>NC_000016.10:18789516-19092546 GCF_000001405.40 Homo sapiens | reverse complement strand
AAATAGATTTGAAAGCAATGCAAGCAGGTGAAATTTCAGGTTTTAAGATTAATTAGATGTTGAGGGTGAGGCTGAAGAAAGAATACATGTTGGCCTCTAGTTTAGGCAACTGTGTGGAACTTTCAATCCCCAGTGGCTGGAATTCTATCTGGCACAGGGCACATGCCAAATAAATGTTTGTGAATGAAAAAATAAACAAAAAAACTTCCCCTGAAATGAATCACTTCCCTTGACTTCCTTATTTTTGTCCTATATTTTGATCGTTTTCCTAGTCATTCAGCCTTAAACTCATCACTGACTCATCTTGAGGTCTTGTAATTGTTGGGGTTCTCTGGAGAAACAGAATCACAGAACCAATGCGCGCGCGCACACACACACACACACACACAGAGAGAGAGAGAGAGAGAGAGAGAGAGATTTATTATAAAGAATTTGCTCAGAGCAATTATGAAAGCTGAGAAGTCTCAAGATCTGCAGTTGGCTAGCTGGAGACCCAAGAGAGCTGATAGTGTCGTTCCAGTCCAAACGTCACTGACTTGAGCCAGGCACAGTGGCTCACGCCTGTAATCCCAGCACTTTGGGAGGCCAAGGCAGGGGTGGATTGCTTAAGTCCCTGTATTAGTCCGTTCTCATGCTGCTAATACATATTGGAGACTGGGTAATTTATAAAGAAAAGAGGTTTAATTGACTCACAGTTTTGCATGGCTGGGGAGGCCTCAAGAAATTTACAATCATGGTGGATGGGGAAGCAAACACGTCCTTCTTCACATAGCAGCAGGGGAGAGAAGAATGAGTGCCCAGCAAAGGGGGAAGCCCCTTATAAAAACATCAGATTTCATGAGAACTCACTCACTATCACAAGAACAGGATGGGGAAAACCACCGCCATGATTCAATTATCTCCCCCTGGGGGAACTACAATTCAAGATAAGATTTTGGTGGGACCACAGCCAAACTGTATCAGTCCAGGAGTTCAAGACTAACCTGGGCAACATAGTGAAACCCCATCACGACAAAAAAAAAAAAAAAAAAAAAAAAAAAAAATATATATATATATATATATATATATATATACACACACACACAAATTAGCTAGGCATGGTGGCGCGTACCTGTAGTCCCAGCTACTCAGAGGGCTGAGGTAGGAGAATTGCTTGAGCCTGGGAGGCAGAGGTTGCAGTGACATAAGATCACACCAAGATCACTGAACTCTAGCCTGGGTGACAGAGTGATACCCTATCTCAAGAAAACCATCAGCAACAACAGCAAAAGTCACTGACTTGAGACCCAAGAAAGACCAATGTTTCAATTCAAGTCTGAAGGCCAGAAAGAAAACGATGTCCCGGCTTGCAGGCTGTCAGACAGGAGGCGCTCCCTCTTACTCAGCCTTTTTGTTCCATTCAAACCTTCAACTGATTGGACAGGGCTCATCCACATTAGGAAGGGCAGTCGGCCTTACTCAATCTATTGACTATAATGTTCATCGGACCCAGAAACACCCTCACAGACACACCCGGAATAATGTTTGAGCAAATGTCTGGGCACCCTGTGGCCCAGTCAAGTGGACACACAAAATTAACCATCCCAGGTCCTTTCCAATTAGTCACCAACATCTGTTCTTTTCTGGAGAGTTGATTTCTATCCTGGCAGGAAAGAGAGGCACATGGAAAAGAGGCTTATTGAAGGGAACTGAATGAGGGGACTGGTCAGAAAGGTCAGCACAGGATGAAGGGAACTTATGATTGAAGGCTGGTGATGCTTCCAAGGACCTGCATCTGTAAGAGGATGCTATGACCTGTGGATTGAGAAGGCATGCAGGGGGGGTGGACTAGGCACTCACTGTCCAAAGCACTTAATACATTAACCTTCAAATAAAGTTTAATGAGATATAATTACATACCATACAATTCACCAATTTAAGGTATACATTCAGAGTCATGCAACCATCATCACAGTCTATTTTAGAGCATTTTCATTGCTGCAAAGGTAAATCCTGCACCCTTTGCCATTAGCCTCTGATGCCCCAGTTCCCCCTAGCCCTAGGCACTCACTGATCTACTTTCTTTTCTTTTTTTTTTTTTTTTTTTTTTTGAGACAGAGTCTCACTCTGCCACCCAGGCTGGAGTGCAGTGTCGCGATCTCAGCTCACTGCAACCTCCGCCTCCTGGGTTCAAGCGATTCTCATGCCTCAGCCTCCCAAGTAGCTGGGATTACAGGTATACGCCACCACACCTGGCTCATTTTTATATTTTTAGTAGAGATGAGGCTTCTCCATGTTGGCCAGGCTGGTCTTGAACTCCTGACCTCAGTTGATCTGTCATCTCGGCCTCCCAAATGCTAAGATTACAGGCGTGAGCCGCCATGCCCAGCCTACTTTCTGTCTCTACAGATTTGCCTATGCCGGGCATTCTAGGTAAATGGAATCATGCAATAGGTGGTGTTTTGTGACTGGCTTCCTTCACTTAGCATATTGTTTTCAAGGTTCAGCCATGACAACCCAGGTGTTCTCATTTTACAAGTAAGAACATTAGAAGTTGGGTAACACTTGGTAAGTGGTAAGCAAGGATACCTCTCCCATCCCCGCCACTGGTGGTGTAGCCCATTACACTACACTGCCTCTGGGTCCCCATAGAGCTCTCACCCAGGTCTTCACCCACCCTCAAGACCAGCACTACCTAAATGTCCCCCACTGGGTTCCGTCTTCCTGTCTCCAGGCCATCCTGACCCCACTGCCTAATTGTTATCCACTCTCAAGTCCTGACTACATCTTGACCTCCTGGGCTCAGGGGACATTAGGCCTTTTGATCTGCCCAACATCTGTTCTCTCTTCTGGGACACGACTCTGGCTTCCTCTGTGGGAACCACCCCTACCCAACTCTCAGCCCACCGGGCTTGGGTGGAGTTTTTCCCACTCCACCTGCTGCAGGAGTAGCCATGTGGCCAGGCCTGGCCAATGAGAGCTCCACAGGCCTCCCCAGTCCACAGTGATTGGTGGAGGGTCAGGAATGTAACCTGATTGGGGAAAAGTAAGGCTAGAGATGGGGAAGGGGTGTGTGTTGTGGATTCTAGCAGCTTCCCTGTGTTCTGCAGAAGCAAGAGGAAGAGACTGTCATCTTTCTTGTGGATGGAGGAGTGTTAGGATGTCCTATATAGAAGTGCTATGGCCATTTTGCTGCCATAGGTGAGGAGGACCACGGGGCCGGGGGGGTGGGGAGAGGGTCACTGTGAGCCTAATATCAACACTGTGGAAAGCAGTGAAATGAGAGAAAGAGAAAGAAAAGTCGAATGTTTGGTTTCAGTTCCTGGATCAAGCAATACCTGAAGAAAGAGCCCTCTGGATCCCTGATTTAGCAGAGCTAATAACTTCCTATTAGAAGCAAAGGTGGCTCACGTCTGTAATCCCAGCACTTTGGGAGGCTGAGGCGAGCAGATCACTTTGGGCCAGGAGTTCAAGACCAGCCTGGGCAACATGGCGAAACCTCATCTCTACTAAAATACAAAGATTAGCCAGGCATGGTGGTGCACGCCTGTAATACCAGCTACTTGGGAGGCTGTGGCAGGAGAATCGCTTGAACCTGGAAGGCCAAGTTTGCAGTGAGCTATGATGGTGCCGCTGTCCTCCAAAGAAGCAAAAGTGAAATGTTTTGTGTTGCTTTTAAATGATATAAGGGGAAAATATGAATTTCATGTTCTAAAATTCTTTTATTCCTCAGCACTTAGAATAATGTGTGCCCTTAAAGCGGTCAAATGAATAACTCCAATAATTATTCTTTAAGTGCCCATGTGGTCTTATTTAAACATACACACATACACAGAGCATCAATAAGTAAGTGCAACAGGTGTCATTCCCGTGCAGGTTTTTTTTTTTTTAATTGTTGCAATAAAGCCATTTAGAAATTAGGCATGGAAAATACCATAGAGAGGCTGCCGCCCCAGCAGAATGGGAAGCATGGGTGTTTGCCATTGTTTCCACCTGGCAAAGACAGCTTGGTCTGAAACATGTTTCCAGCTGTCACAGCACTGAATAAGTTACAGAAAATTGGAACAATAGGTCATATCCTAGCAGAAAACAGTGCAGGAAAAGCGGGACAGAATGGACATCCTGAATCAGCCCAGGCAAGTAGGATGTAAAGCGGGGAAAGTACATCCAAGCAGAAGCAGATTTAGGATGAATGCTTTTGTGGAATTAAACTATTGCTTCTTCTTTTTAAAAAATTATTATTAATATTATGATTATTATTATTATTGATACGGAGTCTCGCTCTGTCACCCAGACTGGAGTTCAGTGGAACCATCTTAGCTCACTACAACCTCCACCTCCAGGGTTCAAGCGATTCTCCTGCCTCAGCCTCCTGAGTAGCTGAAATTACAGGCACCTGCCACCGCACCTGGCTAATTTTTGTATTTTTAGTAGAGACAGGGTTTCTCCAAGTTGGTGAGGCTGGTCTTGAACTCCTGACTTCAAGTGATCCACTCGCCTTGGCCTCCCAAAGTGCTGGGATTACAGGCGTGAGTCACCGCGCCCGGCCAAATTTATTGAGACAGGGTCTCCCTGTGTTGCACAGCCTGGTCTCAAACTTCTGAGTTCTAGTGATCTGCCTGCCTCGGCCTCTCAAAGTGCTGGAAACCGCACCCGGCTTAAACCATTGCTTCTTAACCAGGGCTACACATCAGAGGTCCTGTGGGAGTTTTTATAATACGGTCATCCCTTAGGCCCAGCCCCATAGCTGCTGCTTCAGTAGGACTGGATAGAGCAGGAGCATTCATAGATTTTTTTTTTTTTTTTAATCTCGGGTTTATTCTGACTGGCATGCCCAGTTAAAAATCCAGGGTTAAACATTGGGAAATTCTAATTTTGGAAATATAATTGGATTTTTTTTAAGTGCAGGGAAGAAAGTATCATAAAGAGAAATTCTCAAAAGAAAGAAAGAAAGAAACACTTTGGGAGGCTGAGGCAGGATCGCTTAAGGCCAGGAGTTCGAGACCAGCCTGGACAAAATAGTGAGACCTCGTCATTAAAAATAAAAATAAAAATGAGATGGGCGCCGGGCGTGGTGGCTCACGCCTGTAATCCCAGCACTTTGGGAGGCCGAGACGGTGGATCACCTGAGGTCAGGAGTTCGAGACCAGACTGGCCAACATGGTGAAACCCCGTCTCTACTTAAAATAAAATTTAAAAAATCAGCTGGGTGTGGTGGTACGCACCTGTAATCCCAGGTACTCGGGAGGCTGAGGCAGGAGAATCGCTTGAACCTGGGTGGCGGAGGTTGCAGTGAGCCGAGATCGTGCCATTGCACTCCAGACTAGGGGACAAGAGCGAGACTTCGTCTCAAAAAAAAAAAAAAAAAAAAAAAAAAAATTAGATGGGCATGGTGGTTCACACCTGTAACCCCAGCACTTTAGGTGGCTGAGGAAGGAGAATCGCTTGAACCTAGGAGTTAGAGGCTGCAGTGAGCTATGGTTAGCCTGGGCGACATAGCAAGACCCTGTCTCTTACAGAAAAAAAAAACAAAAAAACAGTGCAGCCCCTTGGATGTTGTCTGATGCCTGAAGCTGGTTTTTCCACATGGCTCCCCTAGATAGAGTCTAATCGTCCCCGTTTTCCTGTTTCCCTTTTCTGAAAAAGAAAAATGTATCCTCCGGGATAGGACACCCGAGACGCATGGACGGCGCAGACTGGAGCAGCCAGCCGAGCCCTCCGCCTCTGGCCGTGCACACACGTGACATCAGTTCCCGTTCAACAAAGTCGAGATCGCGGGACTGGAGGATTGTGGCCAGGGTATCATATGTACCATATATAACGCGCAGCAATGACCCGGCCCTCCTGCCGGGCGTTGTCCCGCCGGCCTTGCAACAGAGCCTCGCAGGGTTCGCAGCGTGGGGCGCGGGCGCCCTCTGCCGGACACAGGCGGGCGCCGAGGGCCCGAGACCTTCTTTGCCCTTGGCGCGCCCGGGAGCCGATCTCTACGCGATCCAGGATGAAAGAACCTGCAGTGCTCGGGCTCAGCCCCTCAGGGTTGCCGTTTCAGAGGCAGAAGTGGGAGGACGCACGTCCTGGGGGCGAGAAGCGCCTTTTCAAGCTCTGAACACATGAGGTGGGAAAGTGCTTTGCGCTCCGGGATGTTTCTCGGGAACCCGCAGAAGCCAGACATGAGCGGTGTTGAGGCTGAAGCTCCACTTTGAAAGGTGTCTTTGGTTTCCCTGAGTTGGGAAAGGTTGTGTTTTCTTGGCCTCAAATCACCTGGATCAAGGGATCTTAAGGAGGACCTTAATGAGGGTCTGGTGTTTTTATTAAATTATCAGAGGTATGGGATCTTCCCAAGGGTTAAAACCTTGAGCTCGTCCTTCCTTCCCAGGGGTCCCTCCTTCTGAAAGATGGTCCTCCTAAGCGTTAGGGGGCCCCCAAAAGCCTGTGTTAGAAGTAACCCAGGCCGGGCGTGGTGTGGCTCACGCCCATAATCCCAACTACTTGGGAAGCTGAGGCAGGAAGATCGCTTGAGCCTGGGAATTTGAGGCTGCAGTGAGCTATGATCACCCCACTGCCCTCCAGCCTGGACAATAGGAGACCCTGTCTCAGGAAAAAAAAAAAAAAAAAAAAAAGGCAACCCAGATGTCCACCAAGAGGCAAAAAGATAAGATAAGCGGAGGAAGAATGGCTTAGTAGTTAAGTTTACAGCCTCTGGAACCAGGCCAAGGAGGTTCAACCACAGGCCTGGGCTGTGGTAGGAGCTGGGTCAGGTCAGCAGTGGTTCATAGAAGAGTATGGCAGCCAATTAAAGGAACGAGATGGAGCTCTATGAACTGACTTGGGAAGATGGCCAGTGTAGGTCACCGAGTGAAATGCACAGATTGCAGATCCAATGCATAATATTATTCCATTTGGGGAACAATACAAACTCAAACATGTATGTGGATAAAAGATTTCTAAAAACCATCCAGAAAGATACACACTGAATTATTAATAGTAGTTGCTTCTAGGGAACATTTGGAAGAAGAGCCTTTTTTTATTTTTCTCTTTCCTTTTTCTACTTATATGCAGTTTATATTTGATTTTGAGGCAAGTATTACTTTTGGAGGTGGAAAAAAAGAGAAAAATGCACTTAGTGGTAGGTTGCTACTAGCTTATCTCGAAGGAAATTGGTAACAGATTTACCAATTTACTGTTAATCAACAGTCTACAGGGAGATTTACTTGTCACTGTAAATACCCTTTAGCACTGTTGGGATATTTTCCTATGTGCATACATGCATTTTTATTACAAAAAAAAGTTTTAATGTTTTAAAAACAGGGCAATTTAACCTTGTCTTTAGTCCAACAAAAATGTATTGCATGTCAGGTACTCCGCTAAGCCTTGAAGACATGGAAACGACCAAATTGGTGTCTGCCTTGCAGGAGTTTATGGTCTGGCTCAGTGCGCCTCACACTTTTAACGTGCTTCCACATCACCTGGAGCTGGTGTATTGGTTACCTATTGCTGCATAACAAATGACCCCAACACTCAGCAGCTGGAAACAACATTTATCATCTAAAATAGTTGCTGAGGGTCTAATCACTCCTGAGTGATTCAGGAGTGACTTAGCTGGTTGATTCTGGCTTGGGGCCGCTCATGAGGTTGGAGTCAACATGTTGGGGGCTGCAGTCATCTGAAGGCTGAATTGGAGCCAAAGGATTCACTTGCAAGATGGTGTACTCCCATGGCTATTGGCAGGAGGCCTCAGTTCTTGGCCATGTGAGCGTCTCCACAGATTAAGTGCTTGAGTATCCTCATGACATGACAGCTAGCTTCCCCAAGAGTAAGTAATCCCAGGGGGAAAGATGGAAGCTGCAGTGTCTTTTTTTTTTTTAAACAGAATCTGGCTCTGTCATCCCGGCTAGAGTGCAGTGATATGATCATAGCTTAGTGCAGCCTCTAACTCCCGGGCTCAAGTGATCTTCCAACCTCAGCCTCCCAAGTAGCTAAGACTGCATATACCTGCCACCATGCCCAGCTAATTTTTTATTTTTATTTTTTGTAGAGACAGGGTTTTGCTATATTGCCCATGCTGGTCTTGAACTCCTGGCCTCAAGCAAACCTCCTGCCTTGGCCTCCTGAAGTGCTGTGATTACAGGTGTAAGCCACACACGGCCAATCTTTACAGTGTCTTTTATGACCTAACTTTGGATGTCACACTTCATTTCCACCGTGTTCTGTTTGTTAGAAACAAGTCACTGAATACAGCCCACATGGAAGGCAAGGGGAAGCAAGCTCCACCGAACATAGGTGTATCAAGGAATTTGTGGACATACTTTAAAACCACCACATCTTTCTAAAATGCAAATTGTTTGAGTAGGTCTGGAGAGATTCCCAAATTCTGCATTTCTAACATGCTCCCATGTGATACCACTGCCTTTGGTCCATGAACCACACTTTGAATAATGAGAGAATCAAAGACTTGCAAAGAACTATAGTTCAGATCGCCTCCTTGGAACTACAGTGCTTGCAAGAATAATATCCTTTCTCATCCTGCCATCATCTTTGGATAGTGTCCAATTTTAAAATCACATTTTCCCTAAAAGGTCAGATCAGGAAAGTAAGAGAAAGACAAGATTACCTTGTTAATACACAAGGACAAGCTGTAATGGAATTAAAAACAATCAAAGGGAGATTCAAAAAATCTCTCTGGCCTTGTTCTGGAAGCTCTCAGAAGCATAAAACATCAGCCATCAATTCTGAAGGGGAGGCTAAACAAACAGCCTGGGTTTTTAATAAGAATTGTACAAAGTGCTTTATGGGACTAAGACTCCTGGCTGCAGTACTTATAAAATTAGCTTTGATATGGGAGGGCAAGAAATAGCACCCGAGTCTCAGAAGATGAAAGTTTCTTCATGCTCTGCTGGCTTGAAGGGTAGTAAATGTACAAAATCGCTTTCTCATTTAACAGCCAGAATTAAAATTTGCATAAAACTACCCTAAAACAAAGAAACAAACAAACAAAAAACTAAACTAAATCACCTGTATTTTTCCTATTGCTTTGCTCTGTGCTACAGTTTCAATGTGGTTTGTCCCAACCAAAACTCATGTTGAAATTTGATCACCAATGTGGCAGTGTTGGGAGGTGTTTGGATGATCGAGGCGGATCCCTCACGAATAGATGAACGTCCTCCTGCTGGAAGAGCGAGTTCTCGCTTTCTTGGGAATGGGTTAATTCCCAAGAGAGTGCATTGTTAAAAGGTGTCTGGCTTCCTCAGTTTGACTCTTTTGCATCCTGTCTCAATCTCTTTGACATGCCCACTACCCTTCCTCTTTCCACCATTGGTGGAAGCAGTGTGAGGCCTTCACCAGACACAGCTGCCCAATCCTGGACCTTCCAGCCACCAGAATTGTGAGATAAATAAATCTCTTTTCTTTATAAATTACCCAGTCTTGGGTATTTTGTTATAGCAACACAAAACAGACTAAGACAATTTACATGCCATACAATTCACAATTTTAACATGTATGATCCAGTAAATTTAAGTATAGGTTGTGCAACTATCACCGATTCTAGAACATTTTTATCACCCAAAAAAACACTCTGTATCCATTAGCAGTTACTCCCTATTTCTCCCCATCCCCGCCCCTCCAGCCCTAGACGACCACTAATCTACCTTCTGTTTCTATGGATTTGCCTATTCTGGACATTTCATGTAGGTGGAATAATACAATACGTGACCTTTTGTGTCTGGCTTCTTTCACTTAGCATGTTTTAAAATTGTGGTAAAATATACATAAAATTTGCCATTTTAACTATTTTTTTTTTTTTAGACAGAGTCTCACTCTGTTGCCCAGGCTGGAATGCAGTGGTGTGATCTCAGCTCACTGAAATCTCTGCCACCTGGGTTCAAGCGATTCTCCTGCCTCAGCTCGTGAGTAGCTGGGACTACGCCCGGCTAATTTTTGTAGTTTTAGTAGAGACGGGGTTTCACCATCTTGGCCAGGCTGGTCTTGAACTCCTGACCTCGTGATGCACCTGCCTCAGCCTCCCAAAGTGCTGGGATTACAGGCGTGAGCCACTGCAACTGGCCTAAACTTTTTTTTTTTTCTTCTCAAAGTCACCCAGGCTAGACTGTTCTGGTGCTCTCATAGCTCACTGCAACCTCAAACTCCTGGACTCAAGCGATCCTTCCACCTTGGCCTCCCAAAGTGCTGAGATGACAGGCATGAGCCACTGTGCCTGGCCCCATTTTAACCATTTTTAAGAATACATTCCATTGACATTAAGTACATTCACATTGTTGTTCAATAATCAACGTCATACATTTCCAGAACTATTTTCATCTTCCCATACTGAAACTCTGGACCCAAGCATAATATTTTTAAGGTTCATCCATGTTGTATCATGTATCACTACTTTATTCCTTTTTATAGCTGAGTAAGATTGCCTTGTTTGGGTATATTGCCATTTTGTTCATCAGTTGATGGACATGAGTTGTTTCCACTTTTAGTTATTATGAGCATTCATGTACAAGGATTGGTTTGAACATGTTTTCTTTTTTTCTTTTTTTTTGGGATGGAGTTTCACTCTTGTTGCCCAGGCTGGAGTAAAATGGCATGATCTCAACTCACGGCAACCTCCGCCTCCTCTAGAATATTGATCCAGATCCAGATTTCTATATTAACCATCCCTTGTTTCTTCTGAGCTTCAGCCAGAGATCACTGGTTGGTTCACAGAATAAGTAGGGTTAGTCTAAAATACAGACAAAAACTTAAAAACAACTAATAAAACTAGAATTTAATGACAAGTGTGATAAGTTTTGAAACTCTCCAGTCTTCATTTTTGTTAAAAACAAATCATAATAGGATTGTTTGCAAAATAAACTTTAGTCTTATACTTGGCCTGATTATTTGCATAAAGTACAGCAAGAATAATTATTTTTCACATATGCTTTTAAAATTGGCTCTGATGGAATTCTGTTCCATAAGGAATATCAGAAAAGACTTTTTAAAGTCAAGCCCAGCAATGGGTTTGTACCCTCCAATACCTATGAGTTGGGTAAATTCCTCTCTTCTTGAGGTCCCAAGATAACTTGGGGCTCCTGGACCTGTTAGAAAGTGACATTCTTTACTCATCACAGGTTAGGAGCCCTGTACAAGGACTGTGTAGACAAGGTATGAGGCCAGTTTCTCCTTTTTTTTGGCTCTGCAAGTCAAGCTTGATTCCTTAAAGGGAAGCACACCCTTCTATCAGAAACTGGTAAAACCACCAGTTTCTCCAATTGTGTCCTGTTGCAAAAGAAAATGGATTCTTGTTGCACTTATGCAAATAACTACATTGCCATAAGAATACTCACAAATAGTTTCTGAATTCTAGAGAAACCAGCAGAGGAACAAATACACTCCAAATTTTGTTCACAGGAGTATACCTTACTCAATTGTTAAAAGCTGTAAATAGCTCAAAATAAAAGTTTTCTTGACTCTGAAAAACAAAACATCAGCAAAGTTTTAAGCAAAAAGTTAAACAGATTACATGTCTTCTATTAGTTCAGCCCATTCAGTTAACTCTTGCTCTGCTTGATATTCATGAATATTTCAGCTCTTCATGAGTCCTGAATGTTTTTCCTTTATTCTAATATCACAATCTAAAGATATTGGAAATATGCATTTAAGAGCACCTAAGTTCTACAGCTGATTATAAACCACCTTTTGAAGAGGATCAAAACAAGACTACGATTGTCTGTGAATCACAAGATGTCTTTAGACAGTCACAGTCAAAAACACAATTGACAAAGAAATTTCGTTATTTCTGTGGTTTACAATAACTTAACATAATAACCCTAATTATAATTGATATCATATACTCAGATATTAGAATTTTAGAAATCTTATACAATTTTGGAACATATATTAATATATATATTAATGTTATTCACTAAAATGTAACCTGAATAAGATTAAACATTATTCTTATTTTGGCAATCCCATGTAATTAAACATGTCAAATAATCCAGGGGCCCTCTATGGCATCCAAAAGTTAGGGGTCAAAAAAGACAATCTTGAAGCTAAAGTTCGATTTGGGGAAGCCTACTGAACATATTAAAGGTTTAAAACACTTGATATTATAAAATAGAATTCCAGGTTATCATTAGCCAAAATGATGACTCAAAAACTTTTTTAAAAAGCACAAAACCTTTACCCATTAAAAGGGAAGACAACTTTCCAAACAATTTGTCTCTTGCCTTTCCCTTCTTTTTTTGGTAGTTTATTTGCAAGGCAAACAAAAATCTTTCATTATCCTTTACTATTACATAAAAATCTTGTTCAAGACAGAGTCAAATGTCATCCTTGCATCAGTCTACTATTAATGTCATCCCCAATTTTTAATAATACCTTATAGATAAATCTATCCAATCTTAACTAGTTTGACCATGAGGTGAGATTCTTGTAAACCTTTTATAACCCTTTACAAATTCTTGTTAAAGAGCAGATCAGTACCTTAAGAAAACCTTGTTGTGCTTTTATTTCAAGGTTCAATTTACAGAAAAACCAAATAATACCCTTTTGAATTTAATCAACGTGTTCACACACAGCATTTATTTTGTAAGATTAATTTTTACAAACCATCCACAACTTGTTCAAACCTTTGGCTTTATCCTATCTAATTTCAAACAAATGCCCAGCCTTAATTTATTACAATTATGATTCGTAGACTTTCACTCAATTACATAAATTCACTCTCGGTTGAGGAAAAGAGAGAGGTGGCAGAGGATTAATCCAAAGGATCCTGGTGTCCACTACCCTTCAAAGCCAGACCCTGGTGGGGCAAGTCCTGCCAAGTCATCAGGTGCTGATTAAATGCAGGGCACTGGGTGGGAAGCAAATTCCTAAAATGTGGTTCTTTCCCAGAAGCATCTTATAATCTAGCTCAGGGGCTTGCAGCTCCAACTCACTCCGGAATCACCTGGGAGCTTCTGAAACCATTCTGATCCTGAACTCCACCCTAAATAAATCAAAACTCTTGGTCCATAAACTGAAAAAAAAAAGTTTAATCTCCACAGGACATTCTAATGGGCAGCCAGAGAGGAGATCCACTGATCTAGGTTTTTCATAAATTACTTAAAAATTTGCAAATTATAAAATATTTCATTAAAGTATGAAAATCTGAATCAGTTTTGGGGGATTTTTTTGGGGGGGAGGTGGTAAAAGACCTTAAGGAAAAGGTTGTAATTCAATTTCACAAATAATCCACAACTTAGTACATCCTTTGATGGAAGCAACACCCCCGTCTTAGTCTGTTCAGGCTGCTATAACAAAATACCACAGTCTGGGTGGCTTATAAACATCAAACATTTATTGCTCACAGTCCTAGAGGCTGGGAAGTCCGTGATCAAAGTGCTGGCTGATTTTGCTTGTGAAGGGTCTGCTTCCTCAGAGAAGTCTCATACTTCCCCTTGAAGTCTCACACTGTGGAGAGGATGAGGTATCTCTCTAGGGCCTTTCATAAGGCACTGATCCCATTCATGAGGGCTCCACTCTCATGACCTCACACTTCCCAAGGGCCCCACCTTCTATCAACTTGAGAGTGAAGATTTCATCGTATGAATTCTAGGGAGACACAGACATACAGACTGTAGCACTCTCCCACCCATTATCACCCACAATTCAAAACAGAAACGATGATCTTTGACTTACTTGATGGACTTCATAGTTCTGCTTGGCCAATCTCAAATACTCTCATGTTTCCAATTATCTTTTGTTATCAGTAAACCAAATTGTTTTTTCTCCTAAAGATTCCTGTTACATTATTAATGATTTGTCCTTGAAGTTTTAGGAGAAAATGGGCCTGGTGAAGTGGCTCACACCTGTAATCCCAGCACTTTGGGAAGTCGAAACGGGAGGATCACTGAGCCCAGGAGTTAGAGACCAGCCTGGCGACATAGTGAGACTTCGCCTCTATAAAAAAATAGAATTAGCCAGCTGTGGTGGTGCACACCTGTAGTCCCAGCTACTTGGAAGGCTGAGGTGGGTGGATTGCTTGAGGCTAGGAGGTCCAGGCTGCAGTGAGTTGTGACCCGGCCTGGACAAAAGAGCGAGGCCCTGTCTCCAAAAAACATAAAATAAAATAAAATATATATATATGCATGTAAAAGAAAAACATGTATATAAAAGAAAATTAAGTATGAGACCAAACAAGGCCCAGCTTCGTTTGCTGTAACTTGAACAAGGCTGGTGACCTGTTGGTCTCATGGCAGAAAAAACAACCCAGAGAAAAATCAACACTGCAGAGTTTAAAAAAAAAAAAACAAACCTTATAATTTATTAACAAAATTCACATTGTACAAAAGTACAACGATAACTGTACACCTGTTTCTCTGCAAATGTCACTTGGTAAATTACTATCATCTTTTATAGACAGGCAAAACTGGACACACTTTATAATCTTTCTGATAAATATATCGCCACTCTGCATCCGGCCTGGATAATGCTCTTCAGGACGGCATAGGCTGGAGCCTGTTAAAAACAATAAGCAAACAAAGAAACATGTTATGTGCTCATTTTCGGTTGTAAGATTCAGGGCTGGCAGGGCAGGCTTTGGATTTCTCTGGATAAGAAATAGATCTAAGGAACAATTTATTTTAGTTTCAAAGAAAGCTATTCAAAAGGTCGGAATGCCTCTGCTACTACTGCCAAAGCATTGGAGTCATCCAGATTCTCACAGGAAAGGAAATGAAGCTCCTGGGAGACCAAGGCAGGCAGCTCACCTGAGGTCAGGAGTTCGAGACCAGCCTGGCCAACACAGTGAAAACTCGGTCTCCACTAAAAATAAAAAATACAAAAATTAGCCAGGCATGGTGGCATGCACCTGTCATCCCAGCTACTTGGGAGGCTGAGGCAGAATTGCTTGAACCTGGAAGGAGGAGGCTGCAGTGAGCTAAGACTGCACCACTGCACTCCAGCATGGGAGACAGAGTGAGACTGTGTCTGGGAAAAAAAAAAAAAAGCTTCTGGGGAAAAGGAGAAGGCATAAAGCAAGAAAGGAGATTCCCAATCTGGAGCAATAATGCGTTTGCTTGCTTTTTGTCAAAGCAACGTCATTGGTTTTCTCTCCCTTTCGCTGTCACTTTAAAATGTATTTTTCTGGCAACAGAAACCTCCTGCCCCTTCAGCCTCCCAAATAAGGAGTCCCAAAGCAGAACAGGTAACAGTAGGGCCCTACCAATTCTGCATCATGGTCGAGGCCTATGTCATGGTGCTCAAGCTCTTCATCCCGAAATTTCTTTATCAGCTGGTTAAATAAAAAGACACCAAAGCAAGTTAGCCTTCCAACTCTCCTGCTGTTCCATTTCATTTTGGAGGCTAAAGCCTCTTATTATGGCCTAAGACAGGGAGGCCAGCTTTTCCTCTAAAGGGCCAGAGAGTAAATACTTTGTTGCAACTACCCAACTCTGCCACTGTAACCAGAAAAGCAGCCGGAGACATGCAAACAAATGGACGTGCTTGTGTTCCAATAAAAGTTTATTTAAAGAAACAGGTGGCTGGCCACAGGCCATAGTTTGCCAACCTCAGATTTAGACTCTAAAAAACTAAACAGTTCCCTTATTTGCTGTGGAAAATTATCTCAGGATATCTATTCATTTATTCAATCTAAAGGGTTCCTGCTCACAGCATCTGCTCAGAATCTACCAATGATAAAGAAGTGGGCCGGGCGCGGTGGCTCACGCCTGCAATCCCAGCACTTTAGGAGGCCAAGGCAGGAGGATCACCTGAGGTCAGGAGTTCCAGACCAGCCTGGCCAACATGGTGAAACCCCGTCTCTACTAAAAATACAAAAATTAGCTGGGCGTGGTGGTGCATGTCTGTAATCCCAGCTACCTGGGACGCCGAGGCAGGAGAATCGCTGGAACCCGGGAGGCGGAGGCTGCAATGCAGGCGGAGACCACTGCACTCCAGCCTTGGGGACAGAGTGAGACTCCATCTCAAAAAAAAAAAAAAAAAAAAAAAAAAAGTGAACAGCACCAGGTGGTGTGGCTCACACCTGTAATCTCAGCACTTTGGGAGGCCGAGGCAGAAGAATCACTTGAGCCCAGGAGCTCAAGACCAATCTGGACAACATAGAGAGAGACTGTGCCTACAAAAAATTTTAAAAATTAAAAATAAAATAAGTGAACAGGACAGGGCTCAAGAGACAAGGGTTCTGGCCGGATGTGGTGGTTCATGCCTATAATTCTAGCACTTTGGGAAGCTGAGGAGAGAGGACTACTGGAGCTCAGAAATTCAAGACCAGCCTGGAAAACATAGTGAGACCCCATCTCTTAAAAAAAAAAAAAAAAAAAAAATTAGCTGTGAGTGGTGGCTATGTATGTAGTCCCATAGCTACTCGGGAGGCTGAGGCAGGAGGATCACTTGAACCCAAGAGTTTGAAGATGCAGTGAGCTATGACTGTGCCACTGTACTCCGGCCTGGGCAACGGAGCAAGACCTCATCTCTAAATAAAAAGAAAAAAGACAAAGGAGACAAGGGTTCTAGTCCCAGCTCTGTCTGTGCTGTATGGCCAGGGCAGACGGGTTCACCTCTCTGTTCCTCAGTTTGCTCACCTTTAAACTGAGGCACTGACCTGAGCCTCTAAACCCCCATCATCCCCTAACAATCTCTAACATGTTTTCCTCTTACCCAATTGCTATCTGCCATTTTCCTCCTTGAGCAGCCCCGTTCTAGAGCACGGATAAATACCTGAAGAAGTTCCTCGTATTTTTCAGGGTCCTCCTCCATCAGCGTCCTGATCTGGTTGTTGTAGTGATGTGCTATGCTCTCTTCCACCGCCACGGTGCAGGCCATGGCACCTTCCTTCCCGAGCAAGGCGGTCCCCGCCCCTGGGATTGTTAAACCCAGACCAGAAAAGTAAGAGACAGATATGACCGGTAATGGAGACCATCTGTGGCCAGGGCTTCTTAACCTCTGCACCAGACATCGGGCCGGGTCATTCTTTGTGACAGGGGCTGTCCCATGCATGGTGGGATATTTAACTGCATCTCTGACCTCTACCAACTAGATGCCAGCAGTGCCAACTAAGTTTTGACAATCAAAACTGTCCCGAGGGCTGGGCACAATGGATCACGCCTATAGTCCCAGCACTTTGGGAGGCCGAGGCGGATCACCTGAGGTCAGGAGTTCGAGACCAACCTGGCTAACATGGTGAAACCGTCTCTACTAAAAATACAAAAATTAGTCAGTGTGGTGGTGGGCGCCTGTAATCCCAGCTACTTGGGAGGCTGAGGCAGGAAAATCGCTTGAAGCCGGGAGGTGGAGGTTGCAGTGAGCCAAGATCACGCCACTGCACTCCAGCGTGGGTGACAGAACAAGACTCCATCTCAAAAAAAAAAAAAAAAAAAAATGTCCCTAGGTATTGCCACATGTCCTCATCAGGGGGACAAACTCACCCTGAGGGAGAACCACTGTTTTAGGAGACACTGGATCCCAGTGTTAAACCTGGAATTACACAGTTAAGAAAAACCATTCTCTTTTCAATGCTGTTTTATCCTGACCGTGGCCAAGAGAAGTCAGCATTTGGGGTGAGTATATCTTTGATCTTTTATACCATTTATTCTTCTCCGTTTTTTAAAAGAGTGAACAGATCTCAGGTTGAGAATCGTTGTCAGGGAACAGTATTTGGCTGCAACTGAATTCTACTAGCTTTTTTTCTCTGTTGTTTATTTTTACTGTATTTTCTATTTATAATACTGACATTAGGCCAGGTGCAGTGCCTCACGCCTGTAATCCTAGCACTTCGGGGAGGCCAGAGAGGGAAGATGGCTTGAGGCCAGCAGTTTGAGACCAGCCTAGGTAACATAACGAGACCCCATCTCTACAAAAAAAATAGAGCTGTGCGTGGTGGCATGCGCCAGTAGTCCAAGATACTCAGGCTCAGAGGCTTAGGTGGGAGGATCACTTGAACCCAAGAGTTTGAGGTTTCAGTGAGCTACGACTATACCACTGTACTCCAGCCTGGGCAACAGAGTGAGACCCTGGCTCTGGTTTGTTTTTTTTTGTTTTGTTTTGGTTTTTTTTTGAGACAGAGTGTCGCTCTGTCACCCACGCTGGAGTGCAGTGGGCCAATCTTGGCTCACTGCAACCTCCAGCTCCCAGGTTCAAGCGATTCTCTGGCCTCAGCCTCCCAAGTAGCTGGGATTACAGGCACGCACCACCATGCCCGGCTAATTTTTGTATTTTTAATAGAGTCGGGGGTTTCACCATGTTGTTCAGGCTGGTCTCGAACTCCTGACCTCATGATCTGCCCGCCTCGGCCTCCCAAAGTGCTGGGATTACAGGTGTGAGCCATCACGCCCGGCCTTTTTTTTTAAAGTACTGACATTAAGATTCTATCTTAAATAAATTTAACCACACACAAAAAAAGGCAGTCAATTTAACCTCGGAAAAATATGAAGTAAACAGAATGAGGTCATAAGAGGACACAGCAAGAATTGTGAACATGATACCTGAAGGATTTAATCATCCTAGATCCCCAAGCTTGCATAAGCTCTTCTAGAGAGACACGTACCCAGTGCAAACCCCAGCACGTTCCACAAGGGCATCAGAACTGTTGGCCGGACCCTGAACGTAACCATCAACTCATTGAACTTTTTCAAATGGTCCTTTTCTTGATCCCACATTTTCTGCAAGAAACATAAAAATAAAGACATGCAAGCATTCCATAGAGGCCTCCCACTCATCCAAGCGGCATACAGGGAGCAAAGCAGAAACGGAGAAAATGATGGAACTGCTGTCTCCCCCATTCCCCTCAAAACGTCAATGGAAACAGTAAAACATCAGACTAAAGGAATCTGTGACAAAGAGAAGAGAGCACCAAGAATACAAAACAGTCTATTATCTCAATTCCAGTTAAGACTGCCATGAGCCATGGTTGCAGCAGAAGTCTCTCAGGCCCACAATGTGCCCAGTAAATGACAAGGGTCTACACACATAAGAAATGACATGTTTAACCCATTTCAAAATCAGGAAGGCAGAACATTGGCTGTTGTGTAATTTCCTTCCAGATTACTAGAATAGCATCATCTTGTTGTTGTTGTGGTTTGTTTGTTTCCAGACAGGGTCTCACTCTGTCACCCAGACTGTAGTGCAGTAGCAAGCTCATGGCTCACCGCAGCCTCAACCTCCAGGATCAAGCGATCCTCCCACCTCGGCCTCTCAAATTAGCTGGGATTACAGTCACATGCCACTACACCTGGCTAATTTTGTGGTGTGTGTGCGGTTTTTTTTGTTTTTTTGAGACGGAGTCTCACTCTGTTGCCCAGGCTGGAGTGCAGTGGTGCGATCTCAGCTCCCTGCAACCTCTGCCTCCCAGGTTCAAGTGATTCTCTTGCCTCAGCCTCCCAAGCAGCTGGGACTACAGGCATGCACCACCATGCCTGGCTGATTTGTTTTGTATTTTTAGTAGAGACAGGGTTTTGCCTTGTTGGCCAGGCTGATCTCAAACTCCTAACCTCAGGTGATCCACCCGCCACAGCTTCCCAAAGTGCTGGGATTACAGGTGTGAGCCATTGCACCCAGCTAATTTTTGTATTTTTCGTAGAGACGGAGTCTCATCACATTGCCCAAGCTGGTCTCAAACTCCTGGGCTCAAGCGATCCATTGGCCTCGGCCTCCCAAAGTGCTGGGATTACAGGCGTGAGCCACCACACCCGGCCCTGAATATTATTTACATCAGAGGAAAAAGGGAGAATGCTAGCTGCAGCTAACACTTAGATGGCACGTCCTAAGTGCCAGGGGCCATCAAATAGCTTCATGCAAGCAATTCATTCAATCCACACAATCCCTGTGAAGGACACACTATGACTGCGCCAGTATACACAACAAACTGAAGCACAGAGAGGCTAAGTAGCTTGCCCAAGGGTTCAGGGCAGGCCATTTAACTTGTACTAACTTGACCTTTATGGGCCAGACCCGGTTCCTTACCCAAACCCAGGCCATTATGAGGCCATTTTGCAGAT
Organism: Homo sapiens; assembly: GCF_000001405.40. Classification (NCBI taxonomy): domain Eukaryota; kingdom Metazoa; phylum Chordata; class Mammalia; order Primates; family Hominidae; genus Homo; species Homo sapiens. Next base: position 19,072,585 of record NC_000016.10, on the reverse strand, counting down.
ACGGAAATGGAAACCCAGAGAAGTCCTGTGCCATCCTCAAGGTCGCACAGGTAGGAGGTGGGAGAGAGCCAAAATGTGAACCAGGTCTGTGTAACTACAAATTTCAGGTCCTCCCATAGCCTCTTGGGATACAATACCTCTCTGGCACGGTAGGGGGCAGGGCTGCAACATTTCAGCACAGTTGACTGCTGTGCTGAGCGATTCTTAACCTTTTTTCATTACTGCCTGCCCCCGCCATGGAGTACTGATACCAAAGATATACCGCATACCTGTCTATGTACTAGATGTCTCTCTGTGCTTTATCCATAAAAAGAACAATATGCTTTTTGCTCCCCATCTCCACCAAGAACCAACCTTCGCTCTCCTGGAGACAATGGCATCTCCCTAGGGAACGCTTGACCTCCCATGATTCATTACTTGAAGTCCTTTGGATCTGCCCATTCAGTAGACCAGGGTGAGGGAGATGAAGAAGCACCCACCTGAATGACTGGCCCGACGCTGGTCCGACCCAGGACAGCCATCTGCCCGGCATAGATGCGGTTTGCTCCATATTCGCCTGCATGATCCACCCGGATTATTCGATCCACAGCTGCCCGACTGATATTGTCTAAAGTCATTCCTGAACTGCGAAATCTGACACTGGTTCTTCTTCCATAAGCTGAAATGCAAGTGTTTATTCTTCGTTATGATCAGGTAAAATCCAGATGTTCCTTTTACAGACAGCAGAAAGGGCACTTTGGGATGGAGGTCACAAATCAGTTCCCCATGGGCCAGGCGTGCCCATAAACGGACTCTGTTTAACCTACAGTGTTAAAACAGAGGATTTTACCTAAAGATCTGGATTTCTGGTTTCACTTTAAGTGTATGAAGATCTGGAAATGCTGAGCCTACCTTCTTACCAGGCAGTTAACATGGCAACCGCTTCTAGATGAGCATGGTTCTCCAGTTCACCAACCCTCTGGCCCACTTCGCCCCAGCCCAGGCTGTACAGGAGAGGCCCATACAGAGCTTTCAAAAACACCGTGCTCTTCCCCAGTCAATCTCTGGGAGGGGGCTCTCTGAACTGATATTGTTTAGAAGCTCTGTGCATAAGTCTTCTCTTCAGCCAAGGCTGAGAACCACAGACTAAGTTCTCTTAAAATCCACACCTGTCCGGGCGCGGTGGCTCATGCCTGTAATCCTAACACTTTGGGAAGCCAAGGAGAATGGATCACCTGAGGTCAGGAGTTTGAGACCAGCCTCGCCAACATGGTGAAACCCCATCTCTACCAAAAATACAAAATTTAGCTGGGTGTGTTGGCGTGTGCCTTTAATCCCACCTCCTCGGGAGGCTGAGGCAGGAGAATAGCTTGAAACCGGGAGGCAGAGATTGCCGTGAGCCAAGATCGTGCCACTGCACTCCAGCCTGGGCAACAGAGTGAGACTCTGTCTAAAAACAAAAACAAACAAACAAACAAAAACAGAAAAAAAAATTAAAAACCCCACACCGTTGGGCATTCGATTTTGAGACTAGCCTTGGAGCCTAGATTTCACTTCATTATGCTCCAAAATCAATTCAAATGAACTCTCATCTTCAAAATGTAAATTCTTCATGACAGATTATATTTTATCTTTAAAAATAAATCTCCTAACCTTAACACCTTAATTATATTCTCTGAGCCTTATATTAGAGTAACTCAAAAGGTTTTTTTCCCTGCCAGAGAGGAGTTTTGCAGCATTCTTAGGTGTGTAAGGTGTATTCACCTCATTTTGCAGATACGGAAAATAGTGACCTAAGGGTCATTTAGTTTGTAATGGTAGCTTCGATCTGCACTGGTATCACTTTTTTTTTTTTTTGAGACAGACTCTGACTGTATCGCCCAGGCTGGAGACAGAGGTGCGATCTTGGCTCACCGCAAACTCCACCTTTCAGACTCAGGCAATTCTCCTTTTTCAGCCTCTAGAGCAGCTAGGACTCCAGAGTAGCTAGGACTACAGGCAGGTGCCACCATGCCCAGCTACATTTTTATATTTTTAGTAGAGACGGGGTTTCACCATGTTGCCCAGGCTGGTCTCGAACTCCTGAGCTCAAGCAATCCTCCCACCTTGGCTTCCCAAAGTGCTGGGATTACAGGCGTGAGCCACCATGCCCAGCCAGCATTGGTATCACTTTGTAATGTTTTAGGGCTCTTAGCCGTGACTACCATGTCTTTTATGCAAACTTCTTTTCACTTAGGCTAACTTCAACAGCCAGCGAATATGTGGAAAAAATTCATTTTAGATACATATGTGGTTCTTTCATGACAAAGGCTTGAGTGCTTTGGACACAAGGTAGTGAGGTGGGTTGGTGAAATTTGGGGTGGCTCTGAACTTGAAATCTTCTACCAGATGGGGTTGTAAATGTCACACTTTTAACAAAGAAGCGTGGACCTAAGTTCTGAAGCATAGTGACCCAGCTTTGGTCTACTCCTCGCCATGATCCTCTCCATCTCACTGAGCATATCTGACTAAAGAGACTGCATAGGCCGGGTGTGGTGGCTCATGCCTGTAATCCCAGCACTTTGGGAAGCTGAGGCAGGTGGACTGCTTGAGACCAGGAGTTCAAGACCAGCCTGGCCAAAATGGTGAAAACCCATCTCTACCAAAAATATAAAAATTAGCCAGGCATCGTGGCACGTGCCTGTAGTCCCAGCTACTCAGGAGGCTGAGGCAGAACAATCACTTGAACCCAGTAGGCAAAGGCTGCAGTGAGCTAAGATCATACCATTACACTCCAGCCTCGGTGACAGAGTGAGACTCTGTCTCAAAAAAAGAAAAAAAGAAGCATAAAACATGTGTCCCATCTCTAACACTAGCCTTGGGAAAATCAGGATCGACATTTCTTACATATAAAATTGGCTGGGTGCGGCGACTCACGCCTGTAATCCCAGCACTTTGGGAAGCCAAGGAGGGAGAATCACTTGAGGTCAGGAGTTCGAGACCAGCCTGGTCATCATGGCGAAACCCCGTCTCTACCAAAAATTCAAAAATTAGCCAGGCGTGGTGGTGCATGCATGCAGCCTCAGCTACTCGGGAGTCTGAGGCAGGAGAATCACTTGAACCCAGGAGGCGGAGGTTGCAGTGAGCTGAGATCGCGCCACTGCACTCCAGCCTGGGCGACAAAGCAAGACTCTGCCTCAAAAAAAAAAAAAAAAAAAGGCAATAATCAGGCTCTTTCCTTTTTAAGGGAAAACATACAATAATAAACTTTTCTTACTGAGTTATGAGGATAAAATAAGATATAAGAAGCAAAGTAACTTTATAAACAGAAATGAGTCTTATTCTGTTATGCTCACTGGCTGAACAGAGCAGCATTAAAATTCACATTCAACAACCCTCGGAGTTTTGCCTGCATTACCATATACTTTAAAGTAAAATTGAGGCTCGGTGCTAGCTCTCAAATGCATCACTTTATGTCCATATTTTCCCAAAGTGTGAAACATGCCAGTGTGGTACCTACAAAATATTAAGTGGCTTATGGATATGCAGCAAATAACCCCATGTAGTAAGGGGTACTCTTTCAAAATCTCTTGCAATCTCTTTCATTAAGGAAGATAACTCCATTTACAGCTGGTATAGCCTTAACACTTTCCCAACACTTGCTAATTTCCCCTTTGTAACAGAAAGACAGTATTTAATACAATTTCATAACTTTTTAATTTGTTTGTTTTTTTTTAATGATTACTCACCCATTTGTGGCAAGTGGCACTGGCTTCCCATTCACCATAAGGATTTTGTTTCAAGGAAATTAATTTAATTTTTAAATGGGACATAGCTATACAAAAAAACACATCTAGTAATCAAAAGTTCAAGCAGTACTGCCATTAGGCAAAAATCCCGAAAGTGGTACACGGTAATTTAACGTTGAGAAAACGACTTCATGAAATTTCTTTTTTTTTTTTTTTTTTGCGCGGGGGAGACAAAGTCTCGCTCTGACGCCCAGGTTGCAGTGCAGTGGTGCAATCTCGCCTCAAAGCAATCTCTGCCTCCCGGGTTCAAGCGATTCTCCTGTCTCAGCCTCCTGAGTAGCTGGGATTACAGGCACCTGCCATCACGCCTGGCAAATTTTTGTATTTTTAGTAGAGGCGGGGTTTCACCATGTTGGCCAGGCTGGTCTCAAACTCCTGACCTCAGGGGATCCTCCAGCCTCGGCCTCCCAAAGTGCTGAGATTATAGGCCGGAGCCACCGCGCCCGGGCTCATGACAATTTTCTAAGGCAGCACAGATGAAACAAGGAAAGCAGGAACCAGGGTCCAAAACCATGTCTCTCTACTCTAAATTCGATGCTCCTTCCACTACACTGATGGCTTTCACAGTTTACAGTGCATGCAAATCACCTAAAGGTCCTGTTCACAGATCACAGATACCGACCAAGTAGGTCGGGGTGGGGCCCGAGAATCTGTATTTCTAGCGAGCGCCCAGAAGTAGCGGAGGCTGCTGGTCGTCGGGCTACCCTTTGCCTGGCAAGGCCCTGGGCAAAGACTACAAAGAGAGAGACTCCCGGAGACGCTGAATTTTCAGTGTCGCCAACTGTCCTCGACTCGGAACGCTGGCCGCACCTGCCGTGACATCACTGCACAGGGGTGCAATTGCGTCACTCCCCAGGCGTCACTGCCGAAACAACCCCTGTCCTCCTGTCACTCTCGCCGCTAACTACAGACCCCGCCCCGCCCGCCAGCGCCCCGGAGGCCGAAGTCACGCAGTCGCGCTCCGTCGCAGGCCTGTGACGTTACGAACCTCTCCCCCGTGACCTCTTCGACCCAAACCTCAAGCGAAAATTCCCTAGCTCGCTAGACCGGCGCAGGACTGTGACTGCGCGCCTCCTTTTACCTGAGAGGGACCGCCGGGCCCCCGGGCGCAGCCGCCAAAGGCGGGGAGCCGCCGCCGCCCCGGCGCAACTCATTGCCGGAACTAAAAAAAGCAACCACTTCGTTGAACGGAACTGGCCAATAGTGCCCTTGGCTCGGACTGATGACGCACAGCAGACGTAAGGAAGGCTCAGCTCGCCCGCGCACCGGTGGGAACGCCCCCTAGCTCTGCGCTAGGGGTTAGATTGGTTAGATACGACAAATAAAAAGATTTTATTGGGTGGGGTCACTGTCAATCACTCGGAAGACCAAGGCCAAGGCGCCTTGGGTTGCCAGGGAGATGAAAATGCTAAATTGCTGTTTAGAAAGATCAGGACAAGGTTATGATTTCTCACCCAAGTTCCTGGGGAAAAGGATCATGAGGGAATTACTTATTAACAAGGCACGGTATTTCCTGCTTTACCTACGTGGAAGGAGATTTTTTTTTTTATTTGTATCCTACATCTACTTTAAAATAGTAAGCCTGGGCAACATAGCGAGACCCCGCCTCTACAAATAATTTTAAAAATTAGCCGGGTCTGGTGGAGCACACCTGTAGTCCCAGCTACTCGGGAGGCTGAGGTGGGGGGATAGCTTGAGCCCGGTAGCTCGAGGCTGCAGTCAGCCGTGATTCTGCCACTGCACTCTAGCCTGGGCCCTGTCTGAAAAATAAATAAATAAATAAAATTATATGTATATCTAAATTACATGCACCACATGGTTAATGGTGTTATATAGTGTTATCTCTATTGGTGGGCTGAAAGCCAACTTTAAACTTCTTCCCGGTCTTTTCTCTATTTTCAGAAACAGAGAACATGTTTTATCCTTGGTATCCACCTTAATGTACTGTGTGCATGTATGCATGTATATTTGTGCAAATTGGAATTTTTTGAGAAGGGAGGGGAAATTTAGCAACATACTTTAAAAAGATCATATAATACAGCAGTCTTACTTTTAGGAATCTACTCAACGAAATAATTTTTAAATGAGTAATGTACATGAGGGCAAAAATCAAAGATGCGTGTCTGCAAGGATATACAACGTTTAATATTGGCAACATCAGGGGGCTGGAACTGGGAGAAGGGAGCTTTCACTTTCTACTTTACACCCTTGGATTATTTATATACTTTATCCAAGTTTACCATAAAATATTTTAAGATGGAATACAATTGTAAAATTATTGAATTCAAGTTTTTAGTTTTTATATCACTCTAGTGTTCAAATTGACACACCAAAATAATTTAAAATTATGATGAACCCAAATACTACTTAGTGAGGATGTTGTAGCACTCTCATGTAAAACTACTGAGTGTCTGAATCTGGCGCTCAAAAGCCTTAAAATGTTCAAAACCTTTGCTGTAATACCACTTCTAGGTCTCTGTTTCCTTTTTGTTTTGTTTTTTGTTTTTGTTCTTTTTAAATGGAGTTTCACTCTGTCGCACAGGCTGGATTGCAGTGGGGAGACCTTGGCTCACTGGAACCTCTGCCTCCCGGGTTCAAGCGATTCTCCTGCCTCAGCCTCCCAAGTAGATGGGATTACAGGTACACACACCACCACGCCCAGCTGAGACTGGGTTTCGCTGTGTTGGCCAGGCTGGTCTCAAATTCCTGACCTCAAGTGATCCTCCCACCTTGTCCTCCCAAAGTGCTGGGATTATAGGCGTGAGCCGCCACGCCTGGCCTAGGTCTCTGTTTCTAAGGAGAAAAAATGTTGACAAAGATTTATAGATGTGCCCATTATTTATTACTGGGAAAATTTGGAAACAAAATGTTAAGCAACAATTGAATATCAAAACATCATGTCCGAGTGCAGTGGCTCACGCCTGTAATCCCAACACTTTGGGAGACTGAGGCGAGAGGATCACTTGAGCCCAGGAGTTCAAGACCAGCCTGGGCAACACAGTGAGATTCCATCTCTACAAAAAATTTTAAAAATTAGTCAGGCATGGTGGTGTGTGCCTCTGATCCCACCTACTTGTGAGGCTAAAAGGATCACTTGAGCCCAGGAGGTTGAGGCTGCACTGAGCCATGATCACACCACTGCACTCCAGAGTGGGTGATAGACCTAGACTCTGGCTCAAAAAAAAAAAAAAAAATCCAACTGTATGATGTTATGTAGCCCATTGAAATGTTTGTAAAGAGCTTTTAATAACAGGAGAAAACACTAGATTCTTCAGGAAAACACATATTAAGTGAAAAAGAAATTAGAATACCAAAGTTCTTTCCTTCTTTTTCCTTCTTTTTCCCTCCCTCTGTACTTTCTATCTTAAAAAGAATTTTGCCAGGATTAACAGTGCGTGCCCATAAGTGCTGCTTTTTAAGTTTTTTTCTCTGTTGCTTTTGATGTTCTCTGTATTTGCTATAAAAAACAAGTATTTTTATAATGGCAAAACAAAATTTAAAAAACAAAAATGCATACTATTCCCTAATTCCATCCCCCTACCCACCAAATTATCCATTAAAAAAACTAGTTCCAGCCAGGCACGGAGGCTCACCCCTGTAATCCCAGACTTTGGGAGGCCGAAGTGGAAGGATCACTTGAGGTCAGCAGTTCAAGACCAGCCTGACCAACAGGGCAAAACCCCATCTCTACTAAAAGTACAAAAATTAGCTGGGCATGGTGGCACACACCTGTAGTCCCAGCTACTTGGGAGGCTGAGGCAGGAGAATCACTTGAACCCAGGTTGCAGTGAGCCGAGATCGCACTACTGCACTCCAGCCTGGGCAATAGAGTGAGACTACATCTCAAAAAAAAAAAAAAAAAAAAACACAGCCAGGCACAGTGGCTCACGCCTGTAATCCCAGCACTTTGGGAGGCCGAGGCGGGCAGATCATGAGGTCAGGAGATCAAGACCATCCTGATGAAACCCTGTCTCTATTAAAAATACAAAAAATTAGCCGGGTGTGGTGGTGGGCGCCTGTAGTCCCAGCTACTCGGGAGGCTGAGGCAGGAGAATGGTGAACCCGGGAGGCAGAGCTTGCAGTGAGCCGAGATCGCACTACTGCACTCCAGCCTGGGCAATAGAGACTACATATTAAAAAAAAAAAAAAAAAAAAAACACGGCCGGGCACGGTGGCTCACGCCTGTAATCCCAGCACTTTGGGAGGCCGAGGCAGGCAGACCACCTGAGGTCGGGAGTTTGAGACCAGCCTGACCAACATGGAGAAACCCCGTCTCTACTAAAAATACAAAATTAGCTGGGTGTAGTGGCGCATACCTGTAATCCCAGCTACTCGGGAGCCCGAGGCAGGAAAATCGCTTGAACCTGGGAGGTGTAGGTTGCAGTGAGCCAGTATCACCCCACTGCACTCCAGCCTAGGCAACAAGAGCAAGACTTCGTCTCAAACACACACACACACACACACACACAGAGAGAGAGAGAGAAAATACATACACAGGAAAACCCAGTTTCCAAAATTTCAGGGAGACTGATTTGAGTAATAATAATATTCTGGTCTCCTGTTTAGCCAGCTCTGCATGTATCAAACGCTTTCTCTGTTGCAATTCCTCTGCTGCAATTCCTCTGTCTTGATGAATGGGCTGTATCCAGGCAGCGGGCAAAATGAACCAGTTGGGCAGTTACACACATACACCCTCCTTGGCTTCAACAGAGCCAAGGAGCTTTAAAAGCACTCATCTGAGGACTACATTAAACACTTCTTTCTTTTCTCTCATTTTAGGAAAAAGCAAAGAGGAACTTTACAAACTATTACAGTTTTCCATCATCACTTGACTGCTGACAAGAAGCCTCTTTGAATTCCAGTATACACGATCACATTTTAAAACCTTCAAGACGCCGTTTAATCAGGAGTTGTAAGGCACATTTGTTAGAGAGAGCTGCACTTTAAAAGTTATACAGACATCACCTGAAGTTATTAAAGTTATCAAAACATATTAAAAACCTTCAAGTAAGAGGTATGCATATTAGCAGCATTTAACTAAAATTAATATATTAATTAGCATATTTCAGTATCACTTTTATAATAGGAAAAAAAACGCAGTACGTTTTCGTTGTGTTCATCACACACACACACACACACACACACAAATAGAAAACTTGAATATCATCAAGTCTGGTCACAGTGAAAATGTTATATAAATATAAAGGCACTGGGCAGAAATGTTTACAATTACAACTTTTTTTTTCTTTTCACCTATCTTTTTTTTTGAGATAGGGTCTCCCTCTGTCACCTAGGCTGGAGTACAGTGGCACGGTCTCGCACACTGCAGCCTTCACCTCCCAGGTTCAAGTGATTCTCATGCCTCAGCCTCCCAAGTAGCTGGGATTACAGGCACACGCCACCATGCCTGGCTAATTTTTGTACTTTTAGTAGAGACGGGGTCTTGCCACATTGACCAGGCTGGTCTCAAACTTCTGACTTCAGGTGATCTGCCCTCCTTGGACTCCCAAAGTTCTGGGATTGCAGGCATGAGCCACTGTGCCCAGCAGAATTTATTTTTTTAAGTGAGACTGGAATGAATCTTTGGTTACTCAAAATTCCATGACACCAGTTATTAGATTTAGACGAGATCAGGCATTTTCAGGGTGGTATGACTGTAGTTATTAGATTTAGAAACCCATAAACCTTACCAAGTCAGGAAAAGACCGAAAAGCTCATTGGTATCCCAGTTACAAAAATATTCCACTTTAAATAATATCTTTGTGGAAAAGCAAGAAAATGGCTGTAAGAAAGGGACGAGAAGATACCTTTGCTCCTCTGAGCAAGGATTCAGGCATTTTTGAGTAGTGGAGTGGAGATGGCCGGGAGAATTATTGTTAACAGCAACAGCTTTCTAAAACCTGCACCCAACTTTAAATTCCAGGCTACTCCCCAGGAAACGTGTGGAGCCAGTGAACGGAAGAAAAACAATGGAAGGAAGGCTTGAAAAGTCCATTACAAAACTACAGTCCTTTGAAAAAGATTTCAAAGATATTAAAATGAAAACTGATTACATTAAACAATAACTTAAACTTCTGTTCTTCTGTTAAAAGGTTGACATCTATCAATTTTGGGTAAGCTTACAATGAGGTATTTATTGCATATGGTTTTTACCATAACGGAAATCTTAAGAGATATTCTACATTTTTTTTTTAGGGAGAGTTTTGCTCTTTTTGCCCAGGCTGGAGTGCAATGGTGTGATCTCAGCTCACTGCAAACTCCACCTCCTGGGTTCAAGCAATTCTCCTGCCTCAGCCTCCTGAGTAGCTGATATTACAGGCATGTGCCACCACACCCAGCTAATTTTGTATTTTAGTGGAGACGGAGTTTCTCCACGTTGGTCAGGCTGGTCTTGAACTCCCCAACTTAGGTGCTCCGCCTGCCTCGGCCTCCCAAAGTGTTGGGATAACAGGCGTGAGCCGCTGCGCCCAGCCACATGTTTTGTGAAATAAAGGCACATGCATTAAAAATTGTAAGCACAGGAAAACAACCCTAAAAAATGTGGACGTGTGTGTTTAAGAAACCAGCCTCCAATTCTGTTTGTTATACACTCATGGGCTGGTCTGATTAACAGGCTGAGCTTCAGTCCACAACCCAAAACACTTGTGCACATAAACTCGTGGCTCAAATACTAAACTACCGTCTCCGCTCTTTCATTCTTGTAAAAGCTTGAATGGCTTGTTGGTTTTTGGTAGAGTTGTCACAGAGTGGCCGGTCTGCAGGCAAAGCCTTGGGTTTCCCCTGCTTTTCTAAGTCACTGAAGCCCTAATTAAGGGCTGGGTTAGGTAAACACAGCTGCACATATGGAAAAGCCTAAACTCAAGAAAAATATATTTTTAAATGTCCACTCAAAACCCAGGTAGACTCTGTAGGCTCAGCAGAATCACTAGGTCAGCTTAGAAGCAACAGGCAGCACCATCTTCACGCTCAGTCTAGTTAGTTCCTCATGTCCCTTTGGGCTTCTGTTAGTTTCTGGATTAGGTAGCACTTGTCACGACTTTCCTAAAAAATAATAAGTTCACATGTACATTTAATATATTTGGAAACAAATACCATCATTACCTACCAGACTGAGGGCTGAGGATTCTAACCACTGGACTATTGTAATGGCCTCTCATCTGGTCTGTCATTGTGTCTGCTCCACAGCCCCTTGTCCACAAAGCAGCCGATCCTTTTTTTAAAAAATGCACAGTACAGCTGGACACGGTGGCTCATGCCTGTAATCCCAGCACTTTGGGAGGCCGAGGCAGGTGGATCACCTGAGGTCAGAAGTTTGAGACCAGCCTGACCAATATAGTAAAACCCCATCTCTACTAAAAATACAAAAATTAGGCCGGGTGAGGTGGCTCACACCTGTAATCCCAGCACTTTGGGAGGCCAAGGCAGGTGGATCACCTGAGGTCAGAAGTTTCAGACCAGCCTGACCAACGTGGTGAAACCCCACCTCTACTAAAAATACAAAAATTAGGCCAGGCGAGGTGGCTCACGCCTGTAATCTCAGCACTTTGGGAGGCCGAGGCAGGTGGACCACCTGAGGTCAGGAGTTCGAGACCAGCCTGGCCAACAAGGTGAAACCCCGAAACCCCGTCTCTACTAAAAATACAAAAAATTAGCCGGGCGTGGTGGCAGGTGCCTGTAATCCCATCTACTTGGGATGCTGAGGCAGGAGAATTGCTTGAACCCAGGAGGTGGAGGTTGCAGTGAACTGAGATCACACCACTGCACTCCAGCCTGGGCGACAGAGTGAGACCCTGTCTCAAAGGAAAAAAAAAAAAAAAAAGACTGGCCATCATGGTGAAACCCCTTCTCTACTAAAAATACAAAAGTTAGCCGGTTGTGATGGTGGGTGCCTGTAATCCCAGCTACTTGGGAGGCTGAGGAAGGAGAATCAATTGAACCCGGGAGGTGGAGGTTGCAGTGAGCTGAAATTGCGGCACTGCACTCCAGACTGGGTGACAGAGCAAGACTCTGTCTCAAAAAAAAAAAAAAATGCACAGTAGACTCTTACAAACCCTTCAGCAGCTTCCCATCCCACTCAGAATAAAACTCTAAACAGAGCCCTCAAGGCACTGTGACTTGATGACTCTGGTTGCTATTACAATATCACCTTGCCTCTTCCCATCACTCACCACCCTGTGGCCACACTGTCCCCTCCCTCCTGTCCCCCTGAAGTGCCTGGCTCATTTCTTTACTGTGCTCTTTGCCTCTTACTTTCATCCTTAAATAGGACCTCAGATAATGGGCTCCTCTCTCTATTATTCAAGTCTCAGCTAGGGTCCAGGCATAGTGGCTCATGCCTGTAATCCCAGCACTTTGGGGAACTGAGAGGGGACAATCACTTGAGCCCAGGAGTTCAAGACCAGCCTGGGCAACATAGGGAGACCTCATGTCTATAAAAAATTTAAAAATTAGCCAGGCATGGTGATGCACGCCTGTAGTCCCAGCTACTTGGGAGGCTAAGGTGGGAGGATGGCTTGAGACCAAGAGTTTGAGGCTGCTGTGAGCTATGACCACACAATCGCACTCCAGCCTGGGCGAGAGAGTGAGACCCCGTCCTGAATAAAAAAATAAAAAAAAATCACCTCCTCAAAGAAGCCTTCTACAGCCGCATCTGCAGTAACTGATAGCCCGCTTGTCACTCTACCTTGTTTTTATTGTCTTCATAGAAGCTATAATTAATCAGCATTTATCTTATTAACTACCCAGCAGCTTTGTCTCTTGTTCACCAAAGCGTCCCAGCACCCAGCATAGTACAAGGCACAGAGTAGGTACTTAATACACATCTTTTTTTATTTTTATTTTTAAGATGGAGTCTCACTCTGTCACCCAGGCTGGAGTGCAATAGCGCAATCTCAGCTCACTGCGACCTCCACCTCCTGAGTTCAAGGGATTCTCCTGCCTCAGCCTCCCAAGTAGCTGGGATTACAGGTGCCCACCACCACGCCCAACTACTTTTTGTATTTTTAGTAGAGACGGGGTTTCACCATGTTGGCCAGGCTGGTCTTGAACTCCTGAGCTCAAGTAATCTGCCTGCCTCGGCCTCCCAAAAGTGCTGGGATTACAGGCATGAGCCACCACATCCCCCTTAATACACATCTTGAAGGAATGGATGAATCAGTGAATTAATGAAGCTGGACGCGGCTGGGCCTCAAGGCAGAGTTTTGGGGAGGTGGTGGTGAGAGAAGGCTGCAGTAATTTCACTCCCTCCCAGGAAAACAGCACTTTCCTTGCAGTGTCCTGGGTAAATGTCCCCAGCCATGACCCTCTGGAGCTATGCTTCCTTACCAGGGATAGCTGCTCTCGGAGCTGGATGACCACCCGTTTGTGTGCTCCAGCTAAGGCAATGAAGTAAAACATGATGAGGCTGCAACACAAGACAGACAGGTCACAAGGGAGTCTGGATCATCTGAAGGCCAATAGAAAAATAACCCAACATATTTTTCCTTGGAACAGTTTTACTCTTGTTAGAAAAGAAGGCTGGGCATGATGGCTCATTTTATAATACCAGTGCTTTGCCCAGGCAGAAGGATCACTTAAGGCTGGGAGTTTGAGACCAGCCCAGGCAACATAGGGAGAGCCCCACCTCTAGAAAAATAAAATATGGCCGGGCGCAGTGGCTCACACCTGTAATCCCAGCACTTTGGGAGGCCGAGGCAGGCGGATCACCTGAGGTCAGGAATTTGAGACCAGCCTGACCAACATGGTGAAACCCCGTCTCTACTAAAAATACAAAAGTTAGCTGGGCGTGGTGGTGGACGCCTATAATCCCAGCTACTCAGGAGGCTGAGACAGGAGAATCCCTTGAACCCAAGAGGCAAAGGTTGCAGTGAGCTGAGATCGCATCACTGCACTCCAGCCTGGGCGGCAGAGCAAGCCTCCGTCTAAAAAAAAGGAAAAGAAAATGTAAAATTAGCCAGACATGGTGGCGTGAGCCTGTAGTCCCCAGCTACTCAGGAAGCTAAGGTGGGAGAATCTGAGCCCAGAAGTTCAAGGCTGCAGTGAGCTATGATCACATTACCATACTCCAGACTGGGCAACAGAGCCAGACCCTGTCTCCACAAAAAATAAAGAAAACCCTCATCTCTTCCAAGCAGAGGGTATAAGAAACAGCTACTGAAGTTTTTATTTGGCAGTGGCAGCAGAATCTGACTTATGCCTTGCTTTTTACTTTTAATATTAAAATTTGCAGATGTTCGCCTTGTACATACAGAATGACAGAAAGAGAGAGAATGACATGGTTGAGAAAGTCAGCTGAGCATGTAATTAACACGTGGATGATCACTGTGGAGGCTCTCTAGCCCATTTCCTCATTTGTAAAATAGGGAAAACATAATAAAACCCAGTGTTTGCAAGCTTGGGATAAAATTATTTTATTTATTTTATTTATTTATTTATTTTTGAGACGGAGTTTCACTCTCGTTGCCCAGGCTTGAGTGCAATGGCGCGATCTCAGCTCACTGCAACCTCTGCCTCTCGGGTTCAAGGAATTCTCCTGCCTCAGCCTCCTAAGTAGCTAGGATTACATGCCTGACTAATTTTATATATTTTTTAGTAGAGACGGTGTTTCACCATGTTGGTCAGGCTGCTCTCGAACTCCTGACCTCAAGTGATCCACCCGCCTCGGCCTCCCAAAGTGCTGGGATTACAGGCGTGAGCCACTATGCCTGGCTGATAATATCATTTTAATTAAAAGCAATCAAATCCAGGTGTAGTAGAAGGTGCCTGGTGCCTGGTGTCCCAGCTACTCAGGAGGCTAAGGAGGGAGGACCACTTAAGCTCAAGACCCACCTGGGCAACATAGCAAGACACTGTCTCCTAAAAAAAAAAAAAAATCAACTGCTGGCTTCTGTCTTCTGTGCAGCTCTAGATCTGAAATGGGGGTGGTTAAAGTTATTATATTTGGGGAGAGGGGCAAATGGAATGGAGGGCAAGCCCTCATAAAAACAGAAGGCAACCTCACTGAATGAAGGGAAGGTGGTTTCCTATCCAGTCTCCTCAGACAAGGCTGATGAAATGAGGGCCAAGTAACCAGGAGATCCTGAAATCAGTGACGTCCACAGTATTCCCCTGGAAGTCCCTGAGATACTTAAGTCAGATCAGAGAAGTGCTACCAGGTGGCACCAGCCAAAGCACTGCTGGGGTGAACCCATTAGGGTGAAGCGGCTGGAGCCCTGGATCCTACGAATTTGAGTCTGGCTAGCTGCACAGCTCCCCCAAGTCATTGTATTAATCTCATCAAAGGTATCCTGCCTTTTTACAGGTACATTTCTTTGGGCTCACTTCTTGTATTATGCTGGGGTTTTACTGTAAGAATATCTGCATCACAGAGTAATTGCGATGATTTCATGAGTTAGTACATGCAAGGTACAATTAATGCCAGTTATTCATGGCTTATAAGTGGTAGAGCCAGGGTTCAAGGGCATGCTTCTAATCTGATGTTCATCTCTCTGCTCAGAAATCTGTTCCTTGTCAAAGAGCAAGAGATTCTGTAAATAAACAGTAATGTTAATAATAGGCAATATATATTAGCTTTTTATAAGCCAGGCATTGGGCTAAGTGTGATCTTTCTTAATTTGCCCAATGAGCCTCTGAAAGAGTGACTATTATTATGCCTAGTTTATTTATTTATTTATTTGTTTTTGAGACAGGGTCTTATTCTGTCACCCAGGCTGGAGTGCAGTGGTATGATCTTGGCTCACTGCAACCTCAACCTCCCAGGTTCAAGCGATTCTCATGCCTCAGCCACCTGAGTAGCTGGCATTACAGGCATGCACCACCATGCCCAGCTAATTTTTGTTACTTATTTATTTATTTTTTTGTAGAGTCGGGGTGTCCCTGTGCTGTCCAGGCTGGTCTCGAACTCCTGGCCTCAAGTGATCTGCCCGCCTCAGCCACCCAAAGTGTTGGGATTACAGGCATGAGCCACCGCGCCTGGCCTATTATGCCCATTTTAGAGATGGGAAAGTGCAGTTCAAAGAAGCTCAGTAACTTGTCAAGTCTAGGGTGACCCCGCCCCGACCGCCGCCATTTCCCAATGGGAGGAGCCCACGTGCCTCAGTGGGTCCTGGTGGTTCTCACTCACCAAATAATCATGAAGAAAGGAACTGCAAAGGCTTCGGATGTGACACCATGGATGAAGGACTGCAGCGAGCTGGGGAAGGTGCTCACCGTCTTGGGGATGACCTCCCAGGTGGTGTTGAAGTTGGTGAACGGCCCACAGGCTTTCGAGGAAGGGATGCTGCCAGGACACAGACCAACGGGCTCAGAAGGAGCGTGCAGCACAGGTTGAGTGTCCCGCCCCTGTACACCCAGAATGTTTTGTTAACAATGGCCTACAGGGAGCCACCTAACCTCCTGGGCCTTCTGGAATGTTTGAGTCGAAAATGCTTACCCTGGCTGGGCGCGGTGGCTCACGAATGTCATCCCAGCACTTTGGGAGGCCGAGGCGGGTGGATCACCTGAGGTCAGGAGTTCGAGACCAGGCTGACCAACGTGGTGAAACCCCATCTCTACTAAAAATACAAAAATTAGCCGGGCATGGTGGTGCATGCCCACCCAGCTACTTGGGAGGCTGAGGTAGGAGAATCACTTGAACCTGGGAGGCGGAGGTTGCAGTGAGCAGAGATTGCACCACTGCACTCCAGCCTGGGCAACAAGGGCAAAACTCCGTCTCAAAAAAAAAAAAGAAAGAAAGAAAGAAAGAAAATGCTTACCCTGAAATTTTATCAAGTCTCTAGACCTAACTTCCAGTTTACAGGAAATTCAGGACAGAAGAGCAAGTTAAATGACAGTGTAAGAAAATAACAAGACAAATCCAAAATGTGGGCATTCTATTCTCCGGTCTCTTAATTTAGAAGTGAGGAAACTGGCCTGGACTCTTCAAAGAATCAGGGATTAAAAGAGACTAAGGAAGGAGAGCATTAGGAAAAATAGCTAACGTATGCTGGGCTTAATACCTAGGTGACGGGGGTAGGTATAGCAAACCACCATGGCACACATTTACCTAGGTAACAAACCTGCACGTCCTGCACATGTACCCCAGAACTTAAAATTTAAATTTAAATTTAAAAAAAGAGAGACTAAGGAGATAGAAGAAATAGAAGCAATGGGTCAAACTTGAAAGATCACTATTTTAAAAACAAATCTGTAATCCCAGCACTTTGGGAGGCCAAGGCGGGTGTATCACATGAGGTCAGGAGATGGAGGCCAACCTGGCCAACGTGGTGAAACCACGTCTCTACTAAAAATACAATAATTAGCTGGGCATGGTGGTGGGCGCCTGCAATCCCAGCTACTCGGGAGGCTGAGGCACGAGAGTTGCTTGAACCCAGGAAGTGGAGATTGCAGTGAGCCGAGATCGGGCCACTGTACTCCAGCCTGGGCGACAGAGCGACATGCCATCTCCAAAAAAAAAGCTATACTAAAGACTATTTAGGGGACAATTGGAGAAATTTAAAATGACAGAAACATGGTATTAGTATTAATCTTCTTAAGTGTGATATATTATTGTGGAAACACATAAAAGAGAGTGCCATTAGTCTTAGGAGCTGCACACTAAAGTATTTAGCAGTGAAATATTATGATGTCTATAAGTTAATTTCAAATTATTTCCTATCCAAAAAAAAGTATGCATAGAGAAAACAAATCCAGTTGGCCCCCCATATCCAAAGGTTCTTCATCAAATTCAGCCAACCTTAGATAAAAATATTTGAAAAATAAAAAATAACAATATGGCCAGGTGCGGTGGCTTGTGCCTATAATCCCAGCACTTTGGGAGGCCGAGGCAGATGGATCACTTGAGGTCGGGAGTTCAAGAGCAGCCTGCCCAATATGGCGAAACCCCGTCTCTACTAAAAATACAAAAATTAGCCAGGCGTAGTGGCAGCACGTGCCTGTAATCCCAGCTACTTGGGAGGATGAGACAGGAGAATCGCTTGAACCTGGGAGACGGAGGTTGCAATGAGCCAAGATGGTGACACTGCACTCCAGCCTGGGTGACAGAGTGAGACTCCCTCTCAAAAAAAAAAAAAAAAAAAAAAGCAAATCCCATGCTTTTTTTTTTTGAGACAGAGTTACACTCTTGTTGCCCAGGCTAGAGTGGCATTGGTGCAATCTCGGCTCACTGCAACCTCTGCCTCCCAGGTTCAAGTGATTCTCGTGCCTCAGCCTCCGGAATAGCTGGGATTACAGGCGCCCACCACCACACCCAGCTAATTTTGTATTTTTAGTAGAGACAGGGTTTCTCCATGTTGGTCAGGCTGGTCTCGAACTCCTGACCTCAGGTGATCCGCCCTCCTTGGCCTCCCAAAGTGCTGGGATTACAGGAGTGAGCCACCGCGCCCAGCCTACCATGCCATTTTATAGCAAGGACTTGAGCATCTGAAGATTTTAATGTGGTTGGGGGGGAAGATCATGGAACCAGTTCCCCAAAGGTCCTGAGGGAGACTGCATAGTAAAATGTTAACAATTGGGACATCCAGTTGAAGGGCATATGCGTTTTACTGCTGCTAGTTTTTCAGCTTTTCTGTAGATTTAAACTTTTTCAAAATGAAAAGGAGAGAAAAAAATAAAATAAAATTACAATAGGAAAGCACTAAAATTAAGACCTGGAAAGAACTGACTAAATTCACATCACAAAGGTCTGTGTATAAGACTTTCCATTGCAGCCCTTTATGTAGGGATAAAAATAAATTGCTGGAAACAACCTAAATGTTGTTTAAGGAAATGGATGAACAATTTATGGCCCATTCATATGACTGAATACTGAAGAACCATTGAGAGAAAAAGAGAGAAAAGTGGCCAGTCACGGTGGCTCACGCCTGTAATCCCAGTGCTTTGAGAGGTGGAGGTGGGAGGATCACTTGGGCTCAGGAGTTCAAGACTAGCCTGGGCAACATAGCAAGATCGCATCTTTAAAAAAAAAAAAAAAAGAAAGAAAAGACACAGATATGAGGAGATGACCATCACTCAGGAAAATTAAGTACTTGAGAAGGAATGAGAAAATGAATTTTCACCATTTTTTAAAATATCTTTTGAATTTTGTGCTATGTGAATGCATTTCCTATTTTAAAAAATCAGGCCGAGCACAGTGGCTCACGCCTGTAATCCCAGCACTTTGGGAGACCGAGGCAGTCAGATTACCTGCGGTCGGGAGTTTGATACCAGCCTGACCAACATGGAGAAACCCCGTCTTTACTAAAAATACAAAATTAGCCGGGCATGGTGGCACATGCCTGTAATCCCAGCTACTCTGGAGGCTGAGGCAGGAGAATCGCTTGAACCTGGGAGGCAGAGGTTGCGGTGAGCCAAGATCGCGCCACTGCACTCCAGCCTGGGCAACAAGAGCGAAACTCTGTCTCAAAAAGAAAAAAAAATCAAAGCTAAAAATATTTTTGAAAGAAGAGTTTAGTATGTCCATGGACATGGGAAAGGATACAATATAAAACTAACTGGAAAAAAAAGAAAAAAAAAAGAATATTAATGAAAAAATAATTACCAAGCAGGATTATACTATTATCTCACGTTTTCTTAAAAAATAAATAATTGCTTTTCATAAAGAATTTCTGGAAGTATTCATAAGAAAATGTTAACAGTTGTTACGTAACCTATGGAGAGTGAGAATAAGAGGTGAAGATAAGGAGCAATTTTTTTCTCTTCAATTTACACCCTTCTGTACTGCTTGAATTTTTTATATAATGTATATTATCATAACAATAAAGAGCAACAAAACACATACAGAATCAAAGTGTTAAAAAAGAATAAAATCTGGTCAAGCATGGTAGCTCATGTCTGTAATCCAAGCACTTTGGGAGGCCGACATGGGTGGATCATTTGAGATCAGGAGTTCGAGACCAGCCTGGCCAACATGGCGATACCCTGTCTCTACTAAAAATACAAAAATTAGCTGGGTGTGGTGGCAGGTCCCTGTAATCCCAGCTACTTGGGAGGCTGAGGCCATAGAATTGCTTGAACCTGGGAGGCAGAGGTTGCAGGGAGCCAAGATCACACCACTGCACTCTATCCTGAGCAACAGAGTGAGACCGTGTCTCATAAAAAAAAAGAACAAAATCTGAGAGAGGGACTCAAAGTTCCAGGCTTTTCCTATTTTTTTGTTTGTTTTTTTGTTTTTAATTTGAGACAAGGTCTTGCTATGTTGCCAATGCTGGTCTCGAACTCCTTGGCTCAACCAGTACCCCCACCTGGGCCTCCCAAAGTGTTGGATTACAGGTGTGAGCCACCGCACCCAGTACAGGCTTTTAATTTAAAGGTGAAGAAACAAAATTTGGCCTGGTGTGGTGGTTCATGCCTGTAATCCCAATACTTCAGGAGGCTGAAGCAAGAGGATCATTGAGCTCAGGAGTTTGAGATCAGCCTGGGCAACATAGTGAGCCCTTGTCTCTACAGAAAAATTAAAAAGTTTAAATAATTAGCCAGGCATGGTGGTGCACACCTGTAGTATCAAGTTACTCAGGAGGCTGAGGGAAGAAGATCGCTTGAGTCTTGGAAGTCTTGTCAGCCTCTGTGGGTAGAACACCATGAGAAAAGCCAATAAAGGCACAGTGCGTCACGCCTGTAATCCGAGTACTTTGGGAGGCCAAGGCGGGCGGATCACCTGAGGTCAGGAGTTTGAGACCAGCCTGGCCAACGTGGCGAAACCCTGTCACTACTAATAAATATAAAAATCAGCTGGGCATAGTGGAACACACCTGTAGTCCCAGCTACTCAGGAGGCTGTTTGAACCTGGGGAGATGGAGTTTGTAGTCCCAGCTACTCGGGAGAATCATTTGAACCTGGGAGACGGAGGTTGCAGTGAGCCAAGACTGCGCCACCACACTCCAGCCTGGGTGACAGAGCAAGACTCCATCTCAAAAAAAAAAAAAATGTGATATGACGGACGCTTTTACATAAAAGAGGAAGAGGTCAAGAAGCAATGAAATGTTCTAGAAAACAAAGTCACATTTACCGTGATATGCTGATTGTCAGAGGTATTATTGCCAAACACAGCCCGATCAACAACACCAACAGGAAGAAGAAATTAGAATTGGATGCTCTGAACGGCCTGGGGGAGGGTCTGCAGGTGTAAAGCAGACTCCACTACAAGGAGAAAAAGAAAGAAAAATTAAGATCAATAAGTACAGCTTCTGTGAAGATAAATAAGTGCATTCCTGCATTACAGTGGGAATGTTAATCACTCTAACCTTTCCAGAGGGTAGTCCAGCAATACAGATCAAAATGAAAAAGGTTTCATCCAAACTATCACAAGGACAAAAAACCAAACACCGCATGTTCTCACTCATAGGTGGGAATTGAACAATGAGAACACATGGACACAGGAAGGGGAACATCACACACCGGGGACTGTTGTGGTGTGGGGGGAGGGGGGAGGGATAGCATTAGGAGACATACCTAATGCTAAATGACAAGTTAATGGGTGCAGCACAACAACATGGCACATGTATACATATGTAACAAACCTGCACGTTGTGCACATGTACCCTAAAACTTAAAGTATAATAATAATAAAATTAAAAAAAAAAAAAAGATTTTGGTGGAGAAAAAAATCCAAAAAAAAAAAGGTTTCATCCAGACTCCAAACTTTGGAGAATTCATGCTGATGAAATAGAAGGGGAAATGGGCCAAAACACAGGTATGTGGATGTTTAACGCTACAGTCATTGATAACACGGAATAACTGCAAGCAACCTAAATAGCTATCAGTGGGGGCTCGTGGCTGCGTGAGACATCTCACGTCTGTAATTCCAGCACTTTGGGAGGTCAGAACGGGAGGATCACTTGAGGCCAGGACTTTGAGGCTGCAGTGAGCTATGATCATGCCATTGCATTCCAGCTTGGGCAACAGAGAGAGACCCTGTCTCAAAAAGAAAAGTGAAGGTGGGGAGCAGGAGTTCATTAGGTTATAGTTAAAGGTTAAAGTACATCTATATAGCATGAAATACCATACAGTCCTAAAGAAGGATGAGGCCGGGCGTGGTGGCTCACGCCTGTAATCCCAGCACTTCGGGAGGCCTAGGTGGGTGGATCACTTGAGGCCAGGAGTTCGAGACCAGCCTGGCCAACATGGTGAAACCCCATCTCTATTAAAAAAAACCCTGTCTCTACAAAAATTAGCCAGCCATGGTGGTGTGCACCTGTATTCCCAGCTACTTGGGAGGCTGAGGTGGGAGGATGGATTGAGCCCAGGAGGTTGAGGCTGTAGTGAGCTGTATCATGCTACTGTGCCACTGCCCTAAGTCTGGGTGAGACCCCGTCTCAAAAAAGAAAAAAGAAGGATGAGAGACAGCTTTACATCCCCATGTGGCACTGTGAAAATGGTAGATTTCAAAACTCCGTACAAGATGAATTCATTTAAGTTTTTTGTTTTTTTTGGTTTTTTTTTTTTTTTTTTTTTTTTTTGAGACGGAATCTCGCTCTGTCTCCCAGGCTGGAGTGTAGTAGCGCGATCTCGGCTCACTGCAAGCTCCGCCTCCCGGATTCATGCCATCCTGCTCAGCCTCCCGAGTAGCTGGGACTACAGGCACCCGCCACCAAGCCCGGCTAATTTTTTGTATTTTTAGTAGAGATGGGGTTTCACCGTGTTAGCCAGGATGGTCTCGATCTCCTGACCTCGTGATCCACCGGCCTCGGCCTCCCAAAGTGCTGGGATTACAGGCATGAGCCACCGGGCCCGGCCATTTAAGTTTTTTTTAAGTATGTATTCCTTATAGGGATTTAAACATGTATAACTGTATCTACAATAATATACACCAAATTAGGAGTTCCTTTATTTGAAGTTTTTTACAAGCACATATATTTTCTCCTACATGTTAAAAATAAGTATTTCCATTGAGGGAAGAAAGACTTGAAGGAAATATCAAATGGGGAGTAAGAAAGGATATAATGGTAACAGGCATGAAATTTCTCAATAGTTTAAAAAGCTGTGTTACTGCGCAGGGACATAAGTTCTTCTGAATTCAGGAGGAGCCGGAACATCTTGTGAGCCAGAGGACACTGAGTACCGAAGATACTTGGTGCCCAGCCTCGGGGCAGCCGGCGGGACATGCCTGGTGTGAGTGACGGAAGTGAGGCCAGGTACCCACCATGACCCAACCCATCACCCCACAGTGTCTGTACTATGCTACACACTGCGAAGCCACGGGCTAATCAGTATTTCCTGGAAAGGGAAAAAAAAGTTCCTGTGAGCTTTCTCACGTCCATCTCTCCTTTGATGATTTCGGCCAACCTGTGTTTTCAAGTGAAAGCATCAGAACATTCTTCAAAAGCCAAAACATCCAGGTAGAACGGTTGGCCCAATTCAGGGCCTTGCTTACTGGGTTAAGAGCTTAGGCTCTGGAGTGAAATAAACCTGGGTTCAAATCCAAGGGGTCACTTAAAAGCTGTGTGACCTTGGACCAGTTTCTCTGAACTTCAGCTTCCTAATTTATAAAATATGACACTTTGGCCGGGCGCAGTGGCTCACACCTGTAATCCCAGCACTTTGGGAGGCCAAGGCAGGCAGATCACTTGAGGCCAGGAGTTGGAGACCAGCCTGGCCAACATGGTGAAACGCTGTCTCTACTAAAAATACAAAAATTAGCTTGGCACGGTGGCGCATGCCTGTAATCCCAGCTGCTCAAGAGGCTGAGGCACAAGAATCGCTTGAACCCTGGAGGCAGAGGCTGCAGTGAGCTGAGATCACGCCACGGCACTCCAACTTGGAGTGAGGCCCTGTCTCAAAAAAAAATTTCTTAACTAAAATATAATCTAGTACTTTGTCAAAGGGTGGGTGTAATCAGTGCATGATAATTTGTGTAAAGTAATGGCAGAGTGGGGACACATGGCATTATTATCTGCTATTATTACTAACACCATTATTATCATTATTAACACTATTGTTATGATTTTCAATTTTGAATCCTCAGGGCCTGGCATAACAGGTAATCAATAAACGTTGGGCTTGTTAACAGAGGGTACCTCTGGAAGAAGGGACAGAAATTACTGTATACATATGTGCATTATTTAAATGTTTAATATTGTATTGCCTCTATAATAAAGAAAAAAGAGGCTGGGCGCAGTGGCTCATGCCTATAATCCCAGCACTTTGGGAGGCTGAGGCGGGCAGATCACCTGAGGTCGGGAGTTCAAGACCAGCCTGACCAACATGGAGAAACTCTCTCTCTAATAAAAATACAAAATTAACCGGGCGTGGTGGCACATGCCTGTAATCCCAGCTACTCAGGAGGCTGAGGCAGGAGAGTCACTTGAACCCGGGAGGTGGAGGTTGCCGTGAGTCAAGATCATGCCATTGCACTCCAACCTGGGCAACAAGAGCAAAACTCCATCTCAAAAAATAAAATAAAATAAAGAAAGAAAAAAGAGGTTAATATGCCCAGATGAGCCAGTCATCTGCAAGGCTACATCCCTCATTAGCACTTAGATCTGGTGCAATGGACTGTGAACCGCCCAGGGTCTTACACAAATCATTGAAACCCGAAAATAAATGCACTGGTCCAGGCGGGGTGGCTCACACCTGCAATTCCAGCACTTTGTGGGGTTGAAGCAGAAGGATTACTTGAGCCCTGGAGTACAAGACCAGCCTGGACAACATGGCAAGACCTCCATCTCTAATTTAAAAAAAAAAAAAAATTCAAAAAAACCAAACAAATAAAAAAAATGCATTGGCTCCAAAATACAACAGAAAATTACAAAATACATCCAGCCTTAATAAAAAAAATTCTTAACAAAACTCTCAAAATTATAAAAACATAAAAATTCATCAAGAGTAGGCCGGGTGCGGTGGCTCACGCCTGTAATCCCAGCACTTTGGGAGGCCGAGGCGGGTGGATCACGAGGTCAGGAGTTCAAGACCAGCTTGGCCAAGATGGTGAAACCCCGTCTCTACTAAAAGTACAAAAATCACAGCGCACCTGTAATCCCAGCTACTCAGGATGCTGAGGCAGGAGAATCGCTCGAACCTGGGGGGGCAGAGGTTGCAGTGAGCCGAGATCGTGCCACTGCACTCCAGCCTGGATGACAGAGCGAGACTCTATCTCAAAAAAAAAAAAAAAAATCCATCAAGAGTCTTTTTCGGCCGGGCACGGTGGCTCACGCCTGTAATCCCAACACTTTAGGAGGCCGAGGCGGGTGGATCATGAGGTCACAAGTTCAAGACCAACCTGGCCAAGATGGTGAAACCCCGTCTCTACTAAAAACACAAAAATTAGCCAGGCGCAGTGGCAGGCTCCTGTAGTCCCAGCTACTCGGGAGGCTGGGGCAGGAGATCACTTGAACTTAGGAGGGGGAGGTTGCAGTGAGCCGAGATCACGCCACTGCACTCCAGCCTGGGTGACAGAGTGAGACTCCATCTCAAAAAAAAAAAAAAAGCAATATTTTTCTAGAATAAACATATATTTTAAATAAAGGATGTAATTTTGATACGTCTCATGGGATGTGAGGTGAGCTCCAGACATATTGGTGCCCTGGAAGGTCGAAAATGGCCCAGTATATGAGCCCCCATTCCCACCGGCTCCTTACCTCTTTCACATAGAAGATGATAATGAATTTCAGGGTTGCAATTGCAGGGAGAAGGGGTGAGAAAAAGGCTCCGATCCAGCAGATGGTTTGCCCGTAAACTATCCCCAGGACGTTATCAGGAATGGCAAACTCCTGCTGCCCCCAGCACTGAATCAGCTTGCAAGAGGAACAGTAGGTCACCAGGAGCCTGGAAACAGACAATTCTCATTTGGGCTACTGGTGTCTGCCAAGGCCACAGAACCATATCACAAAGATCAGGACTATTTCCATGCATATTTCTCATGGACACTGGTTAGTCAAATGTCTTAAAGATGCAGAATATAATGAACTCTGGAATCATTAAGATCAGGTTCCAAGTCTCAGATCTATAGTTCAGCACTGAAATTCATACAATCCTTGACTTTTTTTTTTTTTTTTGAGACAAGGTCTCACTCTGTTACTCAGTATGGAGTGTAGTGGTGCAATCATAGCTCACTGTACCCTCGACCTCCAAGGCTCAAGTGATCCTCCTGCCTCAGCCTCCCAAGTGGCTGAGACTACATGTGCATGCTTGGCTAATTGGCTAATTTTTGTGTTTTGTAGGGACAGGGTCTCGCTATTTTGCCCAGGCTGGTCTCAACCTCCTGGCCTCAAGTGATCCTCCTACCTTGGCCTCCCCAGTGCTAGGATTATGGGTGTGAGCCACTGTGCCCAGGCTTCCATATTTATTTTTAAGGGCTCACTGGACCTCTGGCCTCTGCCTAGATTATCTGCATATGTGGGTAAACAGTGGTTAAGTGAACAGAGAATGATAACAGAAATGACAACACAGTTTATGATAATCATGCTGGTGATAGCTGATGTTTTGTTGAGTTCTATACTGTGGAGTGTTCTCAGTGCTTTTATCTGCATTAATTATCCCAGTTACTCCTCACCACAAAGTTACTGGGTGGGTACTACTACTATCCCCATTTTACAGATGAGAAAATAGGCACAGAGCTTAAATAACTTGCCCAAGGTCACATGACTAGCAAGGAGCAGGGAGGGAGTTTGAACCCAGATCGGGAGACAGGTGTCCACTGCAGCCTGGAAGGTCTGCACCTTTTGTGCTGATGGCAGAAGGTCATCCCCAGCAAAACCTCATGGAAAGCGACCCCATTTCTGCTCTTCATGCTGCCTTTAGATGGGCAACTAATGAATGCTGAGGTCAACAGCCTAGAGCTGCTTGAAAGTTTCCAGTTGTGAACAGACACAATGGTTCAAACCTGTAATCCCAGCACTTTGGAAGGCTGAGGCAGGAGGATCGTTTGAGGCCAGTTCGAGACCAGCCTGGGCAACATAGCAAGAGCCCCTCTCTACAAAAAATTAAAAACTTGGCCGGGCGCGGTGGCTCATGCCTATAATCCCAGCACTTTGGAAGCCCGAGGCAGGTGGATCACGAGGTCAGGATATCCAGACCATCCTGGCTAACATGGTGAAACCCCATCTCTACTAAAAATACAAAAAATTAGCCAGGCATGGTGGCACACACCTGTAGTCCCAGCTACTCGGGAGGCTGAGGCAGGAGAATCGCTTGAACCTGGGAGGCGGAGGTTGCAGTGAGCCAAGATCGCGCCACTGCACTCCAGCCTGGGTGACAGAGCAAGACCCTGCCTCAAAAAAAAAAAAAAAAAAAAAAAGAAAGTTACCAGTTGTCAGATTTCCAGGGCTGTAGAGTCATCCAGCAGCTTCTGGAATGCAGCTGCAATGGGACCCTCCAGTTGTGTGTGTGTGTATGTGTGTGTGTGCATGTGTGTGGTGGGGGGGATAATATGGGCACCCCTCGCACTTACTTTCTAGGAAAATCCACGAAGAGTGTCACAGCCAAGATGATGATGAAGTCGAAGATCATCAGCTTGTACATTTCCTGCCCAACTTGGGTCTCCCAGCACTGAAATCAAAGAGAGTGAGGGAAACTGAAAGACCCTAGCTGAGGCAGAGAAAACCAGGCTCCCAAGACACCTTCTAATTCCCTTTCCAACTCCAGATCCTGTGGCTCCAGTGAGGGCATCAGCTGATGCAAACTCTGAGCCTCAGCACAGACCTTGGTTTCCAAGCCCTCAGAAGTGCCTGGGGTTAGACTCCATGGGGCCAGACTCTGTCTCATCACTAGAACAAGAAAGCGAAGCAAATGCAGTTCAAACCCATGGCTTCAACCGCTGTTCTCTTGACCATGACACTGTATTCCAGAAGGACCCACCCAGCCGAACGCCCCCGCCCCGCAACTCACCGGGTAGAGTTTCTGGTTGTAGCCGCAAAGGTCACATGTGTCATCATCACAGGATGTGATCTTGGAGCCCAGCGTGAACACCAGGACACATATGGTGGCCAGCCGCATAAAGACACACCTTCGGGGAGAGAAGGAGAGAGGATGGGAAGATGAGGCCCTCAGGGTGGCTGGTCCCTTGGAACTGGGGCTAGGGAATGTAGAAGCTGCCTTTTTTTTTTTTTTTTTTTTTTTTTGAGATGGAGTGTTTGCTCTGTTGCCCAGGCTGGAGAGCAGTGGTGTGATCTCAGTTCTCCTGCCTCAGCCTCCCAAGTAGCGGGGATTACAGGTGTCTGCCACCATACCCAGCTAATTTTTTTTCTATTTTTAGTAGATCTGAGGTTTCACCATATTGCCCAGGTGGTCTCGAACTCCTGGCCCCAAGCAATCCGCCTGTCTTGGGCTCCCAAAGTGCTGGGATTATAGGTGTGAGCCACGGTGCCCAGCCCAAAGCTGCCTTTCTTAAAACCCCAGCCAGGCATAGTGGCTCACGCCTGTAATCCCAGCACTTTGGGAGGTAGAGACCAGAGGATCACGTGAGCCCTTAAGTTTGAGAACAACCTGGGCAGTAAAGTAAGACCACCACCCCCTGGCCGTCTCTACAAAAAAATAAAAATAAAAATGAGCAAGGTGTGGTGGTGACCCAGCTACACAGGAGGCTGAGTCAAGAGGATTGCTTGAGCCCAGAGGATTGTTTGAGCCCAGGAGATCAAGGCTGCAGTGAGCGGAGATTCAGCCACTGTACTCTAGCCTCAGGGACAGAGTGAGAAAAAACAAACAAACAAACAAAAAAACCAATGTCGGGCGTGGTGGCTCATGCCTGTAATCCCAGCATTTTGGGAGGCCGAGGCAGAGGGATCACCTGAGGTCAGGAATTCAAGACTGGCCTAGTCAACATGGTGAAACTGTCTCTACCAAAAATACAAAAATTAGCTGGGTGTGGTGGCACACGCCTGTAGTCCCAGCTAGTTCAGAGGCTGTGGCAGGAGAATCGCTTGAATCTGGGGCACAGAGGTTGCAGTGAGCCGAGATCACACCACTACACTCCAGCCTGGGCGACAGAGCAAGACTCCATCTCAAAGAAAACAAAAGCAGGCCGGGCGCGGTGGCTCACGCCTGTAATCCCAGCACTTTGGGAGGTAGAGGCAGGCAGATCATCTGAGGTCAGAAGTTCGAAACCAGCCTGACCAACATGGAGAAACCCCGTCTCCACTACAAATACAAAATTAGCTGGGCATGGTGGCACACATCCCTGCAATCTCAGCTACTCAGGAGGCTGAGGTGGGAGAATCTCTTGAACCTGGGAGGCGAAGGTTGCGGTGAGATAAGATCACGCCATTGCACTCCAGCCTAGACAACAAGAGCGAAACTCCATCTCAGAAATAAATAAATAAATAAATAATAAGCAAATGCCTAAATGGGTACAGAATTTCTGTTGGGGCTGTTGAAAAGGTTCTGGAGATGGATGCTGGTGATGACTGCATAACATTGGGGCTGTACTTAAATGCCACCAAATTGTACTCTGACAATGGTTAAAATGGCAACTTCTATGTTACATATATGTTACTACAATTTTTTTAAAAGATCAGAAAGCTGGGACCTCCTAATTCTGTGATGACATAGTGACACTACAAGACATGACACAGTCCTGAAAAGAACCAATGGAATCTTTTCTGTATCAGGGTCGCGGGATGTCTGGCATGCTGAAAAGTGAAAAAAAGTATGCTGCAGAGATATCACATAAATATGATCCTATTTTTGGAAGAAAAAACGTGAGTGTTGGCACAAACATAAGGAACTGTGCAGACAAAAACACACTGGATTCAAGGGAGGTGGGCGGAGACGGTGAGTTTTTGTTCTTGTTTTTTTTTTTAAGACAATTTTCCATTGTTTGGTTTGTAATACAAAAATAAATTAAGTAGCCGGGCACGGTGGCTCACGCCTGTAATCCCAGCACTTTGGGAGGCCGAGGTGGGCGGATCACGAGGTCAGGAGATCGAGACCATCCTGGCTAACACAGTAAAACCCCATCTCTACTAAAAGTACAAAAAATTAGCCGGGCATGGTGGCGGGGGCCTGTAGTCCCGGCTACTTGGGAGGCTGAGGCAGGAGAATGGCGTGAACCCGGGAGGCGGAGCTTGCAGTGAGCCGAGATCGCGCCACTGCACTCTAGCCTGGGTGACAGAGCGAGACTCCGTCTCGAAAAATAAAAATAAAAATAAAAAAATAAATTAAATAGAAACATTTGGCTAACATGGTGAAAGCCCATCTCTACTAAAAAATACAAAAAATTAGCCGGGCGTGGTGCCGGGCATCTGTAGTCCCAACTACTCGGGAGGCTGAGGCAGAAGAATGGCGTGAACCCGGGAGGCGGAGCTTGCAGTGAGCCAAGATCGAGCCACTGCATTCCAGCCTGGGCGACAAAGTGAGACTCCGTCTCAAAAAAAAGAAAAAAAAAAAAAAGAAGGAATAATTTAAAGAATAAGGGAGACTGGGCATGGTGGCTCATAAGCCTGTAATCCCAACACTTTGGGAGGCTGAGGTGGGAGAATTGCTTGAGCCCAGGAGTTTGAGAACAGCCTGGGCAACGTGAGGAGATCCTGTCTCTACAAAAAATTTAAAAATTGGCTTGGCATGGTGGTGTGCACCTGTAGTCCCAGCTACTCGAGAGACTGAGGCAGGAGGGTCACTTGGGCCCAGGTGGTCAAGGCTGCAGTGACCTACGATCATGCCACTGCACTCCAGCCTGGACCCAGTCTCAAAAAAAATAAATAAATAAAATGGAAAGAAAAGAATGGGGGAAAGAGCGAACCCACGCCCTCTGCTCACTGTTCTCATTACTAACACCACCTTCTGTGCCTCTGCTGGGATACAACAGGAAGGACACGGCACCCCTGATGAGGTTTCCTTAACTAAAAACTGACACAGAATCTACCAAAAACTCTGAATCTCCACAGTCATTTATAGCAACTATGGGCATAGAAAAACAAATTAAACACACCAGGAAGAAACAATGGACGAAATCCAGAATAGGAGCTATTCTACAGGAAAATGATCCAGTTTCTTCCACAAATCAAAGGCCTAACAAAAGGGGAGGGGAAACTCTGAAAATAATAAAAGAGATTTAGGACACATGACTACCAAACAGCATGTGGGCCTTGTTTGGATTCAGCTTTGAACAAATCAAACATGGAAAACCATCTGCAACCCCACTGGGGAGACCGCCTCAATTTTATTAGGTGTGATGATGGTTATATATTTAAAGCTCCCATCACTTAGAGATATAATGAAGTTGGCTGGGCACGGTGGCTCACGCCTGTAATCCCAGCACTTTGGGAGGCTAAGGTGGGTGGATCATCTGAGGTCAGGAGTTCGAGACCAGCCTGGCCAACATGGTGAAACCCCATCTCTACTAAAAATATATTTTAAAAAATTAGCCAGGCATGGTGGCCCGTGCCTGTAGTCCCAGCTATTTGAGAGGCTGAGGCAGGAGAATCGCTTGAACCCGGGAGGTGGAGGTTGCAGTGAGCCAAGATCACGCCACTGCACTCCAGCCTGAGCAACGGAGCAAGTCTCCGTCTCAAAAAAAAAAAGGTATAATGAAGTGTTTACAGATGAAATGGCATGTTGCCTGAGATTTGCTTAAAATAATCTAGCAAATTAGGAGGGAATGGATGGAAACGAGATTAGCAAAATGCTGGGAATGACTGAAATGTAAGTGAAAGGCATATGGGGATCATTACACTATGCATTCTGTTTGAAAACTTTGAGACCGGGCATGGTGGCTCTTGCCTGTAATCCCAGGATTTGGGAGCTGGAGGTGGGAGGGTCACTGAAGCCCAGGAATTCAAGACCAGCCTGGGAAACATAACAAAACCCTGTCTCTACAAAAAAAAAAATTTTTTTAATTAGCTGGGCATGGTGGTGCATGTCTGTAGTCCCAGCTATGTGGGAGGCTGAGGTGGGAGGATTGTTTGAGATCAGGGATTTGAGACTGCAGTGAATTATGATCACATCACTGCACTCCAGCCTGGGGGACAGAGTAAGACCCCATCTCAAAAAAAAAAAAAAAAGAATCAAAGAAAATTTTCAAAATAAAAAATGTTTGAAATAAGATGCAAATGCAATCTAAGGCATTTGAGAAACAGAAAGAAAACTCTCAAGTCCTGCACAGTCCCACCTGGTCCTCTCCACTCATTTGTGTTAACTCCCTGGACTCTGCCTTATAGCTGTCATTTCTGACAGCTTTAGAGCAACCCCTCCTCTCAGGGTCCCAGCCTGTGCCCTGTGCTATTATATGAAGCAAAAATATAATACCAAGGAGTAGACTTTCAAATCAAAGACATTTCACCATATATACAAATTCTGATTCATTCATGGGGGCTGTCTGAAGGTTGAGGAGGACTCTTGGCTCAGCAGGAAAATGCACTACAATTGATTAGCGATGTCTGCCATGGGCAAGAGAGTGGGCAGGTAGTGACTGGCTTGACATGCCTGCCATCTTCATGTTAGGCATTACCTAAGGATTGTCAGACGGATCTCAAAGCCTGGAGAATAATCCTCATAGCGGATGATCTTGGCAAAGATCATTGGGGTGATAAAATTGGCCAGCGTGATCACAATAGACGGTAGATACAATATGAAGAGGTTCTCTCCAAAAACCATCTTGTCGATTTCCTAGGAGGATAACAAAACTTATTAGTCAGGAGTATATGAGGAAGTTACACCACAAATAGATAGAACAAAAAAGAACTCAACTATGTGTGTTGGGCAAACAAAACGTATTTGTCATTCAACATGGCCTGTAAGCATAAGTCATCTCGTTCCTTTTTTTTTTTTTTTTTTTTTTTGAGATGGAGTCTCCTTCTGTCACCCAGGCTGGAGTGCAGGGACATAATCTCGGCTCACTGCAACCTCCGTCTCCCAGGTTCATGCGATTCTCCTGCCTCAGCCTCCCGAGTAGCTGGGACTACAGGCACCCCCCACCATGCCAGGCTAATTTTTGTATTTTTAGTAAAGACAGGGTGTCACCATGTTGGTCAGGCTGGTCTCAAACTCCTGACCTCAGGTGATCCACCCGCTTTGGCTTCCCAAAGTGCTAGGATTACAGGCATGAGCCACCTCGCCCGGCCGCCATCTCCTTCTTCAGATATTCAAAAAGAGGTATCTAGTACTGTGCAGGAAGAAAACCAGGATCTACTGGATTTATTAAAGGGATGTATAAGAAGACCCATGTATTCTGTATAAACGGGCAATTTAAAGTATCTTCAAGGGTGTAGAATTGATTTGATTTGAAATTGAAATAGCAATTCCCTGCTTTCACAGTAACAGACTACCTGGACAATATATAGCCATCCGCAATAAAAAGTAAATTTCCTAGCCTCCCTTGTAGCTAGGTACTACCATGTGACTAAATTCTGGCCAAGGGGATATAAGTGGAAGTTTTTAGTGTAACCCACAGGTTATGCCCTTTAAAGGAAGAAATGTGCCCTCCTTAGCCCCTTCATCTCCTTCCCCTTGGCTAGAATGTGGCCATGGTGGTGAGCTATCTTGTACCATACAGAAGACCATACCCAGCCAGGTGTGGTGGCTCATGCCTGTAATCCCAGCACTTTGGGATGCTGAGACAGGTGGATCACTTGAGGTCAGAAGTTCAAGACCAGCCTGGCCAAACTGGTGAAACCCTGTCTCTACCAAAAATACAAAAATTAGCCAGGTGTGTTGGCGGGTGCCTGTAATCCCAGCTACTCGGGAGGCTGAGACAGGAGAATGACTTGAACCCGGGAGGTGGAGGTTGCAGTGAGCCGGGATCGTGCCACTGCACTCCAGCCTGGGTGACAGAGTGAGACTCTGTCTCAAAAAAAAAAAAAAAAGAAAAAAGAAAGAAGAAAAGAAAACCATATCCTAGGGAGGGCAGAGCCACAAGATGAACGGAACCTGGACCCCTGATGATTGATTGCATAAAACAGAGCCACTAGACAAACTTGGAATTTTAAAACCACTGCTATTTTAGGTAAACCAAGGCCTTAGTTCAAAAATAACAGTCAGGGATAAAACCCTAGTCCAGCCTAGTTTTGAATATTGCAAATTCCAGGAGCAGTAAGGATCTCAAACACTACACTTTAGATGCTTTTAAAATTTTCTCTAAGGCCAGGTGCGGTGGCTAACACCTGCAATCCCAGCACTTTGGGAGGCCAAGGTGGGTGGATCTCTTGAGGTCAGGAGTTCGAGACCAGCCTGGCCAACATGGTGAAACCCCCGTCTCTGCTAAAAATACAAAAATTAGCTGGGTGTGGTGGCACATCCCTGTAATGCCAGCTACTAGGGAGGCTGAGGCATGAGAATCACTTGAACCTGGGAGGTGGAGGTTACAGTGAACTGAGATCACACCACCACACTTCAGCCTGAGCGACAGAGTGAGACTCTGTCTCAACAACAAAAACAAAAAAGTTCTCTTAAAAGTGAAAACTGGGCAGGGCACAATGGCTCACACCTGTAATCCCAGCACTTTGGGAGGTGGAGGCGGGCAGATCACCTGAGGTCAGAAGTTCAAAACCAGCCTGATCAACATGGAGAAACCCAGTCTCTACTAAAAACACAAAATTAGCCAGGCGTGGTGGCACATGCCTGTAATCCCAGCTACTCGGGAGGCTGAGGCAGGAGAATCATTTGAACCTGGGAGGCAGAGGCTGCAGTGAGCCAAGACAATGCCATTGCACTCCAGTCTGGGCAAGAAGAGCAAAACTCCATCTCAAAAAAAAATAAAAAAGTGGAAACTGATCACCTCTGATTTTCAGGTCTTGATCATATCAGCCAAACTTGTATCTCCATATGTAAAACAGAAATGACGATGGTATCTACCTCACAGATTTTCAGTGCACTAGGCATAATGTCCAGCCAGAGTACAAGTTAATTTACCTTTTTCATGTGCTCTTGCGAGAAGACAGTTGCTACGTATATTGCATAAAAGCATGCCCCTAAAACAGCCAGAACAATACAGTTCAAAAACAGTCTCAAAGAGTAAATGCGTATTGTTTCTTCTGAGGTCCTTTCTGCTATTTTCTGCCGCATTCTTTCTTCCTCCAGATCTGCCTGAAGATAAAAGAAAATTCACTTGTGAGCAGTGGGATGAAGGGATACTCAGGGATAGAAATTGATTCATCATTCTCTCCCCATCCATCTTTAAGAGTTCTAGCCAGGCATGGTGGCTCACTCCTGTAACCCTAGCACCGTGGCAGGCCAAGGTAGGAGGATCACTTGAGCCCAGGAGTTCAAGACCAACCCTGGCAACATAGTGAGACCCCATCTCTACAAGAAAACCCAGAAGAATTAGCTGGGTGTGGTGATGAGTGCCTGTAGTCGCTGCTACTCGGGAGGCTGATGTGGAAGATTGCTTGAGCCCGGGAGTTCGAGTCTGCAGTGATGTATGATCACGTCACTGTACTCCAGCCTGGGTGACAGAGTAAAATGCTATCTCAGAAAAAAAAAAAAAAGACATCTTTTAAATATTCATCTCCCCCAAGAAACCATCCTAGACTTAGCCCAACTACTTTTTTTCTTTCTTTTTTTTTTTTTTTTTGAGACAGAGTCTCGCTCTGTTGCCAGGCTGGAGTGCAGTGGTCCAATCTCGGCTCACTGCAACCTCTGACTCCCTGGTTCCAGTCATTCTCCTGCCTCAGCCTCCCGAGAAGCTAGGATTACAGGCATGCACCACCATGCCCAGCTAATTTTTGTAATTTTAGTAGAGACGGGGTTTCACCATATTGGCCAGGATGGTCTCAATCTCCTGACCCTGACCTGCCTCGGCCTCCCAAAGTGCTGGATTACAGGCATGAACCACTGCGCCTGGCCTAGCCCAACTATTTTTTATGTCTACTAAAGACCTAAGTAAAGACAGAACCTCCTATTTAAGACTGCAATTGGGCTTTGCAATAAATGTGAAAACAGAACTATAAACTATTCATATTACTTAAATATAGTATGTGTCATTTCTTCAAACACAATACAGGTGAGGTGTTGTTATTTTTTCTTTTACACAATGTAGTAGTCTCTGCTTTTATTAGGATAATTTAATCAGTTCGTATTTAGTGTAAGAAAGAATAGATTTGATTTGATTCCTTCCATTTTATTATGCTTTTGATTTATTTGTCCCCTCCTCCTTTTCTTTGATGGGTTTATTTTTATTAACATGCTATTCTTTACTCCTTTCTCTCCTTATTCATTTGGAAACTCTCATGTACTTTTTTTTTTTGAGATGGAGTCTAGCTCTGTCACCCAGGCTGGAATGCAGTGGCACAATCTAGGCTCACTGCAACCTCTGCCTCCTGGTTCAATTGATTCTCTTGCCTCAGACTCCCAAGTAGCTGGGACTACAGGCATGTGCCACCATGCCCAAGTAATTTTTTGTATTTTTAGTAGAGATGGTTGGAAACTCTCTTGTACTTTTTTTTTCTTTTTTGAGACGGAGTCTCGCTCTGTCACCCAGGCTGGAATGCAGTGGTGCAACCTCGGCTCACTGCAACCTCTGCCTCCCGGTTCAAGCGATTCTCTTGCCTCAGACTCCCAAGTAGCTGGGACTACAGGCATGTGCCACCATGCCTGGCTAATTTTTTGTATTTTTAGTAGAGATGGGGTTTCACCGTGTTAGCCAGGATGGTCTCGATCTCCTGACCTTGTGATATGCCTGCCTCAGCCTCCCAAAGTGCTGGGATTACAGGCATAAGCCACCACGCCCGGTCTGTACTTTTTCATATACTCTCCATCTCACACTATTGTCATAACATTCCCTCCTCACTCCCATTTCTCCTGGTATAAGTAGTGTTTATGACAGGTCCTCCTCAGGTGGAAAAATAACAGTGTAAAGTAGCAGGGTGTGGGGAAAGACATCACCTTCTTCCAGCCACTGCATCCCCACCCCACTTCCCAGTCCCAGTTCACCAGTGCTCCTGTTCAGGTCTAGGGTAATCAACCCCAGTAACGTGTTCGCTGTGAAACGTTCTTGAAAGCTACAGAGGGGTAACTTGCTAAGTACCAGGGACAACCTGTCCCCGACCCTTGATCCTCTGCAAGCTGAAAACTCAGGCTCCAAAGGCAGGACCTTGCTGGTGAGGACCCCACCACGGACAAACTCAGGAGCACTCACTCGGAGCTCGTACCGCAAGCTGCTGTGCTTCAGATCCGCCATGCTGCGGTTAGTGATGCAGAAGTCCCAGCCGGCAAATATCTTGTTGCAGTAACTCTGAAAGTGCTCCTCACTCCGAATCAGGTTGATTTTGAATCCTTCCACCGACCTGACCCCAAAACACAATCATCCTTCTTATAGAAACAACAGCAAAAGAGAGTCCCCTGAATTGGCTGTGTCTGAAACTTAAAAAGTTAGACATAGCTGCATTTTCAGCCCATTGTGACATGGTCAAGTTTGGGGCCATTCTAAATATATGTGGCAGCTAACAAGGTATCTCATTGTTGATCCTTTCCTTTTACCCATCTAATCGCTTCAATTACAGCTAGAATAAAATCCAAATTTTCTTCCCCAACTTTTATTTTAGATTCAGGAGTACATGTGCAGGTTTGTAACCTTGGTAATATTGCATGATGCTGAGATTTGGGATAGAAATGATTCCATCATCCAGGTACTGAGCACAGTATCCAATAGTTCTTCAATCCTTGCCTCCCTCTCTCCCTCTCCACTCTAGGATTCCTCAGTTTCTTTTGTTGCCATCTTTATGTCCATGAGTACCCAATGTTTAACTCCCACTAATAAGTGAGAACATGCGGTGTTTGGTTTTCTGTTCCTGCATTAATTTGCTTTGGATAATGGCCTCTAGCTGCAACCATGCTGCTGCAAAGGACATGATTTCATTCTTTTTTATGGCTGTGTAGTATTCCATGGTGTATGTGTACCACATTTTCTTTATCCAGTCCTCCATTGATGGGCACCTAGGTTGATTCCGTTTCTTTGCTATTGTGAATAGCACTGTGATGAATATACGAGTGCATATGTCTTTTTGGTAGAACGATTCATTTTCTTTTAAAATCCAAACTCCTTAATACAGCCTAGATATCCTATATGATCCAGCTCTGCTGTCGTCTCTCCTCCCATGTAACTATACTTGCTTTCTCTCCTTTCTATAAACACACAAATTCCTGTTCCTGCCTCTGGGACTCTACCCTTGGGAATTCCCACTACCATCCCCAAGGATGGTGCTCCTCTGACCCTCCCTATGGCTGATCTCCTTCCCATCCTTCAGGTTTTGGCTCAAATAACCCCTTTATAATCCCTCACCTCCCCATCTAAGGCTATAACCCCCACTTCAAGTCAGTCCCTTTTATTTATTTATTTATTTATTTACTTATTTATTTATTTTTGAGATGGAGTCTCACTCTGTTGCCCAGGCTGGAGTGCAGTGGTGCAGTCTCGGCTCACTGCAACCTCCACCTTCCGGGTTCAAGCGATTCTCCTGCCTGAGCCTTCCGAGTAGCTGGGATTACAGGCGCCTGCCACCACGCCCAGCTAATTTTCTGTATTTTTAGTAGAGACAGGATTTCACCAGGTTGGCCAGGCTGGTCTCGATCTCCTGACCTCATCATCCATCCGCCTCGGCCTC
This sequence comes from Homo sapiens, assembly GCF_000001405.40. Taxonomy (NCBI): domain Eukaryota; kingdom Metazoa; phylum Chordata; class Mammalia; order Primates; family Hominidae; genus Homo; species Homo sapiens. The sequence goes on along the minus strand of NC_000016.10, from coordinate 19,034,358 downwards.
TCAAAGCGCTGGGATTACAGGCATGAGCCACCGCACCTAGCCCAATCCCTTTTATTTAATTCACAGGAATGACACTAACTTGCAATTATCTTATTCATCTGTTTACTGCTTGTAACTCCTTACTCTAACTAAATTTTAAATTCCTTGAGAGCAGGTACCCTGGCTATCTTGCCACCTTTATATGGACTATATACTTTGGTTAACATGCAACTGATGGATAAAGCAATGAATAAATGACTTAAATTAACTATTTAGTGAGCACCTGTTTAGGTCAGATACAATTCTGTTGCATATTTTTATTCATTCAAATGCTTTCATGGAAAAAATACACCTGGCACTTGGTATAAAACACCAGATGCCATGCACAGTCCTCTGTAGATGAAAGAGGTTATTTTTAGGATTTGCCAGTGAGGCATGAAGACAATAGAAATGGAAGGAATTGTTATGATCAGTCATTCTGCCAAAGGATTACAGCAAATAATTTATGTCAGAACAACATGGAGTGCTTTCCCCAAATCCAGGTTCCCAAATGGTTTCTTACCTGAGATTTTCAATTCGATAGGTCTCATGTGGGCTCCAGAAATATGCCATGTTATAAAGCTCATGCTGACCCATCTCAGTTGCAAGCCTCTGATTCAGACCAGACCTACATTTTATTTTATTTTTTACTTTTTGAGATGGGGTCTCACTCTGTCACCCAGGGTGGAGTGCAGCAGTGTGATCATGGCTCACTGCAGCCTCAGCCTCACCAAGTTCAGGTGATCCTCCCACCTCAGCCTCCCGCATAGCTCAAACTATAAGCACACGCTACCACACCTAGCTAATTATTTGTATTTTTTGTAGAAATAGGGTTTTGCCATGTTGCCCAGAGCTGGTCTTGAACTCCTGGGCTCAAGTGATCCACCCACCTTGTACTCAGAAAGTGCTAGGATTACAGGTGTGAGCCACCGGGCCTGACCCAGAACTACATTTTACAGATGAGAAAACTAAGATCCAGAGGAAGGAAAATTATTTCCCTATATCCAGAGAGTTAGGTGGCAGAACTGGTGCTACTTTGATGATAAGGATGATGATGATGATAATTTTAACTTCATAAATGTCTATAAGGTGCCAGGCAGAGTGCTAAGATTTCATTCACCTGCCTAGTTTATGTTAATCCTCCCAGCAACCCTTCCAGGATGCACATTTCACAGATGAAGAAAATGAGGCTCAAAGAGGTGAACTGGCATTCCAGCGATGGTCTCTGGCCTACAAAGTCCATACTCTTTGTCACTCTGTGGCACATCCACTTTCTGGGCCACAGCAGGCCTTTCTCCCATTACATCACACCCAGCCCTCCCTCCATGACCTTCCCCAGAAAGCAATCAAGCCCTTGAGCTTGAACGAGATTCACAGGTAGATTCGCTGTGCAACTAACAAACCTTATTCATTCGGCTGGGTGCGGTGGCTCACGCCTGTAATCCCAGCACTGTGGGAGGCCGAGGTGGGTGGATCACAAGGTCAGAAGTTCGAGACCAGCCTGGCCAACGTCGTGAAACCCCATCTCTACTAAAAATACAAAAATTAAGCCAGTCGTGGTGGCGTGCACCTGTAATCTCAGCTACTTGGGAGGCTGAGGCAGAAGAATTGCTTGAACCCGGAAGGCAGAGGTTGCAGTGAACCAAGATCATGCCACTGCCCTCCAGCCTAGGTGACAGAGCAAGACTCGTCTTGAAAAACAAAAACAAAAAACCTTCTTCATTCTTCAGGGCCCCCTCCAAGGCTTTGGAAGACTCTAGCAATGTGTCCCTATGGTCTTTTTTTTTTTTTTTATCATTTACAAAACATATTTTCATACTCTTTGTCTTAAAGATGGCACTTCCAAATTGTCTACCCTGTAGGTCCATAAAACTTGGATCTCCCCTGGCACAATCACGGAACCCCAATCAACCAATATTTCTTTACCAAGCATCTCTTTGCCCCTCAAAAGCAGCCTGAGGCTGCTTCTCATTTGTACATAGTACACTTGGGTGGGGGATGGACGCTCACTAGTTCACGTTCATCTCACAGATTCTAACTCAGGATACAAGTGCCCAGCTGGGCATTGGGGTTTTCTTTGCAATGGTGAATCCTGGTCCTTATGGAGGGCCAGATCAATCCACAGCACCCTGGTCTCTTCTGCACCTGTGATAAGGAGCTTCACAGCTCCATGGCTTACAACACTGTGCATGCTCTCACAGGGACAATCAAGTGGGCAAGAAAGAGGCCCATCCATGATACTGTCTGCCAAGCAACCCCCCTGGCGCAGAGATGGCAAGCTGTCCATCAAAAATTTGTGGTCCATCTTCTATAATACAGTGTCACTGCTGGGTAAATAGCTGCCCAGCCAGAAGCAATGTTTCCTGGCCTCCCTTGCAGTTGGCTATAGTCATGTGACTGAGCTGTAGCCAATGGGATGTGAGTGATGTACACCACTTCCAGGTCTGGCCTATAAATACCATCCGCATGGTTCTCCTCCGTGAGTTTTCCTTTCCCATCCCTTGGCAGGACCTTCGAAGCCACATGCTGAAGATGGCTGAACTTTGGTCAACTTTAGTCCTAGAATACTATAAGATGAATTCTACCACACTAACCTGTGCCCCCACCCAGGACTGTCATGTAAAAGAGAAATACAGGTTTTGTTTTTGTTTTGTTTGTTTGTTTGTTTTTGAGACAGAGTCTCGCTCTGTCGCCCAGGCTGGAGTGCAGTGGTACGATCTTGGCTCACTGCAACCTCCGCCTCCCAGGTTCAAGTGATTCTCCTGTCTCCTCCTCCCAAGCAGCTGGGACTACAGGTGTGTGCCACCACGCCCAGCTAATAAAGAAGAAATAAAATTTCTATTGTGTTTGGGTCTTTGTGCCTTTTGTACCTGTTGTTTGTTAAGGGAATTAATACTCTTCTCTTTTCTTGGGAATTGCTCTCTCTCCCTAAACCACTTGTCTCCCACAGGAAAAGTCATGTTGTCATAGGACCCCAGCCCCTGGCCACAGCTGAAGTGCTCGCACAGTGCTGGGCACTTGAACCACCAGGGGCTCATCGCAGACACACTGCTCCCCATGGCAACGGTGGAAGGGTCACGGCTGGGAACCTGAATGAAGCAGATACAACAAGTCTTTTCTAAGGATTTCTGCACCTGTGACCCAGGAGGTCAAGGCTGATGCAAACTATAAGATGCCCTATTTCCCACCATTTAAGAAAGGCACCACTACACCTAAGAATTGAAGACGAGGGATTCTTACTTTTGATATCGTTCCTAAGCCATGGCTCCATCTTTGTCCTTCCTGTAATTTGAGTTTCCTCCCTTCCTTGGATCTGTGAGCCACTCAATAACCCTCAGAGCTAGGTTTCTGCTACTTACAACCCAGTAGAGACCTAGTTAATATACACACCTAAGCAAAGGAAGGGGTATGTGTGCAGTGGGGTGGGATTGCCAGATGTGTTCAGTAATGATTGAGTGGAGAACCCCAGGCTAGGTGCGGTGGCTCACACCTGTAATCCCAGAACTTTGGGAGGCCAGGGTAGGCAGATCACCTGAGGTCAGGAGTTCAAGACCAGCCTGGCCAACATGGTGAAACTCTACTAAAAATACAAAAATTAGCTAGGCATGGTGGCACGTTCCTGTAGTCCTAGCTACCCAGGAGGCTGAGGCACAAGAATCACTTGAACCTGAGGGGCAGAGGTTGCAGTGAGCCGAGATCCCGCCACCGCACTCCAGTCTGTGTGACAGAGAAAGACTCTGTCTGGAAAAAAAAAAAAAAAAAGAAGAACCTCAGTCTGCTACTCCATCCCAAATCCTGACTTGTATTTCTCCCAGGTCTCTTCAGCTGCCAATGGACTCACAAACCCTTCCCCACAAAACCCATCATTGGACTCCACTCATCCTTTAGGCAATGGCTTCCAGAGCTCCCATATCTCCAATAGCCTCCAGCCATCAGGGGTAATTCAGAGAGAATGCAAAGGCAGACTTTACCTTTTCACTATCCAAAGAAGGCTCAGGGCCAGGGAGGCGATTGTGCTTAACAAATACGCCAGGGGCAGATCATAGGTGAAGTTCTGAAATTTCACCCCATCAATGGTGTAATGTCCGTAAAAGAGGCTAGTTTCCTCCAGGAAACCCTGAAACGAAGCCAAGAGCATGAAGTCAGACTGGTCAGCTTACTGCAGGGAACCAGAAGAGTAGTCCCTGCCTCAAGGAACACAAGTTCCAGTGTCCCCTTTCCTCTCTGTATCCCCAGAGACTGGAACAGCCCCAGAGGCACAGGGAGTATTCAGTGTTTGGTAAATAAAGCACTGATAAAACCCTGGCATTAAAAATGCACAGGTGGGCCGGGCAAGGTGGCTCACGCCTGTAATCCCAGCCCTTTGGGAGGCCAAAGCGGGCAGATCTCCTGAGGTCTTGAGTTCAAGACCAGCCTGGCCAACATGGCAAAACCCCCGTCTTCACTAAAAATACAAAAAAATTAGCTGGGCCTGGTGTTGCGCGCCTGTAACCCCAGCTACTCGGGAGGCTGAGGCAGGAGAATCACTTGAACTCGGGAGGCTGAGGCAGGAGAATCACTTGAACCCGGGAGGCAGAGGTTGCTGTGAGCTGAGATCATAACACTGAACTCCAGCCTGGGCAACAGAATGAGACTCCATCTCAAAAAAAAAAAAAAATGCACAGATGGCCAGGCGTGGTGGCTCACACCTGTAATCCCAGCACCTTGGAAGGCCGAGGCAGGAGGATTACTTGAGCCCAGGAGTTTCAGACAAGCCTGGGCAACACAGAGAGATCCCTATCTCTACAAATTTTTTTTAAAAAAATTAGCTAGGCATAGAGGTGCATGTCTATGGTCCCAGCTGCTCAGGAGGCTGGAATAAGCCGTGTTTGTGCTACTGCACTCTAGACTGGGTAACAGAGCAAGACCCTGTCTCTGAAAGAAAAAAAGCAAATATAACAAGCCAAAACTGAAATTAAGAATAAAATTCCATGTGCCATAGCATCGAAAAGAATAAAACATTAGGACTAAATTTAACTAAGGAAGTGCAAATCTCGTGCCGGGCACGGTGGCTCATGCCTGTAATCCCAGCACTTTGGGAGGCCGAGGCGGATAGATCACAAGGTCAGGAGATCAAAACCATCCTGGCTAACACAGTGAAACCCCGTCTCTACTAAAAATACAAAAAATTAGCCGGGTGTGGTGGCGGGCGCCTGTAGTCCCAGCTACTCGGGAGGCTGAAGCAGGAGAATGGTGTGAACCCGGGAGGCGGATCTTGCAGTGAGCCGAGATTGTGCCACTGCACTCCAGCCTGGGTGACAGAGCAAGACTCTGTCTCAAAATAAATAAATAAATAAATAAAATAAAATAAAACAATTAAAAATTTTTTTTTAAAAAGTGCAAATCTCGGCCGGGCACAGTGGCTCATGCCTGTAATCCCAGAACCTTGGGAGGCCGAGGCGGGTGGATCATGAGGTCAGGAGCTCAAGATCAGCCTGGCCAACACAGTGAAACCCTATCTCTACTAAAAATACAAAAATTAGCCGGGCATGGTGGCATGTGCCTGTAGTCCCATCTACTCGGGAGGCTAAGGCAGGAGAATCACTTGAACCCGAGAGGTAGAGGTTGTGGTGAGCCGAGATCACACCACTGCATTCCAGCCTGGGCAACAGAGCGAGACTCTGTCTCAAAATAATAATAATAATAATAATAATTAAAGAAGCTCTAAAGAAACGGACAACATCCCATGTTTATGGATCAGAAGATCTATGGCCAAATTCCTCAAATTGATTTACAGATTCAACATCATCCTTGTTAGAATCCTAGCTGGCTTCCTTATAGAAAAACTGACAAGCTGATCCTAAAATTCATATGGAATCGCAACACACCCAGAAAAAGAGCCAAAACAACTTTGAAGAAGAAGAACAGTAAGGCCTGGTGGCTCAGAACACTCTCTGACTTCTTCTCCTTCTTTTTTTTTAAATAAAAAAGTAGAGATATGGTCTCGCCATGTTGCCCAGGCTGGTCTCCAACTCCTGGGCTCAAATGATCCTCTAGCCTCAGCCTCCCAAAGTGCTGGGATTACAGGTTTTGAGCCACTGTGCCCGGCTGACTGACTTCTTATGGTGGGAATGATTGAACACCTCAAACACCTCCTTGGATGGCAGGAAAACTCCAGGAGAGTGAAGAAGAGAACAGATATAGCAGAAACATTGTAGGTAGATAATACATAGAGGTTCCCTACAGCATTGTTTATAAAGGAAGGAAATGAGAGGAAATCTGAATGTCCATACAGGGATTGGGCTAGAACACTAAAAATCCATATTATGAAATATCAAGCAAGACCATGTAAGTGCACAGAGAAAGGTCAGCGGTCAAGTAGGCTGTAAACCATGGGGTTAAATGTTCAGTGACCTCTGGGGAGGGATATTTTCATTTTTTACTCTATAAATTCTGTATTTTTCATGACAACTGTGCATTCTTGTGTGTGTGTGTGTGTCTTCTTAAAACAAATTTATTGAAGCTGAGCATATTTACGTTATACAATTGTGCATATCTGTATTTTAAAATTATACAAGACAACCGTGCATTCTTATATTATCTGGGTAATTAAGTCATGTGTTAACTGGAAAAGAAAAAGTAGAAGCAGAAGACTCCATTCTCCTTTCAACTCTCCCAAAGGCCATAAAAACGTGTCCAACCAGAAGAAACCTGTTTATACTGCCAAGGGCTGATATCAGGGCTGTCACCAACCTCTCCCTAAAAATAATGTAACAATTACAGGGGAAAGGTCGGCTGGGCCTGGAAAATATTTTCTGATTTGATAATGAGCTTGGTTCAATTGTTTTTAAGAAAAACAAGCCCCTGTTTGATCTCTCTGGCCCTCTTTCACTTGTGCCTATTTACATTTATATTATTAACAATAACATTAAATGAAAATTCAGTTTCCCAGCCACACTAGACATATTTCAAGTGCTCAAGAGTTAGTGGTTCTGGGCCGGGCACAGTGGCTCACACCTGTAATCCCAGCACTTTCGGAGGCTGAGGCAGGCAGATCACTTGAGGTCACGGGTTCAAGACCAGCCTGGCCAACATGATGAAACCCTGTCTCTACTAAAAACAAAATTTAGCTGGGCGTCATCATACACACCTGTAATCCAGCTACTTGGGAGGCTGAGGCACAAGAATTGCTTGAAACCAGGAGGCAGAGGTTGCAGTGAGCCAAGATTGCACCACTGCACTCCAGCCTGGTGACAGAGCGAGACTCTGTCTTTAAAAAAAAAAAAAAAAAAAAAAAAAAGGTCAGGTGTGGTGGCTCATGCCTGTAATCCCAGCACTTTGGGAGGCCGAGGTGGGTGGATCACTTGAGGTCAGGAGTTCAAGACCAGCCTGGCCAACATGGTGAAACCCTGTCTCTACTAAAAATACAAAAATTAGCTGGGTGTGGTGGTGGGCGCCTGTAACCCCAGCTACTTGGGAGGCTGAGGCAGGAGAATCGCTTGAACCCAGGGGGCAGAGGTTGCAGTGGGCCGAGATCATGCCAATGCACTCCAGCCTGGGTGACAGAGCAAGAATCTGTCTCAAAAAACAAACAAAAAAGAGTTAGTGGTTCCATTGTTATACAGCACAGGTCCACATTCTCCAGATCATTGCAGAAAGTTCTCTTTCAGACAGGCTGTTATCATGCTTACTTTATTGAACATCTATAATTAAGCGCAGCTAACTCTCCTATAAAATTTTTCCTATCAGGAAGAAGGTTACAGTGTGCGAAGAAACTTTTTTTTTTCACAAACAGAAACTTTTCTTGTGGGATGTAATCTAAAGAAATGGGGTTAACAGCAGCTCTGGGATTTGATCCTAACTTTGCTTTCTTTTTTTTTTTTTTGAGACGGAGTCTCACTCTGTCGCCCAGGCTGGAGTGCAGTGGCATGATCTCGGCTCGCTGCAAGCTCCACCTCCCAGGTTCACGCCATTCTCCTGCCTCAGCCTCCCAAGTAGCTGGGACTACAGGTGCCTGCCACCACGCCTGGCTAATTTTTTTCTATTTTTAGTAGAGACAGGGTTTCACTGTGTTAGCCAGGATGCTCTCGATCTCCTGACCTCATGATCCACCCGCCTCGGCCTCCCAAAGTGCTGGGATTACAGGCGTGAGCCACTGTGCCAAGCCATCTATTTTTTTTTAACTTTTTTTGCATAGTAGACATTTGAACACCCACCCAACAATTCCCCTGGGTTGTTTTTAGGAAAACGTGAGATCAGAGATGTAAAAGGGTTTTTTCAAAATCAGGTGCGGCATAGTGGCTCACACCTGTAATCCCAGCACTTTGGGAAGCCGAGACAGGTGGATTGCTTGAGCTCAGGAGCTCGAGACCAGCCTAGGCAACATGGCAAAACTCTGTCTCTACAAAACAAACACACGCACATACACACACACACAAATTAGCTGGGCATGGGGGTATGCACCTGTAGTCCCAGCTACTTCGGAGGCTTGAGGTGAAAGGATGGCTTAAGCCTAGGAGGCAGAGGTTGCAATGAGCCAAGATTGTGCCACTGCACTCTCTGAGCAACAGAGCCAGATCTTGTCTCAAAAAGAAAAAAAAAAAAGGGTGGGGGGCTTTTTCAAAATCAAATGCAGTGGACAAATTCAAGGCTTTCTACCAATTTATTCAGAAAAGTAGAAGCTCAATGGTATGGCATTTGTTTATTTGTTTTTTTGTTTTTTGTTTTGTTTTGTTTTGTTTTGAGACAAACTCTCCCTCTCATTGCCCAGGCTGGAATGCAGTTGCGTGATCTCAGCTCACTGCAGCTTCGGCCTCCCAGGTTCAAGCAATTCTCCTGCCTCAGCCTCCTAAGTAGCTGGGATTACAGGCACCCGCCACCATGCCTGGATAATTTTTGCATTTTTAGTAGAGATGGGGTTTCACCATGTTGGCCAAGCTGGTCTTGAACTCCTGACCTCAGGTGATCTGCCCGCCTTGGCCTCTCTGAAGTGCTGGGGTTACAGGCATGAGCCACCGCACCCGGCCGGTATGGTATTTTGATACCAGTAATTTTCAGAAAGTATTTCTGAAAAAATAAAAATACTTATTTGTATTTCTTAAACACCTAGAGCAGTGGTTCTCATCTGGGGGTAATTTTGTCCACTAGGAAACATTTGGCAATCTCTGGAAACATTTTTGGTTGTCAGAGTTGGAAGAGGGCAGTGCTGCTGGCATCTAGTGGGTAGAGACCAGGGATACAGCTCAGCATGCTACTGTGCACCAGATAGCTCTACACAACACAGAGTTATCTAATCCACTGGGCACGGTGGCTCATGCCTGTTCCCCCAGTACTTATAATCTCATTGCTTTTTTTCTGAGACAGCGTCTCACTCTGTTGCCCAGGCTGGAGTGCAGTGGTGCAATCTCGGCTCACTGCAAGCTCCGCCTCCCGGGTTCACATCATTCTCCTGCCTCAGCCTCCCGAGTAGCTGGGACTACAGGCGCCCGCCACCACGCCCTGCTAATTTTTTGTATTTTTAGTAGAGATGGGGTTTTACCGTGTTAGCCAGGATGGTCTCGATCTTCTGACCTTGTGACCCACCCACCTCGGCCTCCCAAAGTGCTGGGATTACAGGTGTGAGCCACCACACTGAGCCAAAATCTCATTGCTTTTAGCCAAGTGTAGTGCACGCCTGTAGTCCTAGCTACTTGGGAAAATCGTTTAAGCCCAGGAGTTTGAGATTACAGTGAGCTACAATTGCACCACTACACTCTAACTGGGCAACAGAGCATGATCCTATCTCTAAAAAAATAAAAAATAAATAAAAAAAAAGAATATCAATAGTGCCAAGTTTGAAAAACCCTGGTCTAAAGGGCAAAGATAGCCACTTTTCATAGCTGCAATCTTATTTGATGAAAAAAGTGAAATAAAAAAATGAAAAACCACAAAATCTGTTTTTTAAGATGGGGTCTTGCTCTGTTGCCCAGGCTGAAGTGCAGTGGTTCAGTCTTGGCTCACTGCAGCCTCAACCTTCTGGGCTCATGTGATTCCCCTACCTCAGCCTCCAGAGTAACTGGGACTACAGGTGCACGCCACCACGCCCAGCTAATTCTGTTTATTCTGTGTAGAGATATGTTGCCCAGGCTGGTTTCAAACTCCTGGCCTCAAGCAATCCTCCTGCCTCGGCCTCTCAAAGTGTTGGGGTTACAGGTGTGAGCCACTGCGCCTGGCCAAAATCATTTCTTTAGAAGGCGATAATAAAAACCTTTTACAACTACCATAAAAGCAAAGAGATTAAGTCCATTTTAGAGTTGGGGTGGTGGTGGGGGATGTTAACCTTGGATTGACTTATAAGGGATTTCAGAGAATCTTCATACGCCCATGTACATGATATGCAGGTATATGTGCATATCATCTGAAAGTGTGAGGTTGTGCATCGCACATGTCCCTGTGTGTAATTTCTGGAAAGAAGAGCTATGTCTTTCATCCATCCAGTCTGGGACTCCAAAATGTTGGGGTTTATCGGTGTCAGAGAAATTGTAAACATTCTATCTGGGTTCATTTTCACTGAAGCTTCTTTCTGTGGGGGACCTCGGTATTGTGTTGCAGATCAATACAAAGATTGAAGGACTAGAGGCCGGTATGGTGGCTCACGCCTATAACCCCAGTACTTTGGGAGGCCAAGGAGAGTGGACCACCTGAGTTCAGGAGTTCCAGACCAGCCTGGCCAACATGGTGAAACTCCGTCTCTACTAAAAATACAAAAATTAGCTGGGCGTGGTGGCACACACGTGTAATTCCAGCTACTCGAGAGGCTGAGGCAGGAGAATCACTTGAACCTAGGAAGCAGAGATTGCAGTGAGCCAAGATTGCACCACTGCACTCCAGCCTGGGCGACGGAGCGAGACTCCATCTCAAAAAAATAATAATAATAAATAAAAAGAAAGGACTAGAAAAAGGCCAATGGCCGAAAGTGATAAAGCATATTTCCTGACATTCTAACAGGCGATGGTGAACATTGTTCTTTCTGATGAGGTAACTGCAAATCCTGTTTCATTTACTGGTACATGTGTCAACCAACACTTGTGTTTAGCTCTCACTGCAGAAATTTGGGAAACTGATCTTTAAATCAATCAATTTTTAGTAGATTGAGGAGCTAAACAAAGGATTATGTTAAATACTTACAGTGCCAGAAAGCAAGTCTATGATATAACTGTAAAAGTAAATGAGTCCAGAACTGCTTACTGGATAGACTGTACATTGTTTATCTGTAAGAAACAAAAACCAGAATGTCAGTGGAAACAGTTTTAGTCTCTATAACCTGCCTGGTTTTTTTGTTTGTTTGTTTGTTTGTTTGTTCTGAGATGGAGTCTCGCTCTGTCATCCAGACTGGAGTGCAATGGCGTGATCTTGGCTCACTGAAGCCTCTGCCTCCTGGGTTCAAGCGATTCTCCTGCCTCAACCTCCCAAGTAGCTGGGATCATAGGCATTCACCACCACACCTGGCTCATTTTTGTATTTTTAGTAGAGATGGGGTTTCGCCAGGCTGGTCTTGAACTCCTGACCTCAGGTGATCCACCCACCTCAGCCTCCCAAAGTGCTGGGATTACAGGCGTGAGCCCCCGGACCCGGCCACAGCCTGCCTGTTTTTCACTATTTGTGTGTATAAGCATGTACAGTCATGCATGGCTTAACGAGGAGGATACAGTCTGATAAATATGTCCTTAGGCAATTTCGTCATGCGAACATCACGGAGTGGACTTACGCAAACCTAGATGGGATGGCCTACTACACACCTAGGCTGTATGGTATGGCCTATGCTCCTAGGTTACAAACGTGGACAGCACATTACTGCACTGAATACTGTAGGTAACTGCAACACAATGTTAAGTATTTGTGTATCTAAACATATCTAAACAAAGAAAAAGTACAGCAAAAATCCAGTATTATAATCTTAGGGGACCACCATTGCATATGTGGTCCATTGTTAATTGAAACATTGACATGGGGTACATGACTGTATATGTATATTACATTTAGAAATGTCATATATATTTGCATATTTGCACATAGATATGTTTGTGTATTTGTGATTTGCCATTTTCAGTCCAAACCCCAATGTGTCCAATACAGTAACATCTCTTTCTCCTTCTACTTCTAATGTTTCCTTCACTATTCTCCCCACACATCTGGGGATATGTCTTTTTTACATATTTTGTATGTAAGTCCACATGTAGAGCTTGTGTTTTGCTTGTATGTGTGACTATCAATGCTCCAGATAGAGGCTGCTCCATCAGCTTGGGCTCCAGAGCACACAGTGGACATGGACTGTGAGTGAGAAATGAACCTTTGTGGTTATTTCTCACTCACAGTCTCATACTGTTATGCTGTCGTGCCTGCATGCTGTTATTCCACAGCAGCATGAGCATTATGGGGTCACTTGTTTCTGCAGCATAACCTAGACCATCCTGACTAATACAGTCGCCCAAGAATTAGAATAAAGATTCTTAGCAAAGGAAGCATTGTAGCAAGGTACATGGTGAAAAACAAACACACTTCGTAGTAAACCAGGCCTTACACTCACCCATGTCTTTGAAAGGAATGAGCACGAAGCTGCTGTTGGTGATCTTGTATTTCGTGAGTAAGACTGGGAGCAAAACCAGCATAAAGATGATCAGAAATATCACCAAATTCAGCAACACCAGGAATCTCAAGAAGGAGAAATAGGACTGAATCCCAGTGCCAAATTTCCCTGGAAAAAACAAACCCGGACATCACTGACCAGGGATATTGATACACTACACATCATAGATTCAATCAGCCACAAAAGCTGAAGCTGGAGGAATCAGTAGCTGGAAGGAGGAAGAAACGTTTTATTTTTTTCTCAATTGTTAGCTTTAAGACTCGATCTTCTAGTGTTTTCACTTTTCACCTGTAGATCTACAATCAATCTTGAATTAATCACTTGAGAATCGTATGAGGGAGGGCTCAATATTTATCTTTTCCTTATATGAATCTCTAGTTGACTCAGCACCATTTATTGGCTGCCTTTTTTGGAAATAATCACCTGAACATATATGTATGAATCTGTTTCTAAACTCTATCCTGTTCCATGGGTCTACATGTCTATCCTTACACCAATGCTAGACTGTCTTAATTACTGCAGATTTGTAAGACTTGTCACATGGTATCTTTAAGCTTTGTTACTCCTCAAGATTGTCTTAGATATCTTTGGTCTTTTGCATTTATGTACAAATGTTAGAATTAGTGTTTTAATTTTCACGTGCAATCTGCTAAGATTCTGATTGGGATTACATAAAATATACAGGTCAATTTGAGGAGAAGTGACATATTTATAATATTAAGTCTTCTGATCCATCAACATGGTATATTTAGGTCTTCCTTAGTTTTTCTCAATAATACTATTATAGTTTTCTGTGCATAATTATTGCATATGATTCTTTAGATATATTCCTAGATATCTGGCTTTTATTTATTTATTTATTTATTTATTTATTTATTTATTTTTGACACCATGTCTCACTCTGTTGCCCAGGGTGGAGTGCAGTGGCGTGATCTCAGCTCACTGCAACCTCTGCCTCCTGGGTTCAAGGAATTCTCACGCCTTAGCCTCCCGAGGCTGAGCCACCACGCCCAGCTAATTTTTATGTTTTTAGTACAGATGAGGTTTCACCATGTTGGCCAAGCTGGTCTCGAACTCCTGACCTCAGGTGATCCACCTGCCTCAGCCTCCCAAAGTGCTGGGATTATAGGCGTGAGCCACCACGCCCAGCCCTGACATTTTTGATACTATTGTAAATTGTATCATTTAAAAAATTTCACTTTCTAAATGTTTGTTGTTGGTACATGGAAATACAATTCATTTTATATAGAGACACTAACATTAACAATAAACCTTGTTACATTAACATTAATAGTTCTTTTTAATTATCTACATGCATATCATTGTCATCTGCAAAAAAAAATGACATTTTATTTCTTCCTTTCCAATTATTATCCTTCCCCCCGCCCATCCTACTACATTGGCTAGAACTTCCAGGATGATTTTGAATAGAATCTGTGATAATCGGCACCTTTTTCTCATTCTCAATCTCAAGGAAAGAGCTTTCAATATTTCATCATTAAGTATGTTGTTTGCTGTATAATGTTTATAGGTTTTTAAAATCAAAATTAAGAAAGGTCTTATCTACTTCTTATTTGCTAAAAATGAGAACTGAAGTTTATCAGAGCTTTTTCTGCATCTGTTGGGATGATCATATTTTTTTTCTTTTATTCTGTTTTGTGGTGAATTACATCGATTGATTTGCAAATAGAAAACCAACCTTCCGCTAGATAATGATTAAATTGCTGAGGATAGAAAGCATTCTGAAGAGCAAGGATGGCTTCTTGTTCTTGGTAGGGGCAAAGAACTTATTACTGGAGACCGAAGATATAAGATACCCACAGTTTTTTGCCACTGTCTAATACTTAGCAATCTGCCAGAGGCAAGAAATTTAATTATCACACCTGCACTTCATGTCAGATGAGCACCTACCCAGCCAAGAAATCACAGGGGTAGAGTAACTGCAGAGAAAATCAAAATCCCGGTTCCCAGGGAGAACCTACCGTCTACCACACAAGCCACTTTCTGAATGAAAATCTGAAGAAAGCCTACCACTTCACAAGAGAGGAAGCTAGACATAGTGGCTAAAACCTTGGACTCTACATCTTGAATGCCTGGGTTCAAACCCTGCTTCTGCCTCACCCTGTCTGAGTGAACCTGGACAAGATCTCAAACTCTCTGAGCCATGCAAATGACAAGTACCTAAATGAAAGTTTCCTTTGAAGATTAACTGAGGTAATGAGTGAAGTGCTTAACACAATGCCTGGTTTATAGTAAATGTTCAGTAACAGTTAGCTTTTATTATTTTGCTCCAAACATAATGTTAAACTTAAATCTCAAGAGAAAAAGTATGAGTGCATGGTTAAAGTCTTAAGTGAGCCAAGAAGCCTTTTAGAAATATGTTATATTCTCCAAATAAAACAACAATAAAAAGGTAGCTCATTGGATAGATTGCCAATTGTATTTTATAGGTCTTAAAATAGTAATAATGGAGACAATCATTTCCTTTGTTTATCCTACTACATTCCTTACAAACCTCACAAAGTTTCCATTTTAGCAGTTTTGGGGAGATGTTTGAAAAATGTTTTGCTGTAAAATAGATAATCCTGGCCGGGCGTGGTGGCTCACGCCTGTAATCCCAGCATTTTGGGAGGCCAAGGCAGCCAGATCACCTGAGGTCAGGAATTCAAGACCAGCCTGTCCAACATGGTGAAACCCTGTCTCTACTAAAAATACAAAAATTAGCCGGCCTGGTGGCACGTGCCTGTAGTCTCAGCTACGTGGGAGGCTGAAGCAGGGGAATCACTTGAACTTGTGAGGCGGAGGTTGCAGTGAGCCAAGACTGCACCATTGCCCTCCGGCCTGGGCAACAAGAGCGAAACTTTGTCTCAAAAAATAAAATAAAATAGATAATCAAAAAAATGTTTAATGTTTCTAATTTTGTATTTTGGTTTTTTTTTATTTTCATTTTTATTTTTAGATTAAATAGAGACAGGATCTTACTATGTTACCCAGGCTGGTCACAAACTCCTGAGCTCAAGTGATCCTCCTGCCTCAGCCTCCCAAAGCACTAGGATGGGGGCATGAGCCACTGTGCCTGGCTAATTTTGTATTTTGGCACAACTTCCCATTTTTGCATACTTGCTATGGACTGAATTGTGTCCCCACCCTCAAATTCGTATGGTGAAGCCCTAACACCCAGTGTCATGGTATTTGGAGATGAGCCTTTGGGAGGTGATTAGGTTTCAATGAGGTCTTGAGAGTGGTGTCCCATGATGGGATTAGTGTCCTTATAAAAAGAGACACCAGAGAGTTTGCACTCTTTCTCAGAGCACACTCAAAGCAAAGGTTACGTGAACACAGCAAGAAGGCCTGTTCGAGCCTCCAAAACTATGAGAAAAAAAAGTTTCTGTTTTTTAAGCCATCCAGTCTGCGGTATTTTGTTATGGCAGCCCAAGCCAACTAATAACAATATTTTAATCCCAAATTCTCACCATTATAGGAAAGTAGGGGTTCACAGTATTTTCAGGGCCACAGGAACTCTTTGCAGTTTGGTAAAAGTGATGAACCTCGACTCAGGATAATAAGGCTTTCTGTTTGTTTATTTATGTTTTTGTTTTGAGACAGGGTCTGGCTCTGTTACCCAGGCTGGAGTGCAATAGCACAATCATAGCTTACTGCAGCCTCAAACTCCTGGGCTCAGGTGATCCTCCTGCCTAAGCTTCCCCAGAAGCTGGGACTATGGGCATATAGCACCACATCCAGCTAATTTTTAAAGCTTTTTTTGGAGCCAGGCGTGGTGGCTCACGCCTGTAATCCCAGCACTTTGGGAGGCCGAGAAGGGCGGATGACGAGGTCAGGAGATCAAGACCATCCTGGCTAACACGGTGAAACCCCGTCTCTACTAAAAATACAAAAAATTAGCCAGGCGAGGTGGCGGGCACCTGTAGTCCCAGCTACTCGGGAGGCTGAGGCAGGAGACTGGCGTGAACCCCGGGGGGCGGAGCCTGCAGTGAGCCGAGATTGCACCACTGCACTCCAGCCTGGGTGATAGAGCAAGATTCAGTCTCAAAAAAAAAAAAAAAAAAAACTGTTTTTTGAAGAGGCAAGGTCTTAAACTTTGTTACCCAGGCTGGTCTCAAACTCCTGGGCTCAGATGCTCTTCCTGCCTCAGTCTCCCAAAATGCTAGGATTACAGGCATGAACCACCACCTGGCTGGGATAATGTTTTTAATAATATGATAACTGTATGTCTGTTTTTATTTTATGCATTGAAATTAAAAGTATAACATTTTAAAATAATATATTTATGCATAATATTTTAATGCATGAAATAATAGTTTACTAATATTAAAATATTATAATTTAATATTATTTTTAAATAATACTATTTTATGCATTTAATTTAAATTAAATTATTAAATAATTTAATATTATTTTTAAATAATACTATTCATGCATTTCATTTAAATGCATAAGATAAAAAGATATACAGTTATCATATTATTTTAAAAATATGTGTGATAGAATAACCTATGTGAGCATCATGAGCACCTTTACTGGCACTTCTTTTGAGACAGAGTCTCACTCTGTTACCCAGGCTGGAGTGCAATAGTGCGGTCTCAGCTCACTGCAACGTCCACCTCCCAGGTTCAAGTGATTCTCATGCCTCAGCCTCCCAAATAGCTGGGATTACAGGCATGCACTACCATGCCCAGCTAATTTTTTGTAGTTTTAGTAGAGACGGGATTTCACCATGTTGTCCAGGCTGGTCTCAAACTCCTGAACTCATGATTCACCCACCTTGGCCTCCCAAATTGCTGGGATTACAGGAGTGAGCCACTGCGCCTGGTCTTCACTAGCACATTAAATAACAAGATCTAGTGGGAAGTCTAATAATGACTGAAATTTCCAAGTATTCATGGGTATTAACGGTATTCCAAGATAAATACAACAACTGGAAGGGACAGGAAAATATCCACGATTTTTCCTGGTGACAAAGTCACAGGTTCTGCTAAACCTTGCTGTGGTTTGTTGCTCACATTCATCATGGAAAGAAATGCTCAATTTCAGCTAGACCCTAGTGGAAACGAAGCTGTACTTGCTCCCCAGACACAGACTTCTGCGGAGGAGCCTGCAGAGAGGTGAGGACAGCATACCTTCTATGCTGCGGATGTCCTCCCGCCACAGCTCCAGGTGGGTCGTCATCTCTCGAGCCTTCTCTAGGAACCTCTTCCAAGACTTGCTGCTATACCGCTTCCACTGGTCCCATTCGGAGAGATACTTCATTTGTGTCTCTTGAATGTCCCTGCATGGAAAACATGATCATGACAATGACAACAACAGCAGCATCAAGACTCAGCATCCCAGCCTGGCACAGTAGCTCACGCCTGTAATCCCAGCACTCTGGGAGGCCGAGGCAGGTGGATCACCTGAGGTCAGGAGTTCAAGACCAGCCTGGCCAACATGGTGAAACACCATCTCTACTAAAAATACAAAATTAGCCAGGTGTGGTGGCGGGCGCCTGTAATCCCAGCTACTCCACGAGGCTGAGGCAGAAGAACCTCTGGGAGGCGGAGGTTGCGGTGAGCCGAGATGGTGCCATTGCACTCCAGCCTGGGCAACAAGAGTGAAACTTCATCTCAAAAAAAAAGAAAGAAAAGAAAAGAAAGACTCAGCATCTCATAAAATCCCAGCTGAAAGGACAGAGAAATATGTGAGCTCTCATACATTGCTGCAAGGAATATAAAATGCCGCCGCTATGGAAAAAAGTTTGGCAGTCCGTCAAAATGTCAAACAGAATAACCATGTGCCATGTAGTTCCACTCCTAGGTACATACAAAGAATTGAAAACAGGGCTCTCAAACAAAAACTTGTCATGAGGCTGGGCGTGGTGGCTCATGCCTGTAATCCAAGCACTTTGGGAGGCTGAGGCAGGTGGATCACCTGAGGTCAGGAATTCGAGACCAGCCTGGCCAACATAGTGAAACTCCATCTCTACTAAAAATACAAATTAGCCAGGCATGGTGGTGGGCGTCTGTAATTCCAGCTACTTGGGAGGCCGAGGCAGAAGAATTTCTTGAACCCGGGAGGCGGAGTTTGCAGTGAGCCGAGATCATGCCACTGCACTATGTTGGCCAGTCTGGGCAACAAGAGTGAAACTCGGTCTCAAAAAAAAAAAAAAAAACTTGTCTTGAGTGTTCGTAGCAGCATTGTTGCTAATAATCAAAAGGTAGAAACAATCCAAATGTCCACTGACAGATAAGTGGATTTTTTTAAATGTGGTCTATCCACACAATAGGATATTATTCAACCTCAGAAAGGAATGACGGGCCAGGCACAGTGGCTCATGCCTGTAATCTCTGAACTTTGGGAGGCTGAGGCAGGAGGATTGCTTGAGCCTGGGGGATCAGGCTGCAGTGAGCTGAGATCTCACCACTGCACTCCATCCTGGGAGACAGAGCAAGGCCCTGTCACAAAAAAAAAAACAAGGAGGCCAGGCACAGTGGCTCACACTTGTAATCCCATCACTTTGGGAGGCCAAGGCAGGCAGATCACATGAAGCCAGGAGTTCAAGACCAGCCTGACCAACATGGCGAAACCCCGTCTCTACTGAAAATACCAAAATTAGGTGGGCATGGTGGCAGGCACCTGTAATCCCAGCTACTAGGGAGGCTGAGGCAGGAGAATCGCTTGAACCCGGAAGGCGGAGGTTGCAGTGGGCCGAGATGTTGCCATTGCACTCCAGCCTGGGTGACAGAGCGAGACTCCATATCAAAAAAAAACAAAAAAACAATTAAATAAAAATAATAAAAATAAAAGCCAAAAGAAAAATAATATTTTGTGACACATGAAAATCACATGAAATTCGAATTTCAGTGTCCATAAATATTCCTAGAACACAGCCATGCCAATTCATTTATGAACCATCTGCAACAGGAGAATTAAGTAGTTGCAACAGAGACTACACGGCCCACAAAGCTGATCCTGAGTCTGGAGGGAAGGCAAACAGGCTGACGTCCAACAACGACAGCTCCCTGGGGGAAGTGCTACAAAAGGGGATGTGGTCAGAGCTCTGGAAACCTGGAGGAGGCGCCCCAAGTCCAAGTTGGTGTTGGAGCAGGGAGTAAGGAGAGCAGGGGAAAGAGAAGGTGCTGGGGCCTGAAGGCGAGAGAGGAAACATGAGGAATTTGCCAGCCATCCATGGCATATGGCACACGGCACACGCCTCCACCCTCCCACCAGTCTGTCCTCCATCAGACAGGGAGCTCCTATTAAAGAAAAGGACTTGAACCTTCCATCCAAACGAGCCTCGCAGTGCTGTGCATTGGGTTCCTTATCTGTAACTTGGAGTTAGTAAAGTACCTACCCTTAGATCAGTGGTTCTCAAGTGGGGGCGATTTTGCATACCCCCCAAGGAACATCAGGCAATGGTCTGGGGACATCTTTGATTGTCACAACTTGGGGGAGGGGGACATGCTTCTGGCATCTAGTGGGTAGAGGCCAGGGATGTTGCTAAACATCCTCCAATCCACAGACAGCCCTCCACAACAGAGAACTATCTGGCCCCAAATCTCGATAAGCAAGAGTGCGGCCAGGTGTGGTGGCTCACGCCTGTAATCCCAGCACTTTGGGAGGCCGAGGCAGGCAGATCACAAGGTCAGAAGATCAAGACCATCCTGGCTAACACGGTGAAACCCCATCTCTACTAAAAACAAAATAAAAAATACAAAAAAATTAGCTGGGTGCGGTGGCGGGCACCTGTAGTCCCAGCTACTTGGGAGGCTGAGGCAGAAGAATGGCGTGAACCTGGGAGGCAGAGCTTGCAGTGACCCAAGATGGTGCCAGTGCACTCCAGCCTGGGCAATAGAGCGAGACCCCATCTCAAAAAAAAAAAAAAAAAAAAGCAAGAGTGCTAAGGTTAAAAAAACCCTCCCTCGGCCGGGCGCAGTGGCTCATGCTTGTAATCCCAGCACTTTGGGAGGCCAAGGCAGATGGATCACCTGAGGCTAGGAATTCCAGACGAGCCTAACCAACATGGTGAAACCCCGTCTCTACCAAAAATAAAAAAAATTAGCCAGGCATGGTGGCAGGTGCCTGTAATCCTAGCTACTCAGGAGGCTGAAGTGGGACAGTCGCTGAAACCCGCGAGGCAGAGGTTGCAGTGAGGCGAGATGGCACCACTGCATTCCAGCCTGGGTGACAGAGTGAGATTCCGTCTCAAAAAAAATAAATAAAATAGGCCAGGCACGGTGGCTCATGCCTGTAATCCCAGGACTTTGGGAGGCCGAGGCAGGCGGATCACCTGAGGTCGGGAGTTTGAGACCAGCCTGACCAACATGGAGAAACCCTGTCTCTACTAAAATACAAAATTAGCCAGGTGTGGTGGTGCATACCTGTAATCCCAGCTACTAGGGAGGCTGAGGCAGGAGAATCGCTTGAACCCGGGAGGCAGAGGTTGTGGTGAGCCGAGATCGCACCATTGCACTCCAGCCCGGGCAACAAGAGCGAAACTCCGTCTAAAAATAAATAAATAAAATAATAATAATAATTTGAAAACCTTGCCTCAGAGGGTGGAGTGGGGATTAAAGGAAATAAAGAGCTTAGAATAACAACTATTAGCAATTAGAATTGTCCTTCCTGGCCCGGTGCGGTGGCTAAGCCTGTAATCCCAGCACTTTGGGAGGCCAAGGCAGGCGGATCACCTGAGGTCAGGAGTTCAAAACCAGCCTGACCAACGTGGTGAAACCCTGTCTCTACTAAAAATTACAAAATTAGCCAGGCATGCTGGTGGGTGCCTGTAATCCCAGCTACTCAGGAGGCTGAGGCAGGAGAATTGCTTGAACCTGGGGCAGGGAGGTTGCAGTGAGCCGAGATCCCGTCTCAAAAAAAAAAGAATGATCCTTTCTCCTTTCTGTGTCCTTTTCTTTGCCACTTTCTTTTTTTTTTTTTTTTTTTTTTTTTTTTTTGAGATGGAATCTCACTCTGTCGCCCAGGCTGGAGTGCAGTGGCACGATTTTGGCTCACTGCAACCTCCGCCTCCTGGGTTCAAGTGATTCTCCTGCCTCAGCCTCACGAGTAGCTGGGATAACAGGCAACCGCCACCACACCTGGCTAATTTTTGTATTTTTAGTAGAGATGAGGTTTCACCATGTTGGCCAGCCTGTTCTCGAACTCCTGACCTCAGGTGATCCACCCGCCTTGGCCTCTCAAAATGCTGGGATTGCAGGCATGAGCCACCGCACCCAGCCTTCTTTGCCACTTTCTAGGGATTCACTGGTAAACCAGATAGACATGGGCCCTGCTCATGAGAGTCTGTTAGTTTCATTTTTCCAGTGAGCCTGGAAGTCCCTTGATGGAAGAAAATATGTCTCTCTCTTAGGTGTGGCAGAGTTTGGCATAGAGCAGTAATAGTTTATAAGAATTCAAAATCTGTGAATCTGAAAGAGTGGGAAATAAAATACATTATTTATTTATTTGGTTTTTAAATAAATTTATATATGGAACACTTCATGAATTTGTGTGTCATTCTTGCTCAGAGGCCATGCTAATTTTCTCTGTATCGCTCCAATTTTAGTATATGTGCTGCCAAAGGGAGCACTAAAATACTTTTTTTTTTTTTTTTTTTGAGACAACATCTCACTTTTTCACCCAGACTGAAGTGCAGTGGTGCCATCTTGGCTTGCTGCAGCCTCAACCTCCTGGGCTCAGGTGATCTTCCCTGAGTAGCTGAGACTACAGGAGTGCACCACCATGCCCAGCTAAATTTTGTAATTTTAGTAGAAACAGGGTTTCACTACATTGCCCAGGCTGGTCGCGAACTCCTGAGCTCAAGTGATCCACCTGCCTCAGCCTCCCAAAGTGCTGGGACTACAGGTGTAAGCCACTGTGCCAGCTAAAATACATTTATAAAGTCTCAATATTTTTTGAGAATACAAGACCACCCAAATTAAAAATAAAACCAAAGATAATGTATTCTCAAACCTACAAGGTACAGTGTATCATCCAATGTGTTATTTTGTTTTGCTATTTTCTTCATAGAGACAGGGTCTTACTCTGTCACCCAGGGTGGAGGGTAGTGGCAGAATCATAGCTCACTGCAGCCCTCCTAGCCCTGGGCTTGAGTGATACACCTACCTCAGCCTTCTGAGCAGCTGGGACTATAGGCACACATCACCACACCCAGCTAATTTTTCTATTATTATTATTTTATTTATTTATTTATTTATTTATTTATTTATTTATTTATTTTGTAAAGACAGGGTCTTGCTATGCTGTCCAGGCTGGTCTAGAATTCCTGCTGTCAAGCAATCCTCCTGCGTCAGCCTCTCAAGTTGCTGTGATTACAGGCATGAGCCACTTTGCCTGACCTTTCTAATGCATTTATGCTACTGACCCTGTGGGGGGCAGTAATTCGAGAGTTAAGCAGAAATAACCACCTCTGTCATTACACCAGGTCAATCGGAAAATTATGTTTTAAATTCTTCAAGAATGGGGGAGATGGCAAGCTACCACCCAAATCCATTCTCCCCTTCTCTGGCACTAGCTGGAGACACTTCCCAGCCTTCCTGGCAGTTAGGTATGACCATGTGGCTAAATTCTCTCTGGTAGAAATGTAAAGAAAAGTGATATGTGCACCTTTCAGACTTGGCTCTTAACCCACTCCCAAAACTCCCGATTACTCAATGAATGTGTGAATGCCTCGTGGCCATGTGACTTTACAGCTCTTCTCATTAGCGGGAGGAATATTTTCCCACCGATTGAATCTGGACTGTGATCTTGTTAGACCACAGACTGCAGTAGGAGGGAAGCTGAGCTGGTTTTAAGCCTAGTCCCAAGAGGTTCTGCAGGCTTCCGATCCTCTCTTGGGCTCCAGCTGTTGCCATGCAAACAAACCCGAGCTATCCTGATGATACCATGTGATCATCCCAGCTGAAGCCACCCCAGACCAGCTTACAGCCAGCTGATCCCCAGCCTAGATCAGCAGAGACACCTCCCCAACCACAGCCGACTATGGATAAAGATTCAGCCCAACTGAAACTAGAAGGATTTGTCCAGCTGACTGGTAGACTTGAGAAACTATTGTTTTAGGCTACTCCGTTGTGGGGTGATTTATTCTGCTGCGTAGCTGACTGGTATACTCATACTGCAAACTCTTTCTTTTTGTACTGCTTGGTTGCAGACAAAAATGAGGCTTTAGGGGTATGCAGAGCCACAAGATGGAAAGAGCCTGGGTCCCTGAATGGCTGCAAAGTCCCCCACTGACCTGAACCTAGTACTTTATGCTAGCAAGAAATAAACTTCTGCCAGGCACGGTAGCTCATGCCTGTAATCCCAGCACTTTGGGAGGCCAAGGCGGGCGGATCACCTGAGGTCAGGAGGTCGAGACCAGCCTGGCCAACATGGTGAAACCCTGTCTCTACTACAAATACAAAATTAGCTGGGCATGGTGGCACATGCCTGTAATCCCAGCTACTCGGGAGACTGAGGCAGGAGAATCGCTTGAATCCAGGAGGTGGAGGTTGCCGTGAGCCAAGATCATGCCATTGCACTCCAGCCTGGGCAACAAGAGTGAAACTGTGTCTCAAAAGGAGAGGAGAGGAGGGGAGGGGAGGGGAGGGGAGAGGAGAGAGGGGAAAGGGGGAAGGGGAAAGGAAAAAGGAAAAAGGAAAGGAAAGGAAAGGAAAGGAAGAAGAAGAAAGAAAGAAAAAGAAAGAAAGGAGGGAGGGAGGGAGGGAGGAAGGGAGGAATGAAGGAAGGAAGGAAAGAAAGAAAGAAAAGAAAGAAAGAAAGAAACTTCTTTTTTTTTTTTTTTTTGAGCTGGAGTCTCACTCTGTTCCCCAGGCTGGAGTGCAGTGGCGCAATCTCGGCTCACTGCAAGCTCTGCCTCCCGGGTTCACGCCATTCCCCTGCCTCAGCCTCCAGAGTAGCTGGGACTACAGGCACCCGCCACCATGCCCAGCTAATTTTTTGTATTTCTAGTAGAGACGAGGTTTCACCATGTTGGCCAGGCTGGTCTCGAACTCCTGACCTCAGGTGATCCACCCGCCTCAGCCTCCCAAAGTGCTGGGATTACAGGCGTGAGCCACCGCGCCCGGCCTGGAAAGAAACTAACATGTTGAGTATGTTTGGGTGTCTTTTTTTTTTTCTTTTTTAAGGCTAGTCAAGTGAAGCAGTAGGAGTGGAGAAGAAAATTCAGGTATGTTTGTCAAAGAGGCTTAGCTTACCCTAAGGAATAAAATTTTAATTATATGAGCTCTTCAGGAAATGCATTTCACGCACAAAACATACCTCTGGGCCATAACATACACAATGCAGGTTCCAGGTGGCTAGTGAACAAACCTTAGTCTCCGCTTCTCAGAGATGTTCAGTGCATAATTTCGAAGAGAATGGCTGCTGAGGTTTTCAGCGATTCTGTCCTCCAGCTGGGAGCTGTAAGAGTCGGTTGGCTTTAGCAAAGTTCCGCTTTGCTTGTCCCGGGAATGGACAGTCGTTCTCCTACGTGCAATGGA
Source organism: Homo sapiens (assembly GCF_000001405.40). Lineage (NCBI taxonomy): Eukaryota > Metazoa > Chordata > Mammalia > Primates > Hominidae > Homo > Homo sapiens. Next base: position 19,009,245 of record NC_000016.10, on the reverse strand, counting down.
CCGGTAGCTTGGCAATTCTTGGAGGAAGTTCACAGGTGGAGAAGAGAAGCAACTGGAGTCTAGAGAGAGGTTCTCTATGTAAAAGAAAAGAAAGTCATCATTCACTCCAGTGAGTTCGGAAGCCAAGCAGGAAACTTGGATCTTGGACATCATCACTGAACCTTGCAGATAGTTACTAGCCTGGGTCAGTGACGACAGCATTTTGATCTTATTTTATTTACCACAGTGGTGCTCAGGACAATGAAATCATCTGCAGATGGGCTCGCTTTCTGCAGATGTGTTTGCAGACATGCTTTAAATTGCACAATATCTGATCTCCAGTGTTTGGCTACAGACACTAGCTAAAAGCATGGCCTTGGGCAAGTTATCTAAACTTGCCCAAAGTTTTAAATATTTTAAATATCTGTCAAATGGGGCTGGTAATATTTGCTCCAACTTCCTCCCACAGTGTAGGGTATAGTAATGTATTCAATAAAACTCTAAAAAGCATAAAGTATACCATGCAAATGCATGGCAACAACATCAGCAACAATAATAATAGCATTTCCTGTGTGTCAGGCATGGTGTTAAGAGCTTCACACATATTCATGGGATCTGGGCTGGCCTCCTGATCTGCTTGGACCAACAGAACACAGCAGAAGTGATGCTGGGCCAGTTCTAAGCCCAGCCTTAGGAGGTCTTGCAGACTTCTGCTTGTCTCTGGAGCCCAGCCAGAACAAGCCTGAGCTAGCCTGCTGGAAGATGAGACTATGTGGGATGACTGCCCCAGCTGAGGCCGCTCCAGACCAGTCTTCAGCCAGCTTGACCGCCCTGCTAACCACAGACACTCAGAATGAATGACATTCCTAATTTGCTTGCATTTAGAGAGCTGGTGATTGGGAGCACTGCAGACAAAGCCAGGGCTGACTCCAAAACCCTTATCGTTTCTATATCAGGCCAGAGCTAGAAGCCAAGCTTTGCTGTGTCTTGGGCAGCAGGCTAAGGCAGGCGGGCTTTCTGCTGAAGGGGAGGGAAGCTACCTTCAAGATGGGTTTTATCCCTGATCAGATTTTAGTTGCAGGAAGATCACTCTGAGTGGAGACAGACAGGACTCAGGGAGAAGAGGGGGCAGGCAGCCATAATTACCTAAGCAATTACCCCTATGCAGCAAAGCTTCTATGCAGCAAAGCTTCATGATCAATGCCAAATGCTTGAGTTTGGATCCCCACTCTGTCACTTATTAGCTGTATGTCTTTGTGAAAGTTACTTAACCTTTCTAAGACTCAGTTTCCTCATCTCAAATACTCATTCAACAACTCTATCTACCATATGTCATATCTGGAACTAAGGGAACTGCAGTGAACAAGGCAAGTGCCCTACTCACGCGGCAGTTATATTCTGAGATGAGGGAGAGGGATATCAAATAATAAACAGGCAGTAAATATTATGCCAGGAAGTGATAAGTGTAATGAAAAAAAAAAAAAAGAACAGAGTGGTGTCAGGGGACAGAGGTGATATGAGAGGGGTAAACTGTTTTTGATAAGGTGGGGTCAGGTATTGTCTCTCTTTATTTTATTTATTTATTTTTTTTTTTTTTGAGACGGAGTCTCGCTCTGTCACCCAGGCTGGAGTGCAGTGGCACGTGATCTCGGTCTCTCTTTAAAGGTGACATTTAGCTAAGGCTGAATGAAGGGAAGGGGTGAGACCCCTGGATATTTGGGGAAAAGCACCCCAGGCAGAGGGAACCCATAAGTGGAAAGGCCCAGCGGCAGAAGAGTGTGTGACAGGTTGGAGGAAGAGTTAATGAGCAAGAACCTGGTGGGCGGTTTCGTTGGTGGCCTCCAATGAGCCACACTGGCCTGGCCCTCTGCGTGGTCCCCTCCTTGAATCTGCACAGGACCTGTGCTTGCTTTAACCAAAGGACTCAATGGAAGTAATGCTCTGCCATTTCCAGCCCAAAGTCATAAGAGGGCCTTGCAGTAGCCACTTCTGTGTTCTCGGGCCAGGGTTACCTGGTAGGAAGTCCAACTGCCTAGGACAATGAGGTGGAGAGGAAGAGCCCCTAAGCCTACAAAAAGAACCAACAACCTGGGTGACTGCAAGAACCAAGGCCCCAGGCTCGTGTCTTCAAACCCCTGGGACAGCCAGGCACGGTGGCTCACACCTGTAATCCCAGCATTTTGGGAGGCCGAGGCAGGCGGATCACCTGAGGTGGGGAGTTCAAGACCAGCCTGGCCAACATGGTGAAATCCCATCTCTACTAAAAATACAAAAAAAAAAAAACTAGCTGCACGTGGTGGCACGCGCCTATAATCCCAGCTACTCAGGAGGCTGAGGTAGAAGAATAGCTTGAACCTGGGAGGCAGAGGTTGCAGTGAGCCGAAATTGGACCACTACACTCCAGCCTAAGCGACAGAGCAAGACTTTGTCTCAAAAAAGCAAAACAAAAGAAAACAAAAAAAACCCCTGGGGCATCCTCACCAGGCATCGCCATGATGAGGCCATCTTGGGTGCTCCAGCGCCAGCAGACATCCCAGGCAGCAGTGCAAGCGGGCTCCCCCGTGCCCTGCATCGTCCCTGATGCACAGAATCAGCAGAAATAACAACATGGCTTAAGCCAGCACATTTGGAGCAGTGTGTTGAGCAACAATAGGTATTTAGGACAGGGAGAATGGAAACGTTAAAGTCAGAGGGGTGGCTGGGGTCGAACCAAGTCAGGCTTTGTAGACTGTGGCAGGACCTTGGGATGTTGTGCTTTGACTGCATTTTAAAAGGTCACCCTGGGCCGGGCACGGTGGCTCACGCCTGTAATTCCAGCACTTTGGGAGGCCAAGGCAAGGGGATCACCTGAGGTTGGGAGTCCAAGACCAGCCTGACCAACATGGAGAAACGCTGTCTCTACTAAAAATACAAAATTAGCTGGGCACGCTAGCGCGTGCCTGTAATCCCAGCTATTTAGGATCGCTTGAACCCAGGAGGCGGAGGTTGCAGTGAGCCGAGATCGTGCCATTGCACTCCAGCCTGGGCAACAAGAGCGAAACTCCGTCCAAAAAAAAAAAAAAAGGTCACCCTGGAGGCTGCAAGGGCAAGGCTGGGGTCAGGACTTGCTACACAGCCTGTTTATGAACATTAAAGGGGATCACATGGGTAGAAGGTCCCAGGCAGTGCTCGGCACACACAGAGCTCCATAAAGGCACCAACCGGATGAGGATGGGCAGGGGCAGGGCCAGGTGGGGACCGGTCAAGGCCTGGCTCTGACACTGTAATCTTTGCCTTTCTCGGATAGGCAAGTTCAGACACAATGGAGCAGCTGTCCCACTGTAGATGACACATGGACACGTGGCTGGGGCCCTGCCAATCACCATGTGCAAGTCTACGAGCCTCACCCACCCTTCTACCTCCCTGCCTGGCACACCCTGAGGATATGACACACTTCCATTAGTGGCAGTGGCTCCCTAGAGCCAATATGAGGGTAGGGTGGGTGTGGTCCCTGAAAAGGAAAAGGGTCTAAGCCCTGCATGGAGGCTACCCTCCTGCAAGCAGAAACAAAGAGCTATTATTAGCCACAAACAAAGGTCTTTGAATATAGAACAGCATGGACCTACTGAATATTCAACAGCTGTGGGGTCAGGGGCCCCAGGCTGGAGCCTGGGTTGGTTTAAAATACTGGCCTGTCACCCACCAGCCAAGCCACCCCAGGAGAGACCACAGCTGCCTCAGAGTCACATTTTTCTCATCTCGGGAATGGAGGATCTAATACCATGGGCCTCATCAGCATGATGGTGAGGAAGGAGTTGCAAACAACATGAACAACACTGGCTAAGATTTATTGAGTACTTGCCTACCTTGTACCAGGCCATTTAAAGTATTTAACATGCGGGCCAGGCGTGGTGGCTCACGCCTGTAATCCCAGCACTTTGGGAGGCCGAGGCGAGTGGATCACGAGGTCAGGAGATCAAGACCATCCTGCTAACATGGTGAAACCCCATCTCTACTAAAAATACAAAAAAATAGCCGGGCATGGTGGCGGGTGCCTGTAGTCCCAGCTAACTTGGGAGGCTGAAGCAGAAGAATGGCGTGAACCCAGGAGGCAGAGCTTGTGGTGAGCCAAGATTTTGCCATTGCACTCCAGCCTGGGCGACAGAGCGAGACTCCGTCTCAGAAAATAAATAAATAAATAAATAAATAAATAAATAAATAAATAAATAAAATAAAGTATTTAACATGCATCGTCACACTTAATACTCCGAACTACTCTTTAGAGAGAATTATCCCCATTGTGCTGGTGTGGTCTCAGCTACTTTGGGAGGCTAAAGCAGGAGGATTGCTTGAGCCCAGGAATTCAAGACCAGCTTGGTCAACATAACAAGACTCCAATTCCAAGAAAAAAAAAACCCAAAAGACAAACAAAAGAATTATCTCCATGTTACAGATTAATAACTGAGGCTCAGACAATTAGTAAGTGTTGCTTGCTCACACAGTAAGTGTTGGAACTAGGAACCCATCACAGGTTTATCAGACCCCAAAGCTGTAGTCTTCACCATGAAAAAATTCAGGGGGCCATGGATTTAAAAGTGTTTGTAAATGTTAAAATACCGTATAAGCTGGGCACGGTGGCTCACGCCTGTAATCCCAGCACTTTGGGAGGCTGAGGCAGGTGGATCACTTGAGGTCATGAGTTCAAGACCAGCCTGGCCAACATGGTGAAACCCCGTCTCTATTAAAACTAGAAAAATCAGCCAGGCATGGTGGCAAGTGCCTGTAATCCCAGCTACTCAGGAGGCTGAGGCAGGAGAATTGCTTGAAGCCAGGAGGCGGAGGTTGCAGTGAGCCGAGATCACGCCACTGCACTCCAACCTGGGCAACAGAGCAAGACTCCATCCCAAAAAATATATACAAATAAATAAATAAAAATAAAAATAAAATTCCATACAAATCAACTAGGTAATTATCCTGTTTTTCATACACCACCTACCCCCTCCTAGGAAGAACTGTTCTGATTTTTCCTCTTTAGACACTCCAGGGAAGTTCCTCAACTTCAAACAAAAAATGTCACGACCATGTCTTTGAACACAGGCATCATTATTTTTATAACTAGGATCCACCCCCTCGTTTGCATATAACACACACTTTTCCCAGCATGACGTCACCTCATTTCTCACGCCAACCTGCAGAGGTAAGCACAGAGGGCTTCACTTGCCCTGGTATTTTTTTTTTTTTTTTTAAATTTATTTTTTTATTGATAATTCTTGGGTGTTTCTCACAGAGGGGGATTTGGCAGGGTCATGGGACAATAGTGGAGGGAAGGTCAGCAGATAAACAAGTGAACAAAGGTCTCTGGTTTTCCTAGGCAGAGGACCCTGCGGCCTTCCGCAGTGTTTGTGTCCCTGATTACTTGAGATTAGGGATTGGTGATGACTCTTAACGAGCATGCTGCCTTCAAGCATCTGTTTAACAAAGCACATCTTGCACCGCCCTTAATCCATTTAACCCTGAGTGGACACAGCACATGTTTCAGAGAGCACAGGGTTGGGGGTAAGGTCACAGATCAACAGGATCCCAAGGCAGAGGAATTTTTCTTAGTGCAGAACAAAATGAAAAGTCTCCCATGTCTTCTACTTTCTACACAGACACAGCAACCATCCGATTTCTCAATCTTTTCCCCACCTTTCCCGCCTTTCTATTCCACAAAGCCGCCATTGTCATCCTGGCCCGTTCTCAATGAGCTGTTGGGCACACCTCCCAGACGGGGTGGTGGCCGGGCAGAGGGGCTCCTCACTTCCCAGTAGGGGCGGCCGGGCAGAGGCGCCCCTCACCTCCCGGACGGGGCGGCTGGCCGGGCAGGGGGGCTGACCCCCCCCACCTCCCTCCCGGACGGGGCGGCTGGCCGGGCAGAGGGGCTCCTCACTTCCCAGTAGGGGCGGCCGTTGCCCTGGTATTTTTTATTTTTTTTGAGATAGGGTCTTGCTCTATTGCCCAGGCTGGAGTGTAACCTGAATTCCTGGGCTCAAGCGATCCTCCCACCTCAGCCTCCCAAATAGCTGGGACTACAGATGCACACCACTACACCTGGATAATTTTTTTCTTTTTCAGTTTTTAGTAGAGACGGGGTCTTGCTTTGTTGCCTAGGCTGGTCTCAAACTCCTGGGCTCAAGTGATCCTCCCGCCTTAGCCTCCCAAAGGGCTGGGATTACAGGCATAAGCCACCACCCTTGGCCTGCTCTGGCTTTCCAACAGGGAAACTGAGGCCCAGGCATGGTGACTTGCCCAAGACTTGAGTGTCAAGACAGACTCCTGGTTTTACCACAGGTCATTTCACCACTTAGAGCCTTGATGTCCTTCTCATCCTTAAAGAATAAGATCATCTCATTACAGTTATTGTCAGACATTCTACTGAATTGGTCCAGCCAAGAGCCTTGCTGTTGGGATGGCCACTGTAGTCCTGTGGTCAGCGTGGGCTGCTGTTGACCATCTGCACAGGAGCAGGTAGCATATTTCAGATATTGGGGTGCCTCTAAGAATGCCTAGAACTTCTTGGTCACTGGGGCCAGATTTCAGCAATTAGGAGATTATTACTTAGGTAGGAGGATGACTGGGTAATTCCAGGAGACATGAGGGAGCAGGGCCAGGCATAGCCAATTTTTCTGCCATATACTATTCTTCCAGGTTAAGGACAAAGTCTCTCTGAGGCTTAAAAGCGGTGTCTTGCTCACAGAAGGCCCTCCATCCGGGCTGGGCACTGTGGCTCACGCCTGTAATCCCAGCACTTTGGGAGGCCAAGGCGGGTGGATTACCTGAGGTCAGGAGTTCAAGACCAGACTGACCAACATGGTGAAACCCTGTCTCTACTAAAAAAATACAAAATTAGCCGGGCGTGGTGATGCATGCCTGTAATCCCACTACTTGGGAGGCTGAGGCAGGAGAATCACTTGAACCCAGGAGGCGGGGGTTGCAGTGAGCCGAGATCACTCCATCACACTTCAGTCTGGACAACAACAGCAAAACTCCATCTTAAAAAAAAAAAAAAAAAAAGCGGCCCTCCATCTGAAGAATGAATGAATGAATGAATGAGCAGTGGCAGAGGCAGGTACATCTGGTGAGCATCCTGAGGTCCTTTCTTGGCAACTTTTCCCACAGGACACCACATCCTACCAACAGGCATGAACCTCCCAGGATGTGGGCACCAGCCAAGTATGATCTAAATGGCACTAAAACCACCACCAGCTTCCCCCGCGTTCTAGCCAAGAAACTTGCCCAACCGTATTTGGTGCTGAGTTCACAGCAGGGGTTTGTTTCCCACACAAAGTATCATGGAAACTCTGGGTAAAAAGGGACCTTGTAGGTCACTGGATCCAGGCCTCTCACCAGCTGCTATGGGAATTAGTTCTGTTTGACAACTTGCGTGGATCCTCTCTCTGGGCCAGACTCCAGACTGGAGGTTGGGACTCTGGAGAAGATGAAGACTTGCTCTGTGCTTTGATGAGCTTTTGCTCACTCCTTCAAACACCACATAGCTCCTAAGTACCCACTCCACCGCACTCACTCACCCCTGTTACTACTCCATCCTTTTTGTGTTGTTTGTTTAAGACAAGGTTTTGCTCTGTTGCCCAGGCTGGAGTGCAGTGGTACCATCATAGCTCACTGCAGCCTTGATCTCCCAGGCTCAGGCAATACTCCTCGCCTCAGGCTCCTGAGTAGCTGGGACCACAGGTGTGCACCACTACACCCAGTTAATATGCATATATTTTAATAGAGATGAGGTCTCGTTATGTTGCCCAGGCTAGTCTCGAACTTCTGGGCTCAAGTGATCCTCCCACCTCAGCCTCCCAAAGTGCTGGGACTATAGGTGTGAACCACCACACTCAGCCTACTCTGTCCTTTTTAATTTTTTACTTGTGTGTTGTCTCTGACTCTATAACTTCTATGAAGGCAGGGACCTTATCTCTTTCTGTCACTGCTGAATTACCAGGGTCTAGCACAGAGCCTGGTACAGGACAGATGCTTAATAAATACCTTCTAAGTTGAATGAATGAATAATTCAGGAATGAATGAATTTGATGCTGAGGATACAAGATAGGTTAGATCACCCACCACGCCAACCAAAGTACTTTACATACCAGGAAAGAAAGGGTGTCAAAAAAATGAGTAAAAGATTTTAGGAATTTAACCCTTGAATATTATTCTTCTCTATATGAATGATGTATTTTTTTCACAATACAAAACATTTTGTTGTTTTGTTTGGTGTTTTATTTTTGAGACAGGATCTCACTCTGTCACCCACACTAGAGTGCAGTGGTGCCATTTCCACTCACTCTGCCTCCCAGGCTCAAGCAATCCTCTGGCCTCAGCCTCCCAAGTAGCTGGGACTACAGGTGTGTGCCACCACACCCAGTTAATTTTTTGTATTTTTAGTAGAGATGGGGTTTTACCATATTGCCCAGACTGGTCTCAAACTCCTGGACCCAAGCAATGCACCTGCTTCCACCTCCCAAAGTATTGAAATTACAGGGGTGAGCCACCGTACCTGGAACAAAAATAATTTACAGGGTAAAAAAAGCTGGCAAAAAATATTGACTGGGATGTTGACCATATATCACATTCTTCCTATTTCAGGTACTCTACACAAACCAGCCCTATTAGAAATGTGCTTTGCTTTTTCTTCTCATGAAATGATAAAATGTCATGCATGCACACACAATTTGATATTACCGATAAGTCGATGTAGATATCAATCTCAGAACATTATGGACTTCTTTTCACTTGAATTGTTTTTATTTTTTGTTTTTGCTTTTGAGACAGAGTCTTGCTCTGTCACCCAGGCTGGAGTGCAGTGGTGCAGTGGCGCAATCTCAGCTCACTGCAACCTCTGCCTCCCGGGTTCAAGCGATTCTCCTGCCTCAGCCTCCCAAGTAGCTGGGATTACAGGCGTGTACCACCACGCCCGGCTAATTTTTTGTATTTTTGGTAGAGACAAGATTTCACCATGCTGGCCAGGCTGCCCTCGAACTCTTGGCCTCAAATGATCCACTTGCCTCAGCCTCCCAAAGTGCTGGGATTACAGGCGTGAGCCACCATGCCTGGCTGAATTGTTTTTATTTTGGATGTTAAGTGGAGGGAGGGTGTCCAGATAATCTGTGTTTACAGCTACTAAAGGGTCTTAACCCAAGAACTCATAAAGCCCGGACTCTGCCCGGCGTGGTGGCTCGCAGCCTTCGTGATTACACGCCTGTAATCCCAGCACTTTGGGAGGCTGAGGCGGGTGGATCACGAGGTCAGGAGATCGAGACCATCCTGGCTAACATGGTGAAACCCCGTCTCTACTAAAAATACAAATAATTAGCAGGGCGTGGTGGCGGGCACCTGTAGTCCCAGCTACTCTGGAGGCTGAGGCAGGAGAATGGCGTGAACTCGGGAGGCAGAGCTTGCAGTGAGCCGAGATCGCGCCACTGCACTCCAGCCTGGGCAACAGGGCGAGACTCTATCTCAAAAAAAACAAAAACAAAAACAAAAAAACGTCCCCAGACTCTAGTTGAAGCTGCTATGACATGTCAATCAATTGCAAGAAGCCCTCCAAAGCCAGTGGCTGATCATTGCCCTGCTCCTGGAAAGACCACCCACCCATCCATCTATTCATGTATTCACCCACCAGTCAGTCACTCAGAAACATTTACTGAGCAACTATCACCACTCAAGCACTGTTCTAGGACTACAACATAGCCTTGAAGACCACACACCATTTCCCTGCTTTTACGAAACTTACATTCTATTTGGAGGAGACAGACATTAAACAAGTAAAAACAATGTATTTCAGATGTTGATAAGTGCATGGAGAAAAATAAGTCAGGGGTGCGGGCATGGTGGCTTACCCTTTGTTGGGCTTCGGCAATGAAGGGCATGTTCTATATCTGCACTGTCCAATACAGTGGCCACTGGCCACATGGGACTATTAAGCAATTGAAATATGACTGGCTGGATGCAGTGGCTCATGCCTATAATCCCAACACTTTGAGAGGATGAGGCGGGAGGATTGCTTGAACCCAGGAGTTCAAGACCAACCTGGGCACCATAGTGAGACCCTGTCTCTACAGAAAAATAAAACATTTTTTTGGCTGAGGTGGGAGGATCGCTCGAGCCTGGAAGGTTGAGGCTGCAGTGAGCTGTGATGGAAGCAATGCACTCCATCCTAGGTGACAGAGAGAGACACTGTCTCAAAATAAATAAATACAGCATAGAGGGGCCTCAATCACAGCAGCCCAGAGCTTAGTCTGAGAGGGGAGGAGCCAGAGGCCCTGGTAGCCTCCCGGATCTGCTAGACTTTGTAACAGTAGTGTCAGGAGAAACTGCATGACTCACGTCAACTGGCACCTGGGTGGGGCCGGTGACTGGCTGGGTCTAAGGCTTTACAAACAGATGAGCAAACAGCCTTCAGGAGCAGTGACTAACTCCATCATAAGAGCTGCTGCTGGGCCTGGAACTCAAGCCCTCAAGCCCCTGCTTTTCTTTTTTTTTTTTTGAGACAGAGTCTCACTCTGTCACCCAGGCTGGAGTGCAGTGGCTTGATTTCAGCTCACTGCAAGCTCCGCCTCCTGGGTTCACGCCATTCTCCTGCCTCAGCCTCCCAAGTGGCTGGGACTATGGGTGCCCGCCACCACGCCCGGCTAATTTTTTGTATTTTTAGTAGAGACGGGGTTTCACCATGTTGGCCAGGATGGTCTCGATCTCCTGACCTCGTGATCCACCCGCCTCAGCCTCCCAAAGTGCTGGGATTACAGGCGTGAGCCACCGCGTCCAGCCAAGCCCCTGCTTTTCATGCCCGTGGAGCATCTGGTCAGGGGTCTGTGGGGCAGTTACTGCAATTCTGTCTGTCCGAGAAGGTGGCAAGGCCTGGCAGTTAAGAGCACAGTTTCCCAACCCACCCTGCCTGGATTTGGACACCAGCCTCACTTGCTGCCTGCATAACCTGGCAAGTTTCTTGACCATTCCATGCCTTGGTTTTCCCACCTATAAAATGTAGACAGCGGTTCCTACCTCCTATAGCTGTCCTGAGGATTAGATGGCAATCATATGTAATGTGCTTAGAACAGACGTCAGCAAACGTTTTCTGTAAAGAGGTAGGAATTTACTATTTGCAATTACTCAGCTTTGTCCTTGTAGCAGGAAAGCAGCCACAGATAATCCATAAACGAATGAGCATGGCTGTGTTCTACTAAAGGTTGAATTACAAAAAAAAAGGTTGGCCAGGCTTGGTGGCTCACGCCTGTAATCCCAGCATTTTGGGAGACCGAGGCGGGCGGATCACGAGATCAGCAGATCGAGACCATCCTGGCTAACATGGTGAAACCCCGTCTCTACTAAAATACAAAAAAAAAATTAGCCGGGCATGGTGGTGGGTGCCTGTAGTCCCAGCTACTCGGGATGCTGAGGCAGGAGAATGGTGTGAACCCGGGAGGCGGAGCTTGCAGTGAGCCGAGATCGTACCACTGCACTCCAGCCTGGGCGACAGAGCAAGACTCCATCTCAAAAAAAAAAAAAAAAAAGGCTGGATTTGGCACAGGAGTTGTTTGCAGATCCTTGGCTCAAAACAGTGCCTGAGGCCGGGTGCGGTGGCTGGGTGCGGTGGCTCAATCCCAGCACTTTGGAGGCCAGAGGTGGCTGGATCACCTGAGGTCAGGAGTTGGAGACCAGCCTGGCCAACATGGCGAAACCCTGTCTCTACTAAAAATACAAAAATTAGCTGGGTGTGGTGGTGGGCGCCTGTAATCCCAGCTACTTGGGGGGCTAAGGCAGGAGAATCGCTTGAATCCAGGAGTCAGAGGTTGCAGTGAGCCGAGATCACACCACTGCACTCCAGTCTGGGTGACAGAGTGAGACCCTGTCTCAAAAAATAAAAAGGCCAGGCACGGTGGCTCATACCTGTAATCCCAGCACTTTGAGAGGCCAAGGCAGGCTGATCACTTGAGGTCAGTGTCAGGCCTCTGAGCCCAAGCTAAGCCATCGTATCCCCAGTGACCTGCACATATACATCCAGATGGCCTGTTTGGTGTTCTCTTCACATAGACATGTGAGACATTTGATGCCAAAACCCAGGACGGGAGGACTCCTTCGGGAGACCGGTCCCCTGTCCTCGCCCTCACTCCGTGAGGAGATCCACCTATGACCTCGGGTCCTCAGACCAACCAGACCAAGGAACATCTCACCAATTTCAAATCAGGTAAGCAGTCTTTTCACTCTTCTCTGGCCTCTCTCGCTACCCTTCAATCTCCCTGTCATTCCAATTCCAGTTCTTTTTCCTCTCTAATAGAGACAAAAGAGACACATTTTATTCGTGGACCCAAAACTCCGGCGCTAGTCATGGACTTGGGAAGACAGCCTTCCCTTGATGTTTAATCACTGCGGGGACACCTGCCTGATTATTCACCCACATTTCATTGGTGTCTGATCACCGCAGGGATGCCTGCCTTGGTCATTCACCCACATTCCCTTGGTGGCAAGTCAATTGCGGAGACGCCTGCTTTGGCTGCTCACCCACATTGCAGCCCAGGGCTGCTCTCCACCCCCTTCTCTGTGTCTCCACCTTTCTCTTTAAACTAACGTCCTTCACTATGGGCAACCTTCCGCCCTCCATTCCCCCTTCTTCTCCCTTAGCCTGTGTTCTCAAGAACTTAAAACCTCTTCAACTCGCACCTGACCTAAAACTTAAATGCCTTATTTTCTTCTGCAATACTGCTTGGCCCCAATACAAACTCGACAGTAGTTCCAAGTGGCCAGAGAATGGCACTTTCGATCTGTCTATCCTATAAGATCTAGATAGTTTTTGTCGAAAAATGGGCAAATTCCTACAAGATCTAGATAATTTTTGTTGAAAAATGGGAAATGGTCTGAGGTGCCTGACATCCAGGCATTCTTTTACACATTGCTCCCTCCCTAGTCTCTGCTCCCAATGCGACTTGTCCCAAATCTTTCTTCTTTCTCCTGTCTGTTCCCTCAGTCACCACCCCAAGCTCTGAGTCCTTTGAATCCTTCTTTTCTACAGACTCATCTGACCTCTCCCCTTCTCCCCAGGCTGCTCCTCGCCAGGCCAAGCCAGGTCCCAATTCTTCCTCAGCCGCTGCTCCCCAACCCTAGGATCTATCTGTCACCTCCCCTCCTCACACCCAGTCTGGCTTACAGATTCGTTCTGCAACTAGCCCTCCCCTACCTGCCCAACAATTTCCTCTTAAAAAGGTGGCTGGAGCTAAAGGCAAGTCAAGGTTTCTTTATCTGACCACTCCCAAATCAGTTAGCATTTAGGTTTTTTTTCATCAAATATAAAAACCCAGCCCAGTTCATGGCATGCTTGGCAACAACCCTTAGACACTTTACTGTCCTAGATCCAGGAGGAAGGCTGTCTTATTCTCAATATGCACTTTATTACCCAGTCCACTCCTGACATTGGAAAAAGCTCCAAAAATTAGATTCCGGCCCTCAAACCCCATAACAGGACCTTATTAACCTCGCTTTCAAGGTGTACAATAATAGAGTAGATGCAGCCAAGTAGCAACGTATTTCTGAGTTGCAATTACTTGCCTCCACTGTGAGAGAAACCCCAGCCACATCTCTAGCACACAAGAACTTCAAAACGTCTGAACCGCAGCGGCCAGGCGTTCCTCCAGGACCGCCTCCCCCAGGATCTTGCTCTAAGTGCTGGAAATCTGGCCACTGGGCCAAGGAATGCCCGCAGCCCAGGATTCCTCCTAAGCCGTGTCCCATCTGTGTGGGACCCCATTGGAAATTGGACTGTCCAACTCGCCCGGCAGCCACTCCCAGAGCCCCTGGAACTCTGGCCCAAGGCTCGCTGACTGATTCCTTCCCAGATCTTCTCAGCTTAGTGGCTGAAGACTGATGCTGCCTGATCACCTCAGAAGCCTCCCGGACCATCACGGACGCTTTGGGTAACTCTTACAGTGGAGGGTAAGTCTGTCCCCTTCTTAATCAATACGGAGGCTACCCACTCCACATTACCCTCTTTTCAAGGGCCAGTTTCCCTTGCCTCCATAACCGTTGTAGGTATTGACAGCCAGGCTGCTAAACCTCTTAAAACTCCCCAACTCTGGTGCCAACTTGGACAACATTCTTTAATGTACTCCTTTTATTTATCCCCACCTGCCCAGCTCTTATTAGGATGAGACATTTTAACTAAATTATCTGCTTCTCTGACTATTCCTGGGCTACAGCCACACCTCATTGCCGCCTTTTCCCCCAGTTCAAAGCCTCCCTCACATCCTTTCCTTGTATCTCCCCACCTTAATCCACAAGTATAGGACACCTCTACTCCCGCCTTGGCAACGGATCATGCACCCCTTACCATCCCATTAAAACCTAATCACCCTTACCCCGCTCAATGCCAATATCCCATCTCACAGCACGCTTTAAAAGGATTAAAGCCTGTTATCACTTGCCTGTTACAGCATGGCCTTTTAAAGCCTATAAACTCTCCTTACAATTCCCCCATTTTAGCTGTCCAAAAACTGGACAAGTCTTACAGGTTAGTTCAGGATCTGAGCCTTATCAACCAAATTATCTTCCCTATCCACCCCGTGGTGCCAAACCCATATACTCTCCTATCCTCAATACCTCCCTCCACAACCCATTCTGTTCTAGATAAACCTAGCTGACCCCATAAATCCTAACTCCTTTCCCCACTCCCCTTTCCATTCCTTAAGAAGCAGCCCTAAAAGCTGTTCCCACACTAGCTCTCCCTAACTCATCCCCACCCTTTTCATTACACACAGCCAAAGTACAGGGCTGTGCGGTCAGAATTCTTTTTTTTTTTTTTGAGAAGAGTCTCGCCGTGTCACCCAGGCTGGAGTGCAGTGGCACGATAGTCAGTATTCTTACACAAGAGCCAGGAGTGCGCCCTGTAGCCTTTCTGTCCAAACAACTTGACCTTACTGTTTTCGCATAGCCCTCATGTCTGCATGTGGCGGCTGCTGCTGCTGCTTTAATACTTTTAGAGGCCCTCAAAATCACAAACTATGCTCCACTTACTCTCTACAGTTCTCATAACTTTCAAAATCTATTTTCCTCCTCACACTTGAAGTATATACTTTCTGCCCCCCAGCTCCTTCAGGTATACTCAGTCTTTGTTGAGTCTCCCACACTTACCATTGTTCCTGGCCTGGACTTCAATCCAGCCTCCCACATTATTCCAGATACCACACCTGACCCCCATGACTGTATCTCTCTGATCCACCCGACATTCACTTCATTTCCCCATATTTCTTTCTTTCCTGTTCCTTACCCTGATCACACTTGGTTTATTGATGGCAGCTCCACCAGGCCTAATCACCACTCACCAGCAAAGGCAGGCTATGCTATAGTATCTTCCACATCTATCATTGAGGCTACCACTCTGCCCCCCTCCACTACTTCTCAGCAGGCTGAACTCATTGCCTTAACTCGGGCCCTCTCTCTTGCAAAGGGACTACACGTCAATATTTATACTGACTCTAAATATGCCTTCCATATCCTGCACCACCATGCTGTTATATGGGCAGAAAGAATGTCCTCACTATGCAAGGGTCCTCCATCATTAATGCCTCTCTAATAAAAACTTCTCAAAGCTGCTTTACTTCCAAAGGAAGCTGGAGTCATTCACTGCAAGGGCCATCAAAAGGCATCAGATCCCATCACTCAGGGCAACACTTATGCTGATAAGGTAGTTAAAGAAGCAGCTAGCGTTTCAACTTCTGTCCCTCATGGCCCGTTTTTCTCCTTCTCATTGGTCACTCCTATTTACTCTTCTACTGAAGTTTCCACCTATCAATCTCTTCCCACACAAGGCAAATGGTTCTTGGATCAAGGAAAATATCTCCTTCCAGCCTCACAGGCCCATTCTATTCTGTCATCATTTCATAACTTCTTCCATGTAGGTTACAAGCTGTTAGCCCACCTCTTAAAACTTCTCATTTCCTTTCCATCGTGAATATCTATCCCCAATCCTCCACTCTTGACTCCCTCTTGGAGTGGATAGATGATCTTTGCTGACAGGACACACTCCAACACTTTCACCCTGATGAAGTCCTATTCTTTACTTTTATACTCACTCTTGTTCTCATTCCCATTCTTATGCCACCCTCTACCTCTCCCCAGCTATCTCCACCACACTATCAATCTCACTCACTCTCTCCTAGCCATCTCTAATCCTTCTTTAAGAAACAATTGCTGGCTTTCAAAAGAACAAAGCTGGAGGCATCATGCTACCTGACTTCAAACTATACTACAAGGCTACAGTAACCAAAACAGCATGGTACTGGTACCAAAAAAGAGATATAGACCAATAGAACAGAACAGAGCCCTCAGAAATAATATCACACATCTACAACCATCTGATCTTTGACAAACCTAACAATAACAAGAAATGGGGAAAGGATTCCCTATTTAATAAATAGTT
Organism: Homo sapiens; assembly: GCF_000001405.40. Taxonomy (NCBI): domain Eukaryota; kingdom Metazoa; phylum Chordata; class Mammalia; order Primates; family Hominidae; genus Homo; species Homo sapiens. The sequence continues at coordinate 18,992,834 of NC_000016.10, read as the reverse complement.
CTGGGAAAACTGGCTAGCCATATGTAGAAAGCTGAAACTGGATCCCTTCCTTACACCTTCTACAAAAATTAATTCAAGATGGATTAAAGACTTAACTGTTAGACCTAAAACCATAAAAACCCTAGAAGAAAACCTAGGCAATACCATTCAGGACATAGGCATGGGCAAGGACTTCATGTCTAAAACACCAAAAGCAATGGCAACAGAAGCCAAAATTGACAAAAGGGATCTAATTAAACTAAAGAGCTTCTGCACAGCAAAAGAAACTACCATCAGAGTGAACAGGCAACCTACAGAATGGGAGAAAATTTTTGAAATCTACTTATCTGACAAAAGGCTAATATCCGGAATCTACAAAGAACTCAAACAAATTTACAAGAAAAAAACAAACAACCCCATCAAAAAGTGGGCAAAGGATATGAACAGACACTTCTCAAAAGAAGACATTTAAGAAGCCAACAGACACATGAAAAAATGCTCATCATCACTGGCCATCAGAGAAATGCAAATCAAAACCACAATAAGATACCATCTCACACCAGTTAGAATGGCCATCATTAAAAAGTCAGGAAACAACAGGCGCTGGAGAGGATGTGGAGAAATAGGAACACTTTTACACTGTTGGTGGGACTGTAAACTGGTTCAACCATTGTGGAAGACAGTGTGGCAATTCCTCAGGGATCTAGAACTAGAAATACCATTTGACCCAGCCATCCCATTACTGGGTATATACCCAAAGGATTATAAATCATGCTGCTATAAAGACACATGCACACGTATGTTTATCGTGGCACTATTCACGATAGCAAAGACTTAGAACCAACCCAAATGTCTATCAATGATAGACTGGATTAAGAAAATGTGGCACATATACACCATGGAATACTATGCAGCCACAAAAAAGGATGAGTTCATGTCCTTTGTAGCAACATGGATGACGCTGGAAACCAGCATTCTCAGCAAACTATCTGAGCAAACAAACAAGGACAAAAAACCAAACACCGCATGTTCTCACTCATAGGTGGGAATTGAACAATGAGAACACTTGGACACAGAAAGGGGAACATCACACACCGGGGCCTCTTGTGCGGTGCGGGGACGGGGGAGGGATAGCATTAGGAGATACACCTAATGTAAATGATGAGTTAATGGGTGCAGCATACCAACATGGCACATGTATACATATGTAACAAACCTGCACATTGTGCACATGTACCCTATAACTTAAAGTATAATTTAAAAAAATAAGTAAATAAATAAATAAAAAAGAAACAATTGCTGGCTTTGCAATTCTCTTTCCTCCAAAATCGCCGAGGCCTCAATTTACTCATTGCTGAAAAAGGAGGACTCTGTATATTTTTAAATGCAGAGTGTTGTTTTTACCTAAATCAATCTGGCCTGGTATATGACAACATAAAAAAACTCAAGGATAGAGCCCAAAAACTTGCCAACCAAGCAAATAACTATGCTGAACCCCCTTGGGCACTCTCTTAATTGGATGTCCTGGGTCCTCCCAATTCTTAGTCCTTTAATACCTGTTTTTCTCTTTCTCTTATTCAGACCTTGCGTCTTCTGTTTAGTTTCTCAATTCATACAAAACCATATCCAGGCCATCACCAATAATTCTATATGACAAATGCTCCTTCTAACAACCCCACAATATCAGCCCTTACCCCAAAATCTTCAGCTGAATCTCTCCCACTGTAGGTTCCCATGCTGCCCCTAGTCCCGCTCGAAGCAGCCCTGAGAAACATCACCCATTATCTCTCCATACCACCCCCAAAAATTTTCACTGCCCAGACACTTTACCACTATTTTGTTTTATTTTTCTTATTAACATAAGAAGACAGGAATGTCAGGCCTCTGAGTCCAAGCTAAGCCATCATATCCCAGTGACCTGCACGTATACATCCAGATGGCCTGAAGCAACTGAAGATCCACAGAAGTGAAAACAGCCTTAACTGATGATATTCCACCATTGTGATCTGTTTCTACCCCACCCTAACTGATCAATGTACTTTGTAATCTGCCCCACTCTTAAGAAGGTTCTTTATAATCTCCCCCACCCTTAAGAAGTTTATTTGTAATTCTCCTCACCCTTAAGAATGTACTTTGTGAGATCCACCTCCTGCCCCGAAAACATTGCTCTTAACTCCACCGCCTATACCAAAACCTATAAGAACCAACGATAATCCCACCACCCTTTGCTGACTCCTTTTTCGGACTCAGCCCACCTGCACCCAGGTGAAATAAACAGCTACGCTGCTCACGCAAAGCCTGTTTGGTGGTCTCTTCACACGGACACGTGAGACAGGAGTTCGAGACGAGCCTGGCCAATCTGGTGAAACCCTGTCTCTACTAAAAATACAAAAATTAGCCGGGCATGGTGGCGGGCACCTGTAATCCCAGCTACTCGGGAAGCTGAGGCACAAAAATTGCTTGAACGCAGGAGGCAGAGTTTGCAGTGAGCCAAGATCACACTGTCAGGCCTCTGAGCCCAAGCCAAGCCAGGCCATTGCATCCCCTGTGACTTGCACGTATATATCCAGATGGCCTGAAGTAACTGAAGATCCACAAAAGAAGTAAAAATAGCCTTAACTGATGACATTCCACCATTGTGATTTGTTTCTGCCCCATCCTAACTGATCAATGTACTTTGTAATCTCCCCCACCCTTAAGAAGGTACTTTGTAATCTCCCCAACCCTTAAGAAGGTTCTTTGCAATTCTCCCCACCCTTGAGAATGTACTTTGTGAGATCCACCCCTGCCTGCAAAACATTGCTCTTAACTTCACCGCCTATCCCAAAACCTATAAGAACTAATGATAATCCACCACCCTTTGCTGACTCTCTTTTCGGACTCAGCCCGCCTGCACCCAGGTGAAATAAACAGCCATGTTGCTCACACAAAGCCTGTTTGGTGGTCTCTTCACATGGACGCGCATGAAACACACGACTGCACTTCAGGCTGGGCGACAGAGCTAGATATCATCTCAAAAAAAATAAAAAAAAGGAGTCGCCTCCCCCCGAGAGGCCTCTGGACCACCCCACCTGAGCAGGCCACTCTTCCTTCTCTATCTTACCATCTTGTTTCTGTCCCAGTAGTTAGGGCTACCTCCAGTAATCCTATTTGTCCCTTTACCGTTTAGTGCGTCTCGCTTGACTAGAAGCTCCATGAAAGCAGAGACCCTACCTGCCTCCTTCGCCACTAGACCCCCAGGGCCTGGTATGTGGTGATCGCTCAGGGCCCATTTTCTTCCCTTCCTCCTCCTCCAAGGGTGGGGACAGAGCATCAGAAGGTCTAGGTGGCCCCAGGCCCAAACAATGCTCCTTTAAAAGGAAACCAGATTGTTACAAAGGTCAGAGGCCGAAAAGTTATTTCCGCCTTTTATCCCTCTAAATTCTTCACTTCCTGAAAAAAACAAACAAAAAAAAGCCACTGAGGGCCCTTGGACTAAATCCAGGCCTGAGTTGCTGGGCAGAGGTCAGTCTTGTCCAGACATGGGGAAAAAATAACTCGAGTCAGACGGGTGGGTCACCAGAGAACGAATCCAGCCTGCAAATGGCCTGTGCAATCTTCAGCTCTGTCCAGACCTGCCTCCCTCTGGGGATGCCTTTAAAGGTGATGAATGACCTGGACGAATGGGCTTAGAAGATAAGAGGGAAAAACAAATATCACAGGTCAAATGGTTATTTGTCTTCAAGTTTAACACCGTCTACTGGACTGAAAGACGTCCAAAGAATAGTTGTTCAACTATGTAAATTCCTTTTTTTTTTTTTTTTGAGACAGAGTCTCACTCTGTTGCCCAGGCTGGAGTGCAATGGTATGATCTTGGCTCACTGCAAGCAACCTCTGCTCCCGGGATCAAGCCATTCTCCTGCCTCAGCTTCCCAAGTAGCTGGGACTACAGGCATGTGCCACCACACTCAGCTAATTTTTGTATTGTTAGTAGAGACGGGGTTTCACCATGTTGACCAGGCTGGTCTTGAACTCCTGACCTCAGGTGATCCACCAGCCTCGGCATCCCAGAGTGCTGGGATTACAGGTGTGAGGCACTGTGCCCGGCCAACTACATAAATTCCTAACAACGTATCTCCAGAAAGTATAGGCACAACGGCACATGCAGTCATGCCCGTAATCAAGTGCTCCAGGAGGCCAAGGCAAGAAGATCCCTTGAGCCCAGGAGTTTGAGACCAGCCTGGCAACATAGCAAGACTCTGTCTCTACAAAATATACAAAAATTGGGCTGGGTATGGTGGCTCACGCCTGTAGGCCCAGCACTTTGGGAGACCAAGGCAGGAAGATCGATTGAACTCAGGAGTTTGGGACCAGCCTGGACAACATAACCAGACCCAGTCTCTACTAAAACTCAAAAAAATTAGCCAGACGTGGTTGCATGCGCCTGTAGTCCCAGCACTTTGGGAGGCCAAGGTGGGTGGATCACCTGAGGTCAGGAGTTCGAGACCAGCCTGGCCAACATGGTGAAGTATCATCTCTACCAAAAATACAAAAATTAGCCAGGCCTGGTGGCACACACCTGTAGTCCCAGCTACTTGGGAGGCTGAGGCAGGAGAATGGATTGAACCCAGGAGGCAGAGGTTGCAGTGAGCTGAGATCGCACCATTGCACTCCAGCCTGGGCAACAGAACAAGACTCCATCAAAAAAAAAAAAAAAAAAGAAAGAGAGAAGAAAAGAAAATTAACCAGGTGTGGCTGCATGCACCTGTAGTCCCAGCACTTTGGGAGGCCAAGGCAGGAGGATCAATCAAGGCTAGGAGTTTGAGACTGCAGAAGGAAACCCTGTCTCTAAAAACAAGGTCCAGCTAAAATCAGTGTCCAGCTCCACCACAAGCGCAGCTCCAGGGGCTGTTGAGTTTTGCCTCTACCGTTCCAAGTAGTCCCTGCTCCAGACCAAGTCCCACCATCTGGCAGTCAGGTCAGTCCAACCACAGTCATATCAAGGCCCTTCCAGGTTCTTTCATTGAGTGTCCCTTGAGGAGGCTGGAGGAGAGGCCAATGACATTTGCACTTGAGACTCCAGAGTCTAGCTTTATAACCACTATGTTACGGCTGCCAGTGTGGCTGCAAGGACACTTCTTTCATTCATTCATTTATTCATTCACAATAGATGTAGCATCTGCTGTGTGCCAGATGCCATTCTAGGTTCTAGGGAAACAAGGCAAAGCCCCTGTTTTCCAAGGCATCCACATTCTAGGAAAGACTGCTACCAGCCTGGCGTGGTGGCTCATGCCTGTAATCCCAGTACTTTGGGAGGCCGAGGTGGGCGGATCACTTGATGTCAGGAGTTCGAGACCAGCCAACATAGTGAAAGCCCGTTTCTACTAAAAGTACAAAAATCAGCTGGGCATGGTGGCACGTGCCTGTAGTCCCAGCTACTCAGGAGGCTAAGGCAGGAGAATCGCTTGAACCTGGGAGGCAGAGGTTGTGGTGAGCCGAGATCGCGCTACTGCACTCCAGCCTGGGCAACAGAGTGAGACTCCATCAAAAAATAATAATAATAAAATAAAGACTGCTACTAAACAAGAAAATAACCAAACCAGATAGATGACTTCAGGTGGTGGTAAGAGCTTTGAAAGAATAAGCAAGGTAACTAACTGGTCAGAGGAAGTGAGATGGGTGCATTGCCTCAGATAGACCGCCCCAGAGGTCTGCCTCTCTGACATGACATTTGAGTAGAGACCCAACAGGAAAAGGAAGAGGCTGCTCTATGGCCGGGTACGGTGGCTCACACCTGTAATCCCAGCACTTTGGGAGGCCCAGGCGGGCGGATCACGAGGTCAGGAGATCGAGACCATCCTGGCTAAGACGGTGAAACCCTGTCTCTACTAAAAATACAAAAAAATTAGCCAGGCGTGGTGGCGGATGCCTGTAGTCCCAGCTACTCGGGAGGCTGAGGCAGGAGAATGGCATGAACCCGGGAGACGGAGCTTGCAGTGAGCCGAGATCGCGCCACTGCACTTCAGCCTGGGCGACAGAGTAAGACTCCATCTCAAAGAAAAAAAAAAAGAACCAAGAGGAGTCCAGGCGAAGAGAACAGCAGATGCAAAGACCCTGAGGCAGAAACAATCTTGGTATGCTGGAGGAATAGGAAGGCAGCCAGTGCAGCTAGAGCAGGATAGGTTAAGGGAGGATCAAGGTGATGAGGGCCTGGAAAGAGGGGCTGGGGTCGAATCACCAGATCCTGTTGGTTGCGATGGAAGAGCCTGGAGTTTATTCTCAGAGCAGTGAGAAGCCACCGGAAAGTTGTTTTTCTGTTTTTGAGACAGAGTCTAGCTCTGTCACCCAGGCAGACTGCAGTGGTGCAACCTCGGCTCACTGTAACCTCTGCCTCCCAGGTTCAAGCGATTCTCCTGCCTCAGGCTCCCCAGTAGCTGGGATTACAGGCACATGCCGCCATACCCATCTTTTTTTTTTTTTTTTTTTCAGACAGAGTCTCTGTCACCCAGGCTGGAGTGCAGTGGCACAATCTCGGCTCACTGCAACCTCCACCTCCCGGGTTCAAGCGATTCTCCTGCCTCAGCCTCCCGAGTAGCTGGGACTACAGGTGCATGCCACCACACCTGGCTAATTTTTTGTGTTTTTAGTAGAGACAGGATTTCACCACGTTAGCCAGGATGGTCTCGATTTCCTGACCTCGTGATCTGCCCACCACGGCCTCCCAAAGTGCTGGGATTACAGGTGTGAGCCACTGTGCCTGGCCAGCCACCGGAAAGTTTTATGTAAGCAGGGGAGTGATCTGTTTTATCATTTAGAAGGATACATACCTCTTCTTTTTTTTTTAGAGACAGGGTCTAGTTCTGTCACCCAGGCTGGAGCCCAGTGTCATAATCATAGCTTACTGTAACCTCAAACTCCTGGGCTCAAGTGATCCTCCTGCCTCAGCATCCCAAAGTGCTGGATTACAGGCATGAGTCACCATGCCTGGTCACACTTCTCATTCTTTAAACCAGACCTCATTTGTCGCCTCCCCCATCCCCCGCCCCACCCCACGGACTGTCCTATAATGCCCATACAACAGGTCACTGTTTAGAAAGTGCTACAAAGTTACAAACACAGTCCCTTCTGAGCCTCCCACCAATGTTGGTGGGTACAAGATCAAAAAAAAAAAAAAAAAACTCATCTATCTAAGGGGCATAGAAGACTTTTTAGTTAGAGGGCCCAATTATAGTCCTCCTGAAAAGATGCCAAAAGTCCCCTCATACACTTAGCAAAGATGCAAGAAAGATGAATCTCACATTCTTTGTATGGGAAATGAGGAACTTGACATCTTCAATATAATGGATTCCACTAAAATAAGATGACTATTAATAGGAACCAACTAAAAAAATACTTGACTAGCTGTTATTGAAAGGCTGAAATTCAGCTGACATAAGCAGTATTAATATTGAGCTAGAAAATAATTCGCATTGAATCCACCCCAACTTTTGTTTTCTGATTTGGGTCTCTTCTAAATTTTTTTTTTCTTCTGGACATTGGGAACAATCCAATTTGAAGGCCTCAATGACCAAATCTACACTCATGTTTTATTCTATATCCTTGGTTTCTTTTTTTTTTTTTGAAACAGTCTTGGTCTGTCGCCCAGGCTGGAGTGCAGTGGCGCAATCTCGGCTCACTGCAACCTCCGCCTCCCGGGTTCAAGCTATTCTCTGCCTCAGCCTCCCAAGTAGCTGGGATTACAAGCACCCACCACCACTCCTGGCTAATTTTTGTATCTTCAGTAGAGATGGGGTTTCACCATCTTGGCCAGGCTGGTCTTGAACTCCTGACCTCGTGATCCACCCGCCTCAGCCTCCCAAAGTGCTGGGATTACAGGCGTGAGCCACCACGCCCGGCCCTACATCCTTGGTTTCAGTAAATCTCTATTCTAAAACTGAAAAAGAGAAAACATTGCAGATAAAACTTTACAGCAGGGTCTTGTGTTTTGTTCAGGACAAGATTCGTAAGCTCCAAATGCTACAAGGAACCCTGCCTGAGTGCTGGCAACTTTTTTATCCTGACTGGGCAGCCGTTGTACATATTTCTGTAGAAATTCATGGAGCTGTATACTTTACTGTAATTCTACCCGATACAAAAGATTATAATACTTGGCTGGCTACCATTTATTGTGACTGTCTAGCCACAATGCCAGGCACTGTGCTAGACACATCACACGATTCTCAGCTAATCCCCGCCCCATTCTATTCCCATTTTACTGCTGAAGGATCTGAGGCTCAGAGAAGGCAAGCCACTTACCAAAGGTCCCACAGCAATAAACAGACAAGGCAGAATTCGGTTTCAAGTTGGTCTAACTGTATGTGAAGGCTGAAATGTCCGGGAGGCAGGCACCTCATACCAGAATGTTAGGCGTGGAGGGGGTGCTCAAATCCTTTCATTTAACAGCAGATGAGGCTATTGAAAGACTGTCTCGGTCAACAGCTGGAAGACAAACCCACCACGGTCCAGACTGCAGTTCTCGTGTCCTTTTGGCCCGGCTGGGTTCCACTGGATTGGATGAGGACGCGTTTGTGGAGGGAGCAGGAATAAGGAAGATCTCCTTCCCACCTGCTGTTCCCCAGAGCCGGGAGCACCCGGCGTCGGGGGTGGGAGGGAACAGCGGCCAGGCCGAGCCTCCAGCACCCGGCTCCCTCCGTGCGCCCTCGGACCCCAGGGGCACCGTCCCCGCGCGCGCTCCCTGCCGCCCTACCTGGATGGACCGCCGGCTGCCGGCTGGGCCTGCCGGGCTGGAGCGCACTGCCGCTGGACTCGCTCATGGCCGCGCCCCGCGCTCCTCAGAGGCTGCCGAGGACCCTCTCCAGCCGCCGCCGCCGCCGCCGCCTCCCCGGCCTTCCCTCGCGGAGCCGGGATTCCAGGTTCCGGCGCTGACATCACAGAAGCCGGAGTGGGGCGCCCCCGCGAGGAGCCGAGCATCAGGGACCGCAGAGGGGCTGCAGAGCCCGGGAGATCCGGCAAGGCTCCATCCAGCGGTGGCGACAAGCAGCGACCTCCCTGATGTCTCACTGAGCTTAAAAAATAACAATAGATTGGGCGCACTGGGAGCCCAGTCTCCACCAGGACCCGGTACACCCATGTAACAAACATGCACATGGACCCCCTGCATCTAAAATCAAACCTGATCTAATAAAGAAATAAATAACAAAAATAACTGGTTGGGAGTGGTGGCTCACGTCTGTAATCCTCGCATTTTGGGAGTCCGAGGCTGGAGGACCGCACGAACTCACAAGTTTGAGACCAACCTGGCCAACACAGTGAGACCCCCATCTTTAAAATTAAAAAATAAAAAGTCCACACGCAAAAAACCCCAAGACTCCAAATCAGTGCATCTAGTAAGTTACCATTTGGGAACAAAAAGGAAACCAAAAAATATATTTGTACATGCTTGTAAATGCCTAAGCTATCTCCCTAGAGGGTGCAAAAAACTGGCTACCTGTGGTAGCTCTGGGTGGGGAGCTAGAGGGCCGAGTGAAGAGAAAACCACGTGCAGTGTTTGTCTTTTACGTTTTGCACTATATCCTCGTTTCATCTCTACCTCTGTTCGTGTGCAGGTTAAAAACATAAAATTGCCAGGCGCAGTGGCTCACACCTGTAATCTCACCACTTTGAGAGGCCGAGGCGGGAGGATCACCTGAGGTCAGGAGTTCGAGACTATCCTGGCCAACACGGTGAAACCCTGTCTCTACTAAAAATACAAAATTAGCCTGGCATGGTAGTGCATGCCTGTAGTCCCAGCTACCAGGGAGGCTGAGGCAGGAGAATCGCTGGAACCCAGGAGGCAGAGGTTGCAGTGAGCCGAGATCACGCCACTGCACTCCAGCCTGGGCGACAGAAGGAGACTCCATCTCAGAAAAAAAAAGAAAAAGAAAAGTAATTGCTAAATATAAATAAATGGGGAAAATGGAGAGAAATCTCCTGTGCAGATTTTGAAATCATTTACGTAGATACTTTAAGGATGGGGAGCTTAGCTCCCTACTCCTTAAGTGTGAGTTGCCCATAGCGACATCCTTCCAAAAGAGTGCAGTATGGAAGTGGTGGTGGAAGAGGGTGAGGGTGGGTTTTATATTAGATAATACCTGACAAACACTGTCTCAGACAGATGATCAAAGTTAACATCATCCGGGATCAGTGGCTCACACCTGTAATCCCAGCACTTTGGGAGGCCGAGGCAGGTGGATCACTTGAGGTCAGGAGTTCGAGACCAGCCTGGCCAACATGGCGAAACCCTGTCTCTACCAAAAATACAAAAAAATTAGCTGGGCATGGTGGCGGGCGCCTGTAATCCCAGCTACTAGGGAGGCTGAGGCAGGAGAATCTCTTGAACCCAGGAGGCGGAGGTTGCAGTGAGTCGAGATTGCACTACTGCACTCCAGCCTGGGCAACAGAGTAAGACTCCATCTCAAAAAAAAAAAGTAAATAAGTAAATAAGTTAACATCAACATTAAGCCATGAGGATGGTGTGCACCCTTCCTACGATGGGATGAGAAGGGCACTTTACCTCTGTGGTCATAAGAAAAATATCAGACAAATTCAACTGAGGGGCATTCTACAGAATACCTGATTAGTATTCCTCAAAACTGTCAAGGTCATTTAAAAAAAAAAAAAAAGGAGGCTGGAGACTGGGTGTGGTGGCTCATGCCTGTAATCCCAGCACTTTGGGAGGCCAAGGCAGGTGGATCGCAAGGTCAGGAGTTCGAGACCAGCCTGGCCAAGATGGTGAAACCCTGTCTCTACTAAAAAAAATACAAAAAATTAGCTGTGTATGGTGGTGGGCACCTGTAACCCCAGCTACTCAGGAGGCTGAGGCAGAGAATTGCTTGAACCCAGGAAGCGGAGCTTGCAGTGAGCCGAGATTGTGCCACTGCACTCCAGCCTGAGCAACAGAGTGAGACTCCGTCTCAAAAAAAAAAAAGGCTGGACGCAGTGGCTCATGCCTATAATCCCAGCACTTTAGAAGGCTGAGGTAGGAGGATGGCTTGAGCCCAGGAGTTGGAGACTAGCCTGAGCAACACAGTGAGACCCCATCTCTCCAAAAAATTTTAAAAATTATCTGAATGTGGTGGTGCACGCCTATAATCTGAGCTACTCAGTTCCTGGAACACAAGTTAAAACACATTAAAAACTATGGAAATCTTAATAAAGTAGGGACTTCAGTTAATAGTCATGTATCACTCTTGGTTCATTAATTGTGAGAAATGTACCATATTGATGTAGGATGTTAATAGTAGGGGAAACTGGGCGTGGGCCATGTGAAAACTCACTATCTTATCCTCAAAGGTTTTCTGTAGATCCAAAACTATTCCAAAACAGAAAATTATGTGTGTGGGTAAGTAATTTCCTGGCTCAAAATAAAAGCTATTTTTTATTTATTTATTTATTTTGAGACAGAGTCTCACTCTGTTGCCCAGGCTGGCGGCAGTGGCACAGTCTTGGCTCACTGCAACCTCTGCCTCCCAGGTTCAAGCAATTCTCCTGCCTCAGCCTCCCGAGTAGCTGGGATTACAGGCACCTGCCACCATACCGGCTAATTTTTGTATTTTTAGTAGAGATGGTGTTTCGCCATGTTGGCCAGGCTGGTCTCAAACCACCGACCTCAAGTGATTCGCCCATCTTGGCCTCCCAAAGTGCTGGGATGACAGGCATGAGCCACCGTGCCCAGCTGATAAAAGCTGTTTTTATTGTGGTTAAGGGTAAGGTCACTGGATGGGAACCTGGTTTCTGATTATTTCCTATGTGAGCTGGACCATGTGCCACAAACTTTCTGAGCCTGTTTTCTCATCTGTAAAATGGGGATATAAGACTAGAGCTTAGGTCCCAGGGCTGTGGCAACAACAACTGCCTAGGGGCAGCCTAAATTTCTATTGATCGGAGAGGGGTTAAATAAATTTTGACACATCCGTCCAGCAATTACATAGCTCTACATGGAGATGTATCAAAAATTATATTTATAGAAGGTATATTATTAAGTGAAAAAGCAAGGTGGAGGCTGGGCATGGTAGCTCATGCTTATAACCCCAGCATTTTGGGAGGCTGAGGCAGGAGGGTCACTTGAGTCTAGGAGTTTAAGACCAGCCTGGGCAACGTAGTGAGATCCCTATCTCTACAAAAATAAAAATTATCCAGGTGTGGTGGCACACATCTGTAGTCCTGGCTACTTAGGAGGCTAAGGCAGGAGGATTGCTTGAGCCCAGGAGTTCAAGGTTCAGTGAGCTATGCTCATGACACTGCCCTCCAACAACAGCGAGACACCATCTCAAAAACAAAACAAACAAAAAAAACAAGATGAACAAGTGTATCAGGTAAGCCACCATTTGGGTTAAAAAAGCAAGAATATATATGTATCTGTTTCTAAATGCAGCATACATCTCAGGACAAGGGCAGGGGAATTTTTACTAATTACCCCTTTTTTTACTCCATAGACATATTACTGATACATACTCAAATGTTAAAAAATGATCTTTAAACCTGTGGCACAGGGGAAGTGTCAGGAAATGATGACTATTTCTACTGAGAGACAATTCCTCCCTCTTCCCTTCCTTACTGGAGGCCACCTCCCAGCCCGCAGTCCCAGCCTGCAGATCTGGAAAGGAACCCAGTTTTTCTGCATATGGAAGATGGAATGGGATGGAGGTGAGTGGTGACTGTGCAGTGACCCTAGAGAGAAGATCCAGCACTTCCTGCTGGCTGCACCTGGCACCTGGCACCTGGCCCTGGCTTGGCTCTGCATCCTGAGCCAGAGAGACCTCGGTTATTTTTCTAGGAGCAGAAGAATGAGCCAGCCTCCCAAAGGAGACTCCCTGCTCCCAGGAGACAATTTTACAGGAATAGAAATAGGATAGTTAGGATAGTTCTTCAGGAAGCAACAGTCACTAAAATCTCCTGTTAGAAGGAATAGAAGAGGAAGAAGGCAGATAGATGGATACAAAGAAATTCAGACAGAAGGATGGTGAGTAGGACAGAAAGACGGGCAGAATTATCAATTCACGTGTTGCTTTCTTTTTTATTTTATTTTATTTTATTTTATTTTTTGAGACGGAGTCTTGCTCTGTCGCCCAGGCTGGAGTGCAGTGGTGCGATCTCAGCTCACTGCAACCCCTGTCTCCTGGGTTCAAGCGATTCTCTTGCATCAGCCTCCCAAGTAGCTGGGACTACAGGCGTGTACCACCACACCCGGCTAATTTTTTGTATTTTTAGTAGAGATGGGGTTTCAATGTGTTAGCCAGGTTGGTCTCCATCTCCTGACCTGGTGATCCGCCCGCCTTGGCCTCCCAAAGTGCTGGGATTACAGGCGTGAGCCACCGCACCCGGCATGTGTGGCTTTATTTCAAGGAGAGACAGAAATGTCGCCACAGCACCCCCTATGGCCTTTCTCAATCCTAGCACTTTATTTTTACCATTTGTTCTGTTTCTTTTTTTCTTTCTTTTTTCTTTTTTTTTTTTTTTGAGACGGAGTCTTGCTGTGTCACCCAGGCTGGAGTGCAGTGGCACCAATCTCAACTCACTGCAACCTCTCCCTCCCGGGTTCCAGCGATTCTCCTGCCTCAGCCTCCTGAGTAGCTGGGACTACAGGCACACACCACCATGCCCGGCTAATTTTTATGTTTTTTAGTAGAGATGGGGGTTCCACCATATTGGCCAGGCTTGTCTCGAACTCCTGACCTTGTGATCCACCCGCCTCAGCCTCCCAAAGTGCTAGGATTACAGTTGTGAGCCACCGCGCCCGGCCAATTGTTCTATCTGTTTCTCACAGTAGACTATAAGCTTGGTGAGGGCTCCCTTTTACTATTAGGGGGAAAAACAACAACAACTGTCACTTACTGAGAACTTACTCTGAGCCAAACGCTTACCACGTGCCCCTTCATTTACCTTCATCCTCTCTAAGACATCAGTAGGAACCTTCAACTCCATGTTATAGAGAAAAGGACCATGGCTCAGAGGGAAAGTGGAATCTCTCCTCTTTGCTAATTCCCTCCAGCGGCTCATCTTACCCAGCACCACCACCCCTGCCAAGGCAAGGTCAGCCTCCTGACCACTTCCCTGCCTCGTCCAAGTCTTGTGCATCAGCACTCAGAGCAAACCTCTCAGAAAAGGAGGTCTAGGCACATGTTCTCAAGACCTCCTGAGGGCTTTGTCATGGGCCACTCTCACTCATATTTTTTTTTAAGAAATTATATTAATGGGCCGGGCGCAGTGGCTCATGCCTGTAATCCCAGCACTTTGGGAGGCTGAGGTGGGTGGATCACTTGAGGTCAGGAGCTTGAGACCAGCCTGGCCAACATGGCGAAACCCTGTCTCTACTAAAAATACGAAAATTAGCCTGGCATGGTGGTTCATGCCTGTAATCCCAGCTACCAGGGAGGCTGAGGCAGGAGAATCACTGGAACCCAGGAGGCAGAGGTTGCAGTGAGCCGAGATCATGCTACTGCACTCCAGCCTGGGTGACAGAGCAAGACTCCGTCTCAAAAAAAAAAAGTAAATTCCTGGCCCCATCATCTTTGGCCTTAATGCAGGTTGTCCTGATACAAACTGGGACCCCGGACACCCCGCATCTTTTTCCCTTCCTCCCACCCCCACCTACTGTCATTCCACACATTGTCTACAACAGAAATGCTTTGCAAAATGTAAACTTCTAAATAAATGTTAATGCCATAGCCGTGGCTATGTAAGACTTAGAATTGTGGGATTGTTGCCAGGCTCGGTGGCTCACCTGTAATCCCAGCACTTTGGGAGGCCGAGGTGGGCAGATGATGAGGTCAGGAGATGGAGACCATCCTGGCTAACACGGTGAAACCCTATCTCTACGAAAAATACAAAAAATTAGCCAGGCGTGATGGCACATGCCTATAGTCCCAGCTACTCGAGAGGCTGAGGCAGGAGAATCACTTGAACCCAGGAGGCAGAGGTTGCAGTGAGCCGAGATCACGCCATTGCACTCCAGCCTGGGTGACAAGAGCAAAACTCTGTTCCCCCCCGCCCAAAAAAAAAAAGAAAAGAAAAGAAATTGTGGGATTGCAAAATGGACCAAAGGAGAGGGCACTGGACACACCAAAGGAAACGATCAGTTCCTCTCACAACACTTCTGACACCAAATGTGTGTGTGGGTTTTTTCCTCACACCAACTGTATTAGTCCATTCTCACCTTGCTATAAAGAAATACCTGAGACTGGGTAATAAAGAAAAGAGGTTTCATTGGCTCATGATTCTGCACATTGCACAGGAAGCATGGCTGGGGAGGCCTCAGGAAACTTACAATCAAGGCAGAAGGCAAGAGGGGAATGAGATGTCTCACGTGGCAGGAGCAGGAGGAAGAGGCAGAGAATGTGGAGGTACCACCCACTTTTAAACAACCAGATCTCAGGATGAGCACAGTGGCTCCTGCCTGTAATCCCAGCACTTTGGGAGGCCAAGGTGGGCAGATCGCCTGAGGTCAGGAGTTCAAGACCAGCCTGGTCAACATGGTGAAATCCCATCTCTATTAAAAATACAAAAATTAGCAAGTCTGCCATCCCAGCTACTCAGGAGGCTGAGGCATGAGACTCACTTGAACCTGGGAGGCAGAGGTTGCAGTGAGCCTAGATCACGCCACTGCACTCCAGCCTGGGCGACAGAGTGAGACTCCATCTTAAAGAAAAAAAAGAGAGAGAGAGAGAGAGAGCAAGCTCCTGAGAACTCTATCATGAGAACAGCACCAAAGGGGGAAATCCGCCTCCACCTCCATGAACCAATCACCTCCCACCAGGCCCCACCTCCAACACCGGGAATTGCAATTTGACATGAGATTTGGGTGGGGACATAGATCCAAACCATATCACCAACCAGTCTTTCAACTCTCCTGACACCAGCTGGGCGACCTACGATTCAATTCAATTCTGACACTATCTACCTGGAGTAGAGTCAAACTTCACAGATAAAGGGCTCAGTCCCACAAGACTGCCCTCATTTCAGATGCCAGTTGCAAAGCCTACACCTCCAGTGCTTCTGACCGACACGGCTACAAATTGGGGGTTCCCATGACCCTCTCTTCAGGTTTGATAATTTCCTTAAACAGCTCACAGAACTCAGGGAAGCACTTGAATTACATTTACTGGTTTGTTATGAAAGGTACAAATGAACAGCGGGAGGAAGAGAGGCATAGGCCAAGGTATGGGGAAGGGGCTTGGACCTTCCATGCCCTCTCTAGGCATTCCGCAGCACCTCCGCGTGCTCGCTAATCCAGGAGCTCTTCAAATTGTTTAGGATTTTTATGGAGGTTCCATTATGCAGGCACGATTGGTTAAATTCACTGGCCATTGGTAATTGAACTCAACTTCCAGCCTGTCTCCCCTCTCCAGGGATCGGGGTGAGGCTAAAAATTCCAACCCTCTAATCATGTTGTGGGTTTCTCTGACAACCAGCCACCATCCTGAAACTGTCTAGGACCACAGCCACCAGTCAGCTCATAAACTTACAAAAAGAGACTTATCAGTCTGGAAATTCCAAGGGTCTTAAAAGTTCTTGTGTCAGGAACCAGGGATTAAGACTAAACATGGCTGGGCATGGTGGCTCATGCCTGTAATCCCAGCACTTTGGGAGGCCCGGCAGGTGGATCACCTGACATCAGGAGTTCAAGACCAGCCTGGCCAACATGGTGAAACCCTGTCTCTACTAATTCCAAAATTAGCCAGGCGTGGCGGTGGGTGCCTGTGATCCCAGCTACTCAGGAGGCTAAGGCAGGAGAATCGCTTGAACCTGGGAGGCGGAGGTTGCAGTAAGCCAAGATTGTGCCACTGCACTCCAGCCTGGGCGACAGAGTGAGACTCCATCACAAAAAAAAAAAAAAAAAAAAAAGACTAAACATAGCAAAAGATGCTCTTATCACCCCATCACTCAGGAAATTACAAGGGTTTTAGGAGCTGTCTGCCAGCAACCAAGGACAGAGACCAAATATATATTTTTTAAATTATGTCACATGCATCAACAGATGCATACACGTCATTTTAGTTCATTTATAGTAAAAGAATTAGCCGATGTTTTTGCTTCTCTGAATTTTCACAGATCATTGAAGTTTGCTATTAATTTGTTTGCTTTTCTTTTTTTTTAAACCCATTTGGCTGGTTTGCCTAAACAAAACCTTTGGCAAAATGTTTTCTTCCTCTTCCAACACATTCCCTTACTCATCTTAAAGTCCTGGTACCTGCTGATTGATAAAAGATTGCTGTAAAGACCACACCAACACATCCCCTTACTTATCTTAAAGTCCTGGTACCTGCTGATTGCTAAAATGTTGCTGTAAAGACCACAGCTCTTTTATTTGCCAGTAATGATAACCCAGTCTGATTTGCTTAAGAGATAGTGGGCATTCACTGGAAAGACACTGGGTGAGATGCAGCTGAGTTTAGAAGGAGATGGGAGCTGAGGACCAGAGGGAACCGAGGACGGTGGCTCTCTCCTTTTATCTCTTTTCAGCCTCTCTCTGAGGCTTCTTATTCCTTCTCTGTGTCCTGGCTTTCTACTTTCCAGTACAGGCAGCAGAAAATGACTGGCAACAGCAGTAGGCGACAAAGCTAACAGATTTCATTGTTGTTCAGTCTCTTTCTCTGTCTTCCTGTGCTTTTTGGAGCAATTCCTAAATTAGTTATGAACTGTAGCACCATCCACATTTTTGCAAAATTGTTTTTTTCAGACAAGGTCTCACTCTGTCACCCAGGCTGGAGTACAGTGCTGATCATAGCTCACTGCAGCCTCAACCTTCTGGATTCCAGTGATCCTCCCACCTCAGCCTCTTGAGTAGCTGGGACTACAGGTACATACCACAACACTTGGCTAATAAAAAAATAAAAAATAAAAAACTCTATATACACAGGGTCTTAATTTGTTGCCCAGGCTGGTCTCAAGCTTCTGGGTTCAATCAATCCTTCTGCCTCCACCTCCCAAAATGCTTGTATTACAAGCATGAGCCACCACAACCATCCAGTGTTCATATTTTTAATCATGTTTGGGAGACATTTTCGTGGAGGATTCTAGAATTTTCCCATATATGTTACCGCATGAGTAGAAGACATCTGTGTGGGTGCTAGTACGTCTATAAGAATAAAGTGGCTGGGCGTGGTGGCTCACGCTTGTAATCCCAGCACTTTGGGAGGCCATGGAGGACAGATCACCAACTCAGGAGATCGAGACCATCCTGGCTAACACAGTGAAACCCTGTCTCTAATAAAAATACAAAAAAATTAGCTGGGCATGATGGTGGGTGCCTGTAGTCCCAGCTTACTCGGGAGGCTGAGGCAGGAGAATGGTGTGAACCTGGGAGGCAGAGCTTGCAGTAAGCCAAGATCGCACCACTGCACTCCAGCCTGGGCAACAGAGCAAGACTCCGTCTCAAAGGAAAAATAAATAAATAAATAAATAAATAAATAAATAAATAAATAAATAAAAGAATAAAATAAAGCATTCAGACCGGGTGCGGTGGCTCACACCTGTAAATTCCAGCACTTTGGGAGGCCAAGGCAGGCAGATCACTTGAGGTCAGGAGTTCCAGACCAGCCTTGCCAACATAGAGAAACCCCGTCTCTACTAAACATACGAAAATTAGCTGGGCATGGTGGTGTGTGCCTGTAGTTCCAGCTACTCCAGAGGCTGAGGCAGGAGAATCGCTTGCACCCGGGAGGTGAAGGCTACAGTGAGCTGAGATCATGTCACTGCACTCCAGCCTGGGTGACAGAATGAGACCCTGTCTCCATAAATAAATAAATAAATAAATAAATAAATAAGCAGTTGCTGTAGAGTGCTAAGCCTTGCTCCTACCGGGATATCTTCTCCCAAGAGAATCCCTAACTAACAAAGTACTAAGTTCTGTGGCATAGATTCTGAGTAAAGGTTTCTTTCTTCTTCCTCATTAGGAAAAAGTGTTCAGTGATTGCAAAAAAAAAAAAAAAAGTAATTATAATAATGTGTATAAATTCTTCTAAGAGGGCTGGGTGTGATGGCTCACACCTGTAATCCTGGCACTTTGGGAGGCCGGAGGGGATCACAAAGTCAGAAGTTCAAGACTTGCCTGGCCAGTATGGTGAAACCCTGTCTCTACTAAAAATACAAAAATTAGCCGGGTGTGGTGGCGCCTGCCTGTAGTCCCAGCTACTCAGGAGGCTGAGGCAGGAGAATTGCTTGAACCTGCAAGGCAGAGGTTGCAGTAAGCTAAGATCATGCCACTGCACTCCAGCCTGGGCAACAAGAGCAAGACTTCATCTCAAAAAAATAAAATAAATAAATTCTTATAAGAAGCTTGTATTAGGAATGTTTTCGTTTGCAATTAAGAGAATATCCAGGCCAGGCACGGTGGCTCACGTCTGTAATCCCAGCACTTTGGGAGGCAGAGGTGGGCGGAACATGAGGTCAGGAGATCGAGACCATCCTAGCTAACACGATGAAACCCCATCTCTACTAAAAATACAAAAATTAGCCGGGCGTGGTGGCAGGCACCTGTAATCCCAGCTGCTCAGGAGGCTGAGGCAGGAGAATCGCTGGAACCCGGGAGGCAGAGGTTGCAGTGAGCCGAGATCTCACCACTGTACTCCAGTCTGGGTGACAGAGTCAGACTCCATCTCAAAAGCTTTGACCTCTGATAACATCCAGAAAAAAACATTCTTCCCCTCAGATCCAAGAAGATGAAGACATGATCAAAACCTGAATGCTGGACTATTTCAGAAGTGAGGGGTCCCTTGGCCTGAAAGATCCAGGGCTAGGATCTGCCTCAACATACCTTATTGTAAATGGTCAAATTTTTTTTTTTTGGAAACGGGGTCTTGCTCTGTCGCCCAGGCTGGAGTGCAGAGGCGCAATCTCGGCTCACTGAAAGCTCCGCCTCCCGGGTTCATGCCATTCTCCTGCCTCAGCCTCCCGAGTAGCTGGGACTACAGGTGCCCGCCACCACGCCTGGCTAATTTTTTGTATTTTTAGTAGAGACAGGGCTTCACCACGTTAGCCAGGATGGTCTCGATCTCCTGACCTCGTGATCCACCCGTCTCGGCCTCCCAAAGTGCTGGGATTACAGGCGTGAGCCACCGCGCCCGGCCTCGTAAATGGTCAAATTTGAAGTCCTCCAATCAGACTCTGCCAAGCCGACATTTTCAAATCCTTTCCTTTGCCCTCTGGTCCATTAAAACTTGCCCCAGGCCCCAAATAGAGGAGACAGATTTGAGCCTGACTCCTGTCTCCTTGCTGGCTGATTTTGCAATAAAACCTTTTTCATTTTTTCAAAAGCCAGTGCTGTAGTTATTGGCTTCTGTGCACATCAGGAAGCGAGCCCATTTGCTCCATAATAAATTGACAAAAGCAGATCAATGAAGAAAAAAGGATCCACAATTTATTCATGTGCCTATGAACACATGAGCCATACACAAAGCATGAGACTCGAAGAGAGACCAGGTGGTTGAAAATTAAATATTCTCTTCATGGCCGGGCACGGTGGCTCATGCCCGCAATCCCAGCACTTTGGGAGGCTGAGGCGGGCAGATCAGGAGTTCAAGATCAGCCTGGCCAACATGGCAAAACCCCGTCTTTACTAAAAATACAAAAATTAGCCAGTCATGGTGGCGCATGCCTGTAATCTCAGCTACTCGGGAGGCGGAGGCAGGAGATTCACTTGAACCCAGGAGGCAGAGGTTGCAGTGAGCCGAGTTTGTGCCACTGCACTCCAGCCTGGATGACAAAGCAAGACTCTGTCTCAAAAAAAAAAAAAAAAAAAACTCTCTTCATAGGAGAGATGTATGGACCTGGAGACAGATATTATTTTGAAAGTGATTCTCTTTGCAAGCTGGATGAGACAGACAGGTTTGATGTACCAGGTGAGGGGTGGAACTGCACAGGAACAAATATTGGCTTATTATGCAGGTAAAAGTCCTCCAGGTAATCCCTTAGAGCTGCCCTCAGAAGAACAGATGAAAAGTCTGGATGTGGTGACGACTCCCAGTCTCTTCTGGTTACTTGATGAGATTCCTAGGGAAGGTGTCTTAGACAATTGCATTTCTTTGGAGATAAGTGTTCTTAGATAAGGACAGAGTCCCTCCTGTTGCTTCAGGAAAGAGGATCAGAAAGACAAGGAGGTGAGTGAAGGTCACAGAGGGACCTCGAGGCTGCTTCTTTAGATCAGTAAAAAGGACAAAGCACCATATTTTTGGGGTATTGTTTTCTGAGCCCTAATGACATTCATAGCATATAGAGTTTTTGTCCTCATGGTTACAAGATGGCTGCCACATCTCCAAACATCATATCCCTGTTCAAGACAATAAAAAAGGTTTAAGGACAAAACCAGCAGAAGTTGGCATTATGGCCATCCAGAGATGCAAGAAAGTCTGGAAAAGTGAAGATCTGGTTTTCTAGACTCTAGAATGAGGTTCTGAATAATATCAGGTGATCCAACCAACATTGTCTGCTATGGCTCTTCCTTCAACAAGTAACACAAACGTTCATAAACGAAGAATGATTGTATTAAACCCTGTGTTTCTGATGCTCTTTTCTGAAGCATTAGGAGGATCTCTCAGAAACTTCCTTATCTGACTCAGAAAGCTTGTTTTGGGAAGCTGTTGTCAGCATTGGAGGGGTGGTGTTAGAAAAAACATCACATAATGGCAGCATGCGGTGGCTCACGCCCATAATCCCAGCCCTTTGAGATGCTGAGATGGATGGATTGGCTGAGCTCAGGAGTTCAAGACCAACCTGGGCAACATGGCCAGATCTCATCTCTACTAAGAATTTTTTTAAAATTAGGGCCGGAGGCCGGGCAAGGTGGCTCACACCTGTAATCCCAGCACTTCGGGAGGCCAAGGCGGGCAGATCACAAGGTCAAGAGATGAAGACCATCCTGGCCAACACGGTGAAACCCCCTCTCTACTAAAAATACAAAAATTAGCTGGGTGTGGGTGGTGCACGCCTTTAGTCCCAGTTACTCAGGAGGCTGTGGCAGGAGAATCACTTGAACCCGGGAGACGGAGGTTGCAGTGAGCTGAGATCACGCCACTGTACTCCAGCATGGTGACAGAGCAAGATTACATCTCAAAAAAAAAAATAGCAACTGGGAGCGGTGGCTTACGCCTGTAATCCCAGCACTTCAGGAGGCTGAGGTGGGCAGATCACCTGAAGTCAGGAGTTCGAGACCAGCCTGGCCAACATGGTAAAACCCTGTCTCTACTAAAAATACAAAAATTAGCCAGGCATGGTGGCGCATGCCTGTAGTCCCAGGTGCTCAGGAGGCTGAGGCAGGAGAATCACTTGAACCTGGGGGGCAGAGGTTGCAGTGAGCCAAGATCACATCATTGCACACTAGCCTGGGAAATAGAGCGAGACTCTGTCTCAACAACAACAACAACAACAAAAATAGCCAAACATGGTGACGCACACCTGTAGTCCCACCTACTTAGGAGGCTGAGGTGGGAGGATCATTTGAGTCTGGGAGGTCAAGGCTTCAGTGGGCCGCATTTATGTCACTGCACTCCAGCCTGGTTGACAGAGCAAGACCCTGTTTCAAAAAAACAGACACCACATATTTGATGTCAAAAGGGAAAAAAAACCTCTCATTTGGTGTCAGGCGTGGTATGAGAAGTAAAACCTCCTTCACCTACTAAAGGACATGTTGGTTGATATCAAGTTTTGGCAATTATGAATAAAGCTGCTTGACAGGGTTTGGACGCCCTGCCCAAATCTCATGTTGAAATGTAATCCCCACTGTTGGAGGTGGGACCTGGTGGGAGGCAACTGGCTCATGGGATCAGGTTTCTTATGAACATGAATAGAGGCTATTCTACTCTTATGAATAGAAGATGGTTATCTTCTATTTCTTCCTGTGGGGTCTTAAAGATATTTTGGAGTAGCCGGGTGCTGTGGCTCATGCCTCTAATCCCAACACATTGGGAGGCCAAGGCAGATGAATCACTTGAGGCCAGGAGTTCGAGACCAGCCTGGCAAACATGGCGAAACCCTGTCTCTACCAAAAATACAAAAATTAGCTGGTGTGGTGGCGGGTTCTTGTAATCCCAGCTACTCAGGAGGCTGAGACAGGAGAATCGCTTGTACTCCAGAGGCGGATGTTGCAGTGAGCCGAGATCATGCCACTGCATTCCAGCCTAGGCAACAGAGTGAAACGCTTTCTCAAAAAAATAAAATAAAATCATAATCATAATCATAATTAATGTTATAATTTTAATTTAAAAAATCACTTCATCTATATAGCTCTTCCTGCACCCCTAAGTAGCACATGCTGAGTCAGGCTTTGCAGTTTAAATGTGAATTAATTTGCAGATCCACACTGTTGTGGCTGAAGCCACCCCCTTCTCTGATGGGGAACAAAGCACAATTGCCAGACCTTCCACACGTGGCCACCAGAGGGCGCGCCGAAGTAGCCAAACTCGCTAAGGAACAGGGCGGTCCCCAGGGAACCATCCCGAACCAAAAGCCGTTTTATTTTCCAAAGGCTGACAGGGGGGGCCCCCGCGGGGTGTTCACACTCTATCTCCTCCTAAGTAAACAAACTTAATTGCTATTTAATTTCTTCCAAATTGCATCAACAGTCAAAAAGAAATTACTCCACTTGCCCTTTGCATTTTTTTGCAGTAGGCTCCTAGTAATCTGGACAATTTAATGAAGTCGTTTGCAGGGAAGCAATTGGATTTCAATGCCTCTCTCCCTGGTGCTCGCCCTGTCATTTCTGCCCAGTTGTGATTTGCCGTGAATCTCTCAACATATCAATGCATCATTTTGCCTTTGTGGTCTGATGACAAATAACATTTTCAGATCTGGGTATATAAATATGTCTCTGTAGCCATTGCGATTCACTTTTTCATGTACAAAAGATAGAAAATAGCTTTTCTCCCATTCAGGTCCTTCCTCCCTTCATCCCTCACATTGGGTTTTACTGTTGACTGTTGACTTTCTGCCCACTTCATCCTTTGGTCTCATTGTGTTCTGGGGAAGACAGAAATGAATAACACCTGGCCCCCCTTTCATTCTTCAGGTTAGCATAGTTCTAGGCACTGGAAAAGGAGTGAACAAGAATCCCTATCATATTCACAATCACCAAGAGGTAGCATCAATCCAAATGTTCATCAAAGAATGAATGAATGGCCGGGCACGGTAGCTCACGCCTGTAATCCCAACACTTTGGGAATCAAGGTGGGTGGATCGCAAGGTCAGGAGTTCGAGACCAACCTGGCCAATATGGTGAAACTCCGCCTTTACTTAAAAAAATACATAAATTAGTCAGGCATGGTGGCATGCACCTGTAATTCCAGCTATTTGGGAGGCTGAGGCAGGAGAATTGCTTGAACCCGGGAGGCGGAGGTTGCAGTGAGCCGAGATCATGCCACTGCACTCCAGCCTGGGTGACAGAGCAACAAGACTCTGTCTCAAAAAAAAAGAGAATGGAAAAATGAGCCTGGTGCAGTGGCTCACGCCTGTAATCCCAGCAATTTGGGAGGCCAAGGCAGGAGGACCATTTGAGATCAGGAGTTGGAGACCAGCCTGGCCAACATGGCGAAACCACATCTCTAATAAAAATACAAAAATTAGGCCGGGCGCAGTGGCTCACGCTTGTAATCCCAGCACTTTGGGAGGCTGAGACAGGCGGATCGCCTGAGGTCGGGAGTTCAAAACCAACCTGACCAACATGGAGAAACCCTGTCTCTACTAAAAATACAAAATTAGCCAGGCGTAGTGGTGCATGTCTGTAATCCCAGCTACTTGGGAGGCTGAGGCAGGAGAATCACCTGAACCCAGGAGGCGGAGATTGCGGTGAGCTGAGATCACACCATTGCACTCCAGCCTGGGCAACAAGAGTGAAACTCCGTCTCAAAAGAAAAAAGATAAAATAAATTTTAAAAATACAAAAATTAGCCAGGTGTGGTGGCTCACACCTGTAATCCCAGCTACTTGGGAGGCTGAGGCAAGAGAATCACTTGAACTGGTGAGGCAGAGGTTTCAGTGAGCCGAGATTGCACCATTGCACTCCAGCCTAGCAACAGAGCAAGACTCTGTCTCAAAAAATAAATAAGTAAATGAACAAAATGTGGGTTATTTGTGCAACGGAACATTATTCAGCCATAAAAAAGAGGCCAGGCATGATGGCTCATGCCTGTAATCTCAGCACTTTGGGAGGCCAAGGCAGGCAGATCACCTGAGGTAGGGAGTTGGAGATCAGCCTGACCAGCATGGAGAAACTCCATCTCTACTAAAAATACAAAAATTAGCCAGATGTGGTGGTGTGCACCTGTAATCCCAGCTACTTGGGTGGCTGAGGCAGGAGAATTGCTTGAACCCGGGAGGCAGAGGTTGTGGTGAGCCGAGATCGCACCATTGCACTCTAGCCTGGGCAACAAGAGCAAAACTTCATCTCAAAAATAAATAAATAAATAAATAAAGTGCTGCTACATGCTATAATGTAGATGAACCACAAAAGCTTTAATGCTAAGTGAAAGAAGGTAGACACAAAAAGTCGCAAATTGGGTGATTTCATTTATATGAAATGTCCAGAATAGGCAAATCCACAGACAGAGAATAGATTGGTGGTTGCCAGTGGAGGTGGAGGGGAGAATGGAGAATGGCTGCTTAATGGGTATGAGGTCTTCTTTGGGGTGATGAAAACATTTTGGAGCTAGATAGAGGTGATGACTGTTTGACATTGTGAATGTCCTGAATTGTACAGTTTATGTAATGTGAATTTCACCTCAGTTAAAAAGAAAAGAAAAAATTCCTGCCCTTATGGGTGCAGTAGCATGATCACAGCTCAATGCAGCCTCCAACTGCTGGACTCAAGCAATCCTCTGGCCTCAGGCTCCTGAGTAGCTGGGATTGCAGGTACACACCGTAACACCTGGTTAATTTTTTTAAGATGGGGGCTGGCTCTGTCACCTAGGCTGGAGTGCAGTAATGCAATCTTGACTCAGTGCAGCCTCGTCCCATCTCAGCCTCCCAAGTAGCTGCGACTACAAGTGCGTGTCACCATGTCTGGCCAATTTTTAAATGTTTTATAGAGATGGGGTCTCGCTGTATTGTCCAGGATGGTCTCAAACTCCTGGGCTCGAGTGATTCTGCCAAGGTGCTGGGATTACAGGAATAAGCCACCATGCCTGGCCCCTAGAGTTTGTATCCTAAAGTGGGAGTTGGGGGTGGGGGTGGGAATGGGGAGACGGACAAATAAATTGTTTCGCTCTAGTGTGGAAACTGCCCTGGCAGACACATACTAAGGGAGACACATACTAAGGGACTAAATTCCAGGTGGCAATATTGTACTGCAGAAGTTTCCCAGAAATTGGCAGAGCACGGTAGCTTACGTCTGTAATCCCAGCACTTTGCGGGGCTAAGGTGGGCCGATCACTTAAGGTCAGGAGTTCGAGACCAGCCTGTCCAACATGGTGAAACCCTGTCTCTACTAAAAATACAAAAATTAGCCAGGTGTGGTGGCCTCTAATCCCAGCTACACAGGAGGCTGAGGCAGGAGAATTGCTTGAACCTGGGAGGTGGAGGTTGCAGTGAGCCAAGATTGCACCACTACACTCCAGCCTGGGCGACAGGGCGAGACTCTGTCTCAAAAAAAAGAAAAAGTGGCCAGGCACAGTGGCTCACGTCTGTAATCCCAGCACTTTGGGAGGCCAAGTTGGGCGGATCACGAGGTCAGGAGTTCGAGACTATCCTGGCTAACACAGTGAAACCCTGTCTCTACTAAAAATACAAAAAATTAGCCAGGCGTGGTGGCGGGTGCCTGTAGTCCCAGCTACTCAGGAGGCTGAGGCAGGAGAATGGCATGAACCCGGGAGGCGGAGCTTGCAGTGAGCCGAGATCGCATCACTGCACTCCAGCCTGGACGACAGAGCGAGACTCCATCTCAAAAAAAAAAGAAAAAATAAAAAGAAGTTTCCCAGCAGTCCCAGGGGTTGAGTCCCAGCCCTGGCTGTGTGAGCAAGTCATATATTTGTATTAATTTATACACATGAGATACCTTCAATCTGCAGAGATGCAGGATGTCCCCGGGTCTTTCTGTTCTTTCTGATGTGTCCATCTCTGTCTATTTTCAAAGTCTTAAATCCTGTCCGCATTTCAACCAGTCGCAACCTGACAACTGTGTTGAGTGATGTGACTTTGGGATTTACGAGAAGCAGAAGGGCCTTTTTAATCTGCAGGATGCAAAGACAGGAAACGGGATGCTCACAGACCAGAGCCCTTGGCTTTTACATAACAGTTCTCATCTGCCTTGTTTTTGCTGTTTGTTTGTTTGTTTGTTTGTTTGTTTGTCTGTTTGTTTTGAGACGGAGTTTCACTCTTTTTCCCCAGGCTGGAGTGCAATGGCGCAATCTCGGCTCACTGCAACCTCCATCTCCCGGGTTCAAGTGATTCTCTTGCCTCAGCCTCCTGAGTAGCTGGGATTACAGGCGTGAGCCACCGCACCCGGCCTGCTTTGTGTTTGTTTTGTTTTGCTTTTTGAGACAGGGTCTCTGTTGTTGTCCAGACTGGAGTCCAGTGGCGCAATCTTGGCTCACTGCAGCCTCAGTTTCCCAGGTTCAAGAGACCCTTCTGCCTCATCCTCCTGAGTAGCTGAAATGACAGGCACGTGCCACCACACCCAGCTAATTTTTTTTTTTTTTTGAGACGGTGTTTCGCTCTTGTTGCCCAGGCTGGAGTGCAATGGCGCAATCTCAGCTCACCGCAACCTCCGTCTCCTGGGTTCAAGTGATTCTCCTGCTTCAGCCTTCCAAGTAGCTGGGATTACAGGTGCCCCTCCAAGGCCTGGCAATTTTTTTTTTTTTTTGTATTTTTAGTAGAGATGGAGTTTCTCCATGTTGGTCAGGCTGGTCTCGAACTCCTGACCTCAGATGATCCACCCACCTCGGCCTCTCAAAGTGCTAGGATTACAGGCGTGAGCCACCGTGCCCGGCCCACACCCAGCTAATTTTTTAATTTTTTCTTTTTTTTTTTATTGAGACAGAGTCTTACTATGTTGCCCAGGCTGGTCTCCAACTCCTGGGCTCAAGAGAGCTTCCTGCCTCAGCCTCCCAATGTGCTGGGATTACAGGCAAGAGCCAATACACCTAACCTGGTTTTTGCTTCTTTATGGGACTTCGGAGCATTGGTCTGAATGACCAGACCATGAATCTCAGGCCAGAGCTGATACTGAGAAGCTAATAAAGAAACTTGCCATTCTTAGTGGCACTGCAGATGTGTCAGCCAAACCCTACCCACAGATGTTCACCCCTAGAAAAATAGGGATCAGCTGGGCATGGTGGCTCACGCCTGTAATCCCAGCACTTTCAGAGGACGAGGCAGGTGGATCACCCGAGGTCAGGAGTTCGAGACCAGCCTGGCCAACATGGTGAAACCCCGTCTCTACTAAAAATACAAGATTAGCCAGGCGTGGTGGCACATGCCTGTAATCCCAGCTACTTGGGAGGCTGAGGCTGGAGAATAGCTTGAACCCAGGAGGTGGAGGTTACGGTGAGGCGAGATCACGCCATTGCACTCCAGGCTGGGCAACAAGAGTGACGCTCCATCTCAAAAAAAAAAAAAAAAGAAGAAAAGAAAAACATAGAATGTACAACACCAAGAGTGAACCCTAATGTAAACGATTACCTATAATTAATAATAATGTATCAATTTGGTTCATCAATTTTAACAGGTGTGCCACACCAATGCAAGATGTCAATAATGGGGAAACTAAAGGAAGGGGGGTGAAAGTAATATCTGGGAACTTCCTGGACTTTCTGCTCAATTGTCTGTAAACCTGCTGTTTCTGTAAAATTGCTCTTTTTAAAGTCTGCTATTTAAAAAACAATAGTATAATTCAGCTTGAAAAATAAAGGTAAAGGCTGGGCACGGTGATCACGCCTGTAATCCCAGCAATTTGGGAGGCAGAGGCGGGCGGATTACCTGAGGTCAGGAGTTCCAGACCAACCTGACCAACATAGGGAATCCCCATCTCTACTAAAAATACAAAATTAGCTGGGCCTTGTGGCGCATGCCTGTAATCCCAGCTATTTGGGAGGCTGAGGCAGGAGAATCGCTTGAACCCAGGAGGCAGAGGTTGCAGTGAGCCGAGATCACACCATGGCACTTCAGCCTGGGCAACAAGAGCAAAACTCCATCTAAAAATAAATAAATAAATACAAATAAATAAAGGTAAATAAATCAAGAAGAGGCCAGGTGCAGTGGCTCATGCCTGTAATCTCAGCACTTTGGAAGCCCGAGGCCGGCAGAATACTTGAGTCCAGGAGTTACCACCCTGGACAACATAGTGAATGCCGTCTCTACAAAACAAAACAAAACAAAACAAAACAAAACAAAACAAACAAACATATATATATACGTATATATGTGTATATATACGTATATATGTACATATACGTGTATATATGTATATATACATGTATATATGTATATATGTATATATATGTGTATATATACATATATAAATACGTGTATATATATGTATATATATACATATATATATAAAATTGGCTGCGCCCAGGGTCTCACTCCTGTAATCCCAGCACTTTGGGAGGCTGAAGCAAGAGGATCACTGGAGCTCAGGGATTTGAGACCAGCAACATAGTGAGACCCCATCTCTAGAAAATATAAAAAACCAGTTTGGCATGGTGGTGCACAGCTACTTGGGAGTCTGAGACGGGAGGATCACTTGAGCCTCGGAGGTTGAGGCTGCAGTGAACCACGATCACACCACTGTACTCCATCCTGGGTGACAGAGTGGGACCCTGCCTCAAACAAACAAAGCAGTGAAAGGAATGTAAAGACATCCTCCAAAATTCTCATTTTCTCATTATGATGCTTCAATGCTTTTATCCAACTATTAAATATCAAATTATTTCTAAATAATTTGGGGGTCTCCCCTGTTTTGCTACTGGCCCTAAACTCTATTGGGTAATCCAGCCCTGATACAGCTCATTTCCTTAGCAAACATTTATTTGCTCAACGAATATTTACATGTTGATATTTGCCAAGTGCCAAGCATTCTAAGAAGACAAAAGTTACCTAAAAAAAAATAATTTTATATATATATATATATATATATATATATATATATATATATATATGCCTTCAAAGAATTTACACGAGGGGTCAGGGAAATGACAAGCAAATTTCATTCTTGTAAAAACGAGCCCAGAGCCATCAGTACGTGGGGGATTAAGTGGCTTCACCACAAAGACACAGACTTGCTGGGACTTGAAGAGAAGCTCGTCTGCCAAGTAGGTGAGGGAAAGAGGAAAGGAATGCCTGGCAGAGTACAGCTGGGTGAGCGGGGTGTGCCCTCGAGTTCTGGGAGCTAGGTGTCACCCTGCTTGGGCAGGCTGGATCTGTAGTTAGAGGTGGAAAAGTGGGCAGAGACCAGATCTGGGGGCTTCCAAAAAGCTCCTTCTTAGCCGGGTGCAGTGGCTGACGCCTGTAATCCCAGCACTTTGGGAGGCCGAGGCAGGCAGATCACTTGAGGTCAGGAGTTGGAGACCAGCCTGACCAACATGGTGAAACCCTGTCTCTACTAAAAAAACAAAAATTGCTCAGGCTTGGTGACGGGCACCTGTAATCACAGCTACTCAGGAGACTGAGGCATGAGAATCTCTTGAACCTGGGAAAGGGAGGTAGCAGTGAGGCGAGATCATGCCACCACACTCCAGACTGGGTGACAGACTGAGACTCTGTCTCAAAAAAAACGAAAGCCTCTTCTCATAAGTTTACTCTACGTGAAGGTAACCGAGATGCTCTTAGGCAAGGGAGGCTCCTGGTCAGAAATAAGTTGTTTGGGAACACGAAATGTCCCCTGGCAGCTTTGGAGGAGGCCGGACTGAAGGCAACTGGACCAGATCCAGGGCTATTGCTGCAAGGAAGGCGTGACCCAGAAAAGGAGCAGAGGAAGGCATGGATTTGCCAGAACATGGAGGTGGAACCGACAGGACTTACTGATTGATCATAGGTCCGGGAGCATGAGAAGGAGGAGGCAGGCTGATTCCCAGGTTCTAGATGGTCACTGGGAGGATCCTGGGTCAGGAAACCAGGCAAGGAGCTGCAGGAGGGAAGAAGGAGATGACCATTAGGTCTGGGACCCACTGAGTCCCAGGGCCTGTGGATGTCCAGGTAGAGATGGCGAGTCAGCCACTGTGTGGGCAGAACTGGAGTTCTAGAGAGAGGATGGGTGAGAATAAAAGCAGGGACTGTGCTGTGGGTTTGAGTGTCCAGGCAGGAGACAATGGAAGGACTGCAGCAGTGAGATCACCTTTGCAAAAATTATGACAGGGAGAAAAATCTGATATAGTTGATTCCATCTTGCTCCTTTTTTTTGTATACAATTTTTTTTTTTAATTAACTGGACATGGTGGCACACCAATAGTCCCAGCTACCTAGGAGTTCAAGGATGCAGTGAACTGTGATCACACCACTGCACTCCATCCTGGGTGACAGACTGAGACCCTGTCTCAAAAAAAAAGAATAAAAGTAAAAATAAAAAATAAAAAGAGCCTGCACCCTCCATCTCTCTCTTGCTTTCTCTCTCTCCATGTAATCTCTGCACACAGGAGCTCCCCTTTCCCTTCCACCATGAGTAGAAGAAGCCTGAGGCTCTCACCAAATGGCTAGTCTTCCAGCCAGCACAATCATGAGCCAAATACGCTCTTTTCTTTACAAATTACCAGTCTCAGGTATTCCTTTATAGCAACACAAACAGACTAAGACATTCCTGTACAGAAAGTCTGCCAACTGCTGATCTAGGAAAACTGACTGTGGCATCTGCTCCCTTAACCACTGCCCTAGACTGCCTCTGGGGCCCTCAGCTAGCAGTGATGATAAATGCTGGTGTGTTTTGACCCTCCAACAAGATGCATCCTTTGGAGAGAAGGGACATGACCCTTCTTAGGTACAGTTTTTTTTGTTTTTGTTTTTTGTTTGTTTGTTTGTTTTGAGATGGAGTTTTGCTCTTGTTGCCCAGGCTGGAGTGCAATGACACAATCTCAGTTCACCACAACCTCTGCTTCCTGGGTTCAAGCAATTCTCCTGCCTTAGCCTCCTGAGTAGCTGGGATTACAGGCATGCGCCACCATGCCTGGCTAATTTTTTTTTTTTTAGATGGAGTCTCGCTCTGTCGCCCAGGCTGGAGTGCCGTGGCAAATCTCAGCTCACTGCTATCTCTGCCTCCCGGGTTCAAGTGATTCTCCTGCCTCAGCCTCCCAAGTAGCTGGGACTACAGGCACGTGCCACCATGCCTGGCTAATTTTTGGTATTTTTAGTAGAGATGGGGTTTCCCCATGTTAGTCATGATGGTCTTGATCTCCTGACCTCGTGATCCACCGCCTCGGCTTCCCAAAGTGCTGGGATTACAGGCGTGAGCCACCGCACCCAGCCTTAGGTACAGTTTTTATAGTAATATATTTGGATTTTATTAATGAACATTTGTCTCAAGAACTAAACAGTAATGTAACAGCTAAAATGTGATGCATAGAAGACAATATAGGAGTAAATCTTTGTAACTTTGGGTGAAGCAAAGCCGTCTTAGATATGACACCAAAACACAAATGACAAAAGAAAAAAATAGGGCTGGGTGCAAGTGGCTCGTGCCTGTAATTCCAGCACTTTGGGAGTCTTGCTTGAGCCCAAGGAGTTTGAGACCAGCCTGGGCAACATGGCAAAACAAATCTCTACAAAAAATACAAAAATTAGCCAAGCACGGTGGCATGCACCTGTAGTCCCAGCTACTAGGAAGGCTGAGTGAGAAGGATCACTTTAGCCAAGGAGGTTGAGATACAGTGAGCCGTGATTGCACCACTGCACTACAGCCTGGGTAACAGAGCAGGACCCTGTCCCAGAAAAGATAAGAAAAAAAAATTGATAAATTGGACTAAAAAAAGTAGTGATGCTGGGCATGGTGGCTCACACATGTAATCCCAGCACTTTGGGAGGCCAAGGCGAGCGGATCACGAGGTCAGCAGATAGAGACCATCCTGGCTAACATGGTGAAACCCTGTCTCTACTAAAAATACAAAAAATTAGCCGGGCGTGGTGGCGGGCACCTGTAGTCTTAGCTATTCGGGAGGCTGAAGCAGGAGAATCGCTTGAACCCGGGAGGCAGAGGTTACAGGAAGCCAAGATTGCGCCACTGCACTCAAGCCTGGTCAACAAAGCAAGACTCCTTCTCAAAAAAAAAAAAAAAAGTAGAGATGTCTAGGCCTCACCCTCAGAAATCCAGATTTAAATGAGTTGCAGCAGAATTCAAGCATCTGTATATTTCTAAAACCTTCACATTGATTCCAAGTATAGCACCCACTGCCTCTTTTGGCAAATTACATGTATTTATCCCTGGATTACTGCACACACTTCCTGATGGATGGTAGATTTTGAGCTGCTCTCAGTCTGAAAGTCAACTCACTTAATCTGTTCCTGTGCCTGCCACAAAGCTGAGCTGTTGACTATAAATAGCCACAAAAGACTGGAGTTTGTTCTCTTGTTCATGAACCCTTCTAAGTGTTAGATACTGTCATCCAAAGACCACCAAGATGACTAAGTAACAGGAGAGTTGTATTTGGTGACATCAGTTCACAAACCAGGAAGAGACAGTCTCCTGAATGTGTGGAAGCTGCTCTCTCTTTGACGGGAGAAAGGGCAGGCTGGGTTTTATGCCTTACAGGGCCTGTATTACACAATGGAATCATACATATTCAGCAGGTTTGGGGAAAAGACTACGCATATTTATGAGGGGAATTAAGTACATGCACAATGGGTAAACATATGTGTAACATACATCCCATGTTCACATTGGGGTGGGGTTTTAGCAATAAAATGAGGTGGAATTTGGCTCTCTGTGTCAAAAGGTGAGCTATAGGACACAAAGACAGTTTGTGTGCAGTCTCTATAAGCCGGCTGAAACTGCTTAAGGTCTGCAGTTGCTCATCAGAAGACAATGTCTATAAGGTCAGTCCTCTGTCCAATCAGAGTTGTAGCAGTCTGGGTATAAATCAAAGTTAGGAGGGGTATGATAATTTGCCTTGACATCTCCTATTGTGAGGGAGCTTAGCAAGAGTGTAGTTATTCTTGCAGCCATAGGAATTTAGGAATTTAGGAAGGAATTCATGCCAGCCAATACCTAAACCCGTGACCTGTAGGTAATTTTTGTTTCCTTAACCTTAAAGTCCATCTTTTTTTTTTTTTTTCTTAGATGGAGTCTTGCTCTGTCACCCAGGCTGGAGTGCAGTGGCACAATCTCAGCTCACTGCAACCTCCACCTCCTGAATTCACGCCACATGCCATTCTCCTGCTTCAGCCTCCTGTAGCTGGGATTACAGGCACGCCCCACCATGCCCAGCTAATTTTTGTATTTTTAGTAGGGACGGGTTTTCCCCATGTTGGTCAGGCTGGTCTCAAACTCCTGACCTCGGGATCTGCCCGCCTCGCCTCCTAAAGTGCTGGGATTACAGGCGTGAGCCACTGCACCCGGCAGGGTCCATCTTAATCAAGAGGAGTCTGTTTTGGGCTCTCAGATGACAACACAAACACTTCCTCTTGTCTGGACTGAGACAAGATCCTAATAACTACTTGCCCACAAGATGGGAACACAGCAGGAACCAGCTGTGGGGATTTGGAAAACAGTCCAACAGCAATTTTTTCCACACAGCACACTATTCTGTTCAGAATCTTGAACCTGGCTATAGTTAAGGGAGCCGCACCCACAGATATAAGCCAACTACCTAACTCAGAGATCTTCAGTAGCTTCTCTTGGCCTTCACCATGGTCTGCGTAGCCTGGTTCATTGCAGCAGTCAGGGCTCAATGCAGAAATACTATGAGCTATGGGATAAGAGAGTTACTCTAGGAATTAGACCTTACAGAATCATAGGAGAAGCTGGGGAAGGGACAGACTAGGAGGAAAGTTGGAGGCTCAGAGGAGGTACTGGCCAGTCCATCTGAGTAGCCAGGCACATTTAGTCACTGAAAGAGGATGGCCAAGGGAACGCTCTATGGTAACCTGTGCCTGTATGTAGCTACTACCACCAAGCACCTGGTGGTGGGCCTGGGGCTGTGTTGGTCATCAGGGTCAGAAGTCAGGAGAAGAGCTAGATGCAGAGGACAGCAAGGACAAACTGGAGCCCACAGGTATCTGTGTCTATTGCCACATCTAACCACAGTGGCCTTGGGGGATGGCTGCTGCTCACTTGCACCTGCCTCTTTCAGCCAAGTCTAACTGTGGCTAGAATCCCTGAAGACATAATTTCAAGCTAGAGTCTCCCTCTGTCACCCAGGCTGGAGTGCAGTGGCATGATCTCGGCACACTGCAACCTCTGCCTCCCACGTTCAAGTGATCTTTGTGCCTCAGCCTCACAAGTGCTGGCCACCATGCCCATGTTTTTTGTTTGTTTGTTTTTTTGAGATGGAGTGTTGCTCTGTTGCCCAGGCTGGAGTACAATGGCGCGATCTCGGCTCACTGCAACCTCTGTCACCCGAGTTCAAGCGATTCTCCTGCCTCAGCCTCCCAAGCAGTTGAGATTACAGGCACACACCACCATGCCCAGCTAATTTTTGTATTTTTAGTAGAGATGGGGTTTCTCTGGGTTGGTCAGGTTGGTCTTGAACTCCTGACCTCAGGTGATCTGCCCGCCTCGGCTCCCAAACTGTTGGGATTACAGGCGTGAGCCACCGTGCCTGGCCAAAACTTTTTTATTTTTTGAGAGAGAGAAAGAGAGAATTTTACTCTGTCAACAAGGCTAGAGTGCATTGGCACAATCACAGCACACCATGGCCTCAACCTCTTGGGCTCAAGTAATCCTCCCACCTCAGCCTCCCAAAATCTGTGATTGCAGGGGTGAGCCACCATGCCCAGCCTCCCATATAACTTTTGACTCCCCCATAACTTAACTACTAATAGACTACTATTGACCAGAAGCCTTACTGATAACCTAAAGCCAATTAATGCATGCTTTGTTTTGTTTTGTTTGTTTGTTTTTGAGACTGAGTCTCACTCTATTGCCCAGGCTGGAGTGCAGTGGTGTGATCTCAGCTCACTACAATCTCCACGTCCTGGGTTCAAGTGGGAGGCTGAGACAGGAGAATTGCTTGAACCCAGGAGGTGGAGCTTGCAGTGAGCCAAAATTGTGCCACTGTACTCCAGCCTGGGCTACAGAGCAAGACTCCGTCTCAAAACAACAAAAGTCTTCACCTCCTTGTCTTCACATTGAGGAGGCTGAGAGGAGGTGGAAGAGGAGGGGATGGTCTCGCTGTCTTAGTGATACAGGAGATAGAAAGAAATTATTTAGGCAGACAATGACGGCAAGAGAGTCCTCAGTAGAACTTCCCTTCTAACAAAAAAAAAAAGCCCAAGAAATCACTTTCTAAAAAGGAGCAGCCTGAAAGATCAGGCTGCAAACATAGATAGGGAAACTGGAAGCTTGCACGGGGGAATGCCGGCAGCTGCATGAATAGAAAGGACGACCCGGGGCCAGGCAGGTCCACCGTGGGGGCAGCTGCATGGATAGAAAGGACGACCCGGGGCCAGGCAGGTCCACCGTGGGGGCAGCTGCATGGATAGAAAGGACGACCCGGGGCCAGGCAGGTCCACCGTGGGGGCAGCTGCATGGATAGAAAGGACGACCCGGGGCCAGGCAGGTCCACCGTGGGGGCAGCTGCATGGATAGAAAAGACGACCTGGGGCCAGGCAGGTCCACCATGGAGGCTCCACCTTCCCTTTTTTGTTAGCACATGCGCAGTGTGAAAGAAATAAGCAACATGGAGTAGCTCAGGCAGAGGATACACCTGCATAATAAACAATTGAAGTGGGGGCTGCCAGAGATTCAAGCCCTATGCATACGGCACACCTGGTCCTAACCAGTTTTCCGTGCCCTGTGTAGATCAAATACCGCCTCCCACTAGCTCATCTGTAAAAACCCTTGCGATTCACTGAGCTTCAGCAACCCATTTTTCCAGGACCCCTCTCTGTAGCAGGGAGCTATTCTCTTTCTTTCACCTATTAAATTTCTACTCTAAACCTCACCTTTTGTATGTGTTCAAGTCCTTGATCTCTATGGCCATGAGACCAAGAACCTTGGGTGTCACCCCAGACATTAAGGCTGCTTCATTAGGGGTAGCAGAGGTGGAAGCAAATCCACATAGAAGTGGACACCTGCTCAGTTCAAAGCCGTGTTGTTCAAGGGTCCGCTGTGTGTAACTATTGGTTCCATTTATTTGTAGAACCCTATTACTCCCTCTCTCCTGCCTCACTTTATTTTATTTTATTTTGTTACAGAGTCTCACTCTGTTGCCCAGGCTGGAGTGCAGTGGTGCAATCTCGGCTCACAGCAAACTCCACCTCCTGGGTTCAAGTGATTCTCCTGCCTCAGCCTCCCAAGTAGCTGGGATTACAGGTGCCCACCACCACACCTGGCTAATTTTTATATTTTTAGTAGAGACGGGGTTTCACCACACTGGCCGGGCTGGTCTCGAACTCCTAACCTCAAGTGATCTGCCCGCCTCGGCCTCCCAAAGTGCTGGGATTACAGGCGTGAGCCACCTCACTCTTCTTTCTGCTCTCAGATGTTGCCACATTCTTTCACACTTCAGGGACCCTTTTTTTTGAGATGGAGTCTCACTCTGTAACCCAGGCTGGGGTGCAGTGGCATGATCTCAGCTCACTGCAACCTCTGCCTCCAGGGTCCTGATTCAAGCAATTCTCCTGGCTCAGCCTCCCTAGTAGCTGGGAGTACAGGAATGCACCACCACGCCCAGCTAATTTTTGTATTTTTAGTAGAGATGGTGTTTCACCATGTTGGCCAGGCTGGTCTTGAACTCCTGACCTCGTGATCCACCCACCTCAGCCTCCCAAAGTGCTGGGATTACAGGTGTGAGCCACCACACCTGGCTGAGGGACCTTTGCTTCTATAATAGCTGATAATCTTTTCCCCCTCACCAAATCTCCATCTAGCCCCTTCTTCCTCATCCCCTAAGACCCAGCTAATGTCATTTTCCTTGGACTTCCACTATAAATGATACCCTAGATATTTTCTCTCACATACACAATTGGGATTGTACATATGCAACACAGAGACAAGTTCATAACACAGCTTTGGGTTATACATTGACTTACTTGCAGTTATCTCTTTCTTGTGCCAGCTCTGAAGCTCCTTGAGGGTAAGGAGTATGTCTATTTTATTCACCATTGCATATAGTAGGTACCTTAAAACATATTTATTAAATGAGCAAAGCAGCCTGACGCAGTGGCTCACGCCTGTAATCCCATCACTTTTAGAGGCCAAGGCAAATGGTATCACTTGATCTCAGGAGTTTGAGACCAGCCTGGGCAACATGGCGAAACCCCATCTCTACAAAAAAGTTTCCTAAAAAATTAGCTAGGATCGGCCATGGTGGCTCATTCCTGTAATCCCAACATTTTGGGAGGCCGAGGCAGGTGGATCACCTGAGGTCAGGAGTTTGAGACCAGCCTGGCCGACATGGTGAAACCCCATCTCTACTAAAAATACAAAAATTAGCCAGACATGGTGGCACGCACCTATAGTCCCAGGTACTCAGGAGGCTGAGGCAGGAGAATCATTTGAACCTGAGAGGCGGAAGTTGCAGTGCATTCCAGCCTGGGCAACAGAGCCAGACTCTCTCGGGGGAAAAAAAAAAAATTAGCCAGGTGTGGTGGCATGTGCCTGTAGTCCCAGCTACTTGGGAGGCTGAAGTGGGAGGATTGCTTGAGCCCAGGAGGTTGAGACTGCAGTGAGCCTATATCGTACCACTGCACTCCAGGCTGAATGACAGAGCAAGACCCTGTCTCAAAAAAAAGAAAAAAAAAAGAAAATGAGCAAACCTAGTCATTTTGAAGGCCAATGTTTGACATGTATTTTAGAGAGAAAACAAAATTGGTCCCTTGCCTAATATATGGTGGTGTTTTGCTATATAATTTATGGTCTACATGTAACAAAACAAAAGAAAGCAATATTTAAAAACTGCCAGGAGGCAAAAATTAGCCTTACCACACACCAATCCT
Organism: Homo sapiens; assembly: GCF_000001405.40. Lineage (NCBI taxonomy): Eukaryota > Metazoa > Chordata > Mammalia > Primates > Hominidae > Homo > Homo sapiens. The sequence continues at coordinate 18,953,834 of NC_000016.10, read as the reverse complement.
GCCTGGGTTCCCTCCAGGGCTGGAAAAACCATTTAGAAGCAATTGCTGAAATTTTGTTTGTAGCCTAATTAAATAACCAGCTCTCACCAGGAGTTTTAATGGCCAGCCTAAGAGGTCCAGAAAGTTTTTAAGGCTTAATGACCTGCATACACTCTCAGCCCTACAGGATTCTTTAATATCTGCATAATTTTCTCTGTGGGAATGCTTTATCTGAATAGACTGTTTTGCTTTAGAAAATATTTTTGCAAACTCTAAGAAAATATTCCAGACAAGCCATAATCCCAATGATAACAGAGCTTCCTACTGCAATACATGAGTTAATGAACACAAAGAGGTTTGTGGAATGCCTGACCTATAGCAGGTGCTTAATAAATGGTAGTTGCGGGGGCGCAGTGCCTCAGGCCTGTAATCCCAGCACTTTGGGAGGCCAAGGCGGGACCTTGGGATCACCCAAGGTCAGGAGCTCAAGACCAGTCTGGACAACGTGGTGAAACCCGGTCTCTACTAAAAATACAAAAATTAGCTGGGCATGGTGGCGCACGCTTGTAATCCCAGCTACTCAGGAGGCTGAGGCAGGAGAATCGCTTGAACCTGGGAGGTGGAGGTTGCAGTGAGCCGATATCACGCCACTGCACTGCAGCCTGGGCGACAGAGTGAAAACTGTGTCTCTAAATAAATAAATAAATAAATGGTAGTTGCCTTCCCACATCTCAAGGGCTATTTAAAAATCCTACCTATTAGCCGGGCAGGGTGGCATTTACCTGTAGTCCCAGCTACTTGGGAGACTAAGGTGGTAGGATCGCCTGAGCCCAGGAGTTCGAGGCTGCAGTGAGCTATGATTGTGCCACTGCACTCAGGCTGGGTGACAGAGCAAGACTCTGTCTCTTAAAAATATATATATATATATATTCTTATGGGAGCCAGATGGGAGAATGTTCAATGTCAGGAATGTCCCTAAAGAGACCAAGCTTGTTGCTCCAAAAAGTTATTTCTGAATCAGCGTAATGTTTTCTCCAGTTTTTACTTCACATTTTGCATTTAGAAAGGGAGAAAAGATGGCCAGGCACAGTGGCTCATGCCTGTGATCCAGCACTTTGGGAGGCCGAGGCAGGTGGATCACCTGAGGTCAGGAGTTCGAGACCAGCCTGGCCAAAATGGAGAAAACCCCATCTCTACTGAAAATATAAAAATTAGCTGGGCGTGGTGGTGGGTGCCTGTAATCGCAGCTACTCGGGAGGCTGAGGCGGGAGAATCACTTAAAACTCAGGAGGTGGAGATTGCAGTCAGCCAAGATTGCACCATTGCACTCCAGCCTGGGAGACAAGAGCAAAACTCTGTTTCAAAACAATTAATTAATTAATTAGTTAATTTAAAAGGAGAAAAGAAAAAAGCATGCTGATTTACAAATAAGCTTCAAGATGAAGCAGAGGTAAGGCCCAGAAGCTGTTTTTAAATATTTATTTTCTAGCCTGGCCAACATGGTAAAAGCCCAGCTCTACTAAAAATACAAAAATTAACCAGGCATGGTGGTGCACGCCTGTCATCCCAGCTATTCAGGAGGCTGAGGCAGGAGAATCGCTTGAACCTGGGAGGCAGAGGTTGCAATGAGCTGAGATTGTGCCACTGCACTCCAGCCTGGGTGACAGAGAAAGAACCTGTCTCTAAATAAATAAATAAATATCTTCCCCCAGGAAATTTCCTTTACTTACCTATTTAATTTCTTTCAGGGGCATTTTCATAACCAGTAGCCTGAGTTAAGTGGCACTTAAAAAAAAACAAAACAAAACAAGGTCTCAGTCTGTTGTAGAGACTGGAGTACAGTGGCCCAATCATAGCTCATTGCAGCCTTGAACTCTTGGGCTCAAGCAATCCTCCTGCCTCAGCCTCCTGAGTAGCTGGGACTGCAGGTGCATACCACCATGCCCGTCTAATTTTTAAAATTTTTTTTTGTAGAGATGAGGTCTTGCTATGTTGCCCAGGTTGGTCTCAAAATCCTAGGCTCAAACCATCCTCCCTCCTTGGCCTACCAAAATGCTAGGTTTTTTTTTTTGTTGTTTGTTTGCTTTGAGACGGAGTCTCGCTCTGTCACCCAGGCTGGAGTGCAGTGGTGAAATCTCGGCTCACTGCAAGCTCCACCTCCCGGGTTCACACCATTCTCCTGCCTCAGCCTCCCAAGTAGCTGGGAATACTGGCACCCGCCACCAAGCCCGGCTAATTTTTTGTATTTTTTTAGTAGAGATGGGGTTTCACCGTGTTAGCCAGGATGGTCTCGATCTTCTGACCTCGTGATCCACCCGCCTCGGCCTCCCAAAGTGCTGGGATTACAGGCATGAGCCACCGTGCCCGGCCGCAAAATGCTAGGATTATAGGTGTGAGCCACCATGCCCTCATAAGAAAATTCTTACTCCTTGGACCATATCTTGGTGTCTCTATAGCTATAGCTCAGTTCTTCTACCCTTGGGATAAAAACTAAGGTGGTTAAGCCATGATACTGTAAAGGAGTCATGGGATTTTACTGACATAAAGGTGATGTTCTACCACTGTTCTAACTTAGGAAATCTGCAGCATGCCCAGGCACAGGAGTTTACCCTCCCATCAGCACCACCCTCTGAGGACAAGCCCCATCACCCTCTGCTCTAGAGAGGTGGCAGTTGTCCTGAACTATGGCGGAGGCAGTTGTCCACGTGGAGTGGATAGATTGGAGAGCTGGCAAGTCCTGTGGCATAAATAGAGGACCACAGGCTGGCTACAGTTGGTAGACACTTCTCCCCAGGTGGCAAGAGAAGGATGGCCAATGCAGCGTCTGGACACTGACAATTTATACTTTCTTAAGTGAAGATCAGTGGCCTCCCCTTGGTCTTCCCTTTGGTAACACAGCTGCTGTCTATGAGGTCCCTCACCTCTTCATCAGCCCACAGGAAGTGGTTCTTTTTTTTCATCTATATAATTGTGTTTCTTTTTTAAGTTTTTCTTTTTCTTTCTCTTTTTCTTTTTTTGAGACAAGGTCTCTTTTTTTATTTTTTTATTTGTATTTTATTTACTTATTTATTTTTGAGACAGAGTCTCGCTCTGTCGCCAGGCTGGAATGCAGTGGTGCAATCTCAGCTCAATGTAATCTCTGCCTCCTGGGTCCAGGCGATTCTGCTGCATCAGCTTCCCGAGTAGCTAGGACTACAAGGCACGCACCACCACACTCAGCTAATTTTTTGTATTTTTTTAGTAGAGAGAAGGTTTCACCATGTTGGCCAGGATGGTCTCGATCTCTTGACCTTGTAATCCACCTGCCTCGGCCTCCCAAAGTGCTGAGATTACAAGCGTGAGCCACTGCACCCAGCCACAAGACAGGGTCTCATTCTGTTACCCAGGCTGGAGTGCAGTGGTGTGATCATGGCTCATTGCAGCCTCAACCCCCTGGGCTCAAGTGATCCTCCTGTCTCAGCCTCTCCAGTAGCTGGGACTATAGGCACACACCATCCCACCTGGCTAGTGTTTGTTTTTTTGTTTGTTTGTTTGTTTGGTTTTTTTTTTTGGAGATGGGTTATTGCTATGTTGCCCAGGTTGGTCTTGAACTCCTGGCCCCAAGTGACCCTCCTGCCTCAGTCTCCCAAAGTGTTGGGATTACAGGTATGAGCCACTGCACCCAGCCTATAACTATTTTTCTATTTATTTGAAGCACAGTTAAAAAAAAAAGGTATACTTTGGAAATTCAGTGACACAAGTTACACTGCCATAACTGAGAGATATCATACAGTTAAAAAAATTAAAAAGTCTCTCTGAACCTATTCTGGTTCAGGAGTCTGCTCAATAAAAATAATAATAATAGGCTAGGCACTGTGTGCTCATGCCTGTAATCCCAACACTTTGGGAGGCTGAGGTGGAAGGATTGCTTGAGGCCTATGTGTTCAAGACCAGCCTGAGCAACATAGTGAGGCCCCATCTCTACAAAAACATTTTTTAAATTAGCAGGGCAAAACTGGGTGTGGTGGTTCATGCCTGTAATCCCAGTACTTTGGGAAACCAAGGTGGGCAAATCACCTGAGTTCAGGAATTTGAGACCAGCCTTGCCAACAAGGTGAAATCCTGTCTCTACTAAAAATACACACAAAAAAATTATCCGGGCATGGTGATGTACACCTGTGGTCCCAGCTACTCGGGAGGTGGAGGCAGGAGAATCGCTTGAATCTGGGAGGCAGAGGTTGCGTGAGCCGAGATCACGCCACTGCACTCCAGCCTAGGTGACAGAGAAAGACCCTGTCACAAAAAAAAAAAAAAAAAGGAAGAAAGAAAGAAGGAATGAGAAAAACAAAAGAGCAGGGTGAGGTTGTGTGCAACTGTAGTCCCAGATACTCAGCAGGCTGAGGTGGGAGGAGGATCCCTTGAGCCTAGGAGTTCCAGGTTGCAGTGAACTATAATACTCTCAACCTGGGCAACAGAGTGAGAACCTGTCCTCCCTGCCAAAATAATAATAATAATAATAATAATTGTTCTCCCATTTTGAACACTGCATTACATAATTTTACCTGCCCAAGGAAGTATTTCTGAAAGTGTGATCACCAGAACTGGCAGATTCAGCCACACTTCTTTTTTTTTGGGACGGAGTTGCGATCTTGTTGCCCAGGCTGGAGTGCAATGGCATGATCTCGGCTCACCACAACCTCCCCCTCCCGGGTTCAAGCGATTCTCCTGCCTCAGCCTCCTGAGTAGCTGGGATTACAGGCATGCACCACCACGTCTGGCTAATTTTGTAGTTTTAGTAGAGACGGGGTTTCTCCATGTTGCTCAGGCTGGTCGCGAACTCCCGACCTCAGGGGAGGTGATCCACCTGCCTCGGCCTCCCAAAGTGGTAGGATTACAGGCGTGAGCCACCGCGCCCAGCCACACTTTGTTAAAAATACAAATTCTTGGGTGGGTGAGACCACCCTTGCCAACAAGGTAAAATCCTGTCTCTACTAAAAAAAAAAAAAAAAAATTGGCTCATGCCTGTAATCCCAGCAGTTTGGGAGGCAGGAGGATCGCTTGAAGCCAAGAGTTGGAGACCAGCCCGGGCAACACAGCAAAACCTGGTTTCTAAAAAATAAAAATATAAAAATAAAAACTTAGCATGGTGGCATGTGCCCGTGGTCTCAGCTACTTTGGGAGGCTGAGGCAGGAGGATCACTGGAACCCAGGAGTTCAAGGCTACAGTGAGCTATAATGGCACCACTGCATTATAGCCTAAGCCAGATTCTCAAGCCCTACCCAGACCTGATGAGTCGGAAACTCAGGAGGGTGGATCCCAGCGATCTGTGTGGTTTTTTTGTTTGTTTGTTTTGCTTTGTGGGTTTTTGGGTTTTTTTGTAACAAACTCTCCAGGTAACTTTGTGTACACAAAAGTTTGAGAGTGACTGCTCTAGTCTAAGGCAGTGTATCTCAAACTTTACCTCACACTAGGATTTCTTTGGCAGCTTTGAGAAATTCTAATGCTCAGGCTTCAATCACACTTAATTAAATCAGAATCTGGTGATAGGACTCAGGCATCAGTAGTTTTTACACATCCCGCAGGTGATTCAAGTGGGCAGGAGAGTTTGAGAACCAGTGTGGTCTAGTACGCGCAGCGTCACCATCCCCTGGGTGCCCGGTAGAAATGCAGAACCTCAGGCCTGGCACAGTGGCTCACGCCTGTAATCCCAGCACTTTGGGAGGCCTATGCAGGTGGATCACTTGAGCCCAGGAGTTGGAGACTAGCCTGGGCAACATGGTGAAACCCCTGTCTCTAAATACAAAAAATTAGCTGGGAGTGGTGGTGCGCGCCTGTGGCTACAGTGAGCCGTGATCGTGTCACTGCATTCCAGACTGAACCACAGAATGAGACCTTGTCTCAAAAAACACAAAAACAGGCCAGGTGGGGGGGCTCATGCCTGTAATCCTAGCACTTTGGGAGGCCGAGGTGGGCAGATGACTTGAGGTCAGGAGTTTTAGACCAGCCTGGTAAACATGGTGAAACTCCATCTCTACTAAAAATACATTTTTTTTTCGAGACAAAGTCATCACTCTTGTCACCCAGGCTGGAGGGCGATGGTGCGATCTTGGCTCACTGCAACCTCCATCTCCCAGGTTCAAGCGATTCTCTTGCCTCAGCCTCCCAAGTAGCTGGGATTACAGGCGCCTGCCATCACGCCAGGCTAATTTTTGTATTTTTAGTAGAGACAAGGTTTCACCATGTTGGCCAGGTTGGTCTCGAACTCCTGACCTCAGGTGATCCGCTCGCCTCAGCCTCCTAAAGTGCTGAGATTACAGGCGTGAGCCACTGCGCCCAGCCAAAAATTCAAAAATTAGCCAGGCATGGTGTGAGCCAAGATCATGCCACTGCACTCCTGGCTGGGCGACAGACAGCAAGACTGTCTCCAAAAAAAAACTCTTAAAAAACAAAAAGAAATCTCAGGCCCTGCCCCAGAGCTGCTGAATCTGAGGCTGTACTTTAACAAGTTGGGGTGGCGGCGGGGGCAGAATAGCTCTCCTTTTTTTTTTTTTTTGAGACAAAGTCTTGCTCTGTCACCCAGGCTGGAGTGCAATGGCATGATCTCGGCTCACCGCAACCTCCGCCTCCTGGTTCAAGCAATTCTCTGCCTCAGCCTCCCGAGTAGCTGGGATTACAGGTGTCCACCACCATAACCAGCTAATTTTTTTGTATTTTTAGTAGAGATGGGGTTTCACCATCTTGGCCAGGCTGGTCTTGAACTCCTGACCTTGTGATCCACCCACCTCAGCCTCTCAAAGTGCTGGGATTACAGGCGTGAGCCACTGTGCCCGGCCTTATTATTATTTTTAATAGAGACAAGGTATTGATATGTTACCCAGGCTGGTCTCTAACTCCTGAGCTCAAGTGATTCTCCCGCCTCAGCCTCCTAGAGTGCTCAGATTACAGGCATGAGCCACCCTGGCTGGCCCTGTGACTCTCCTAAGCACATTAAAATGTGAGGTGCCCTGTCCTGGAATACAAAAACTCAATCTGAGATGTGTGTCTGAAACTGTCTGACTTACAGATCAATGATCCAGAGGTTGTTGCTTTATTTTCTTTTTTCTTTTTCTTTTTTTGAGATGAAGTCGTGCTCTGTCACCCAGGCTGGAGTGCAGTGGCACGATCTTGGCTCACTGCAATCTCCACCTCCTGGGTTCAGGTGATTCTCCTGCCTCCTGAATAGCTGGGATTACAGGTGCCCACCACCACACCTGGCTAATTTTTGTATTTTTTGGTAGAGACAGGGTTTCACCATGTTGGCCAAGCTAGTCTCAAACTCCTGACCTCAGGTCATCCACCCACCTTGGCCTCCCAAAGTGCTGGGATTACAGGCGTGAGCCACCGAGCCCGGCCAGCTTTTGTTTTTCTGATTCTCTGGTAACAGAGACTGTTTTCCCGCCCAACCCCCGCACCCCACCTCAGATGATCTGTCTAGGGGAGCGGAGAATGGCCTGGGAAAAGTAAATTCAATGAGCACCTCCAGGGGGCCCTAGAGAGAGTGAGTAAGGGAGGAGGAAACACTTTAATTAACATTCGGATAGATTCTGTTCCTCATATTATTAATTACTGCATTGGTTCATGGTAATCCCAGGAGGCCTCCCCTAAACCAGCTATTTCTGGCTCTCCCCGCCCCACCCTCCAATTTTTTCTTTTTACTCTTTTCTCAGCATCTTATCAGATTCCTGCTGAGCAATTTAGAAAGTGAAACCAAGCCTGAGTCAGAATTGGAATACACATTCATCTGGACTTCGTATTTCCCTGAACAGGTAGAATAAGAACCCCAGATTGCAATGGGCCTTCTGACCAAACGCAACAGAAATGTCATTTTCCTTGGGTTTTTTTTGTTTGTTTGTTGTTTGTTTGTTTGTTTTTCGTGAGACGGAGTCTCCCTCTTTTGCCCAGACTGGAGTGCAGTGGCATGATGGATTCTCCTGCCTCAGCTCCCAAGTAGCTGGGACTACAGGTGCCCACCACCACGCCCAGCTAATTTTTGTATTTTTAGTAGAGACAGGGTTTCTCCATATCGGCCAGGCTGGTCTCAAACTCCTGACCTTGTGATCCGCCCGCCTTGGCCTCCCAAAGTGCTGGGATTACAGGCGCGAACCACCGTGCCCAGCCTGTCCTGGAATTTTTTAATTGACAAGATCCTTTTGTACTAATCCCATTCATATATTTAAGTCTTTTTTCCTTAGCTTGAAAATGATTTATGGCTGGTTCATTTCTCTAGAGTCTCCAAACCCACACTCGCTTTGACATATGTGCGCATATGTGCAGTCATGACAAATCAGGAGTTTTAGGATGCTTTTGTATCCTGGGCAGTGCGGTATGGAAAGAGGTTAGGGCTGGGATACCTGGATCCCTTAGAGGAAGTCACTCTGCTATGCTGGGTCTCTGTTTTCTCACTTCCAAAATAAGGAAATTTGATGCCCGAGGGCGCAAATTCCAATGCCTACAGGAGCTAAGGAATAGCCTAAACGGGACTAAGCGTGGCCCCTACTCAGCCCCTCTTTCTTTGTTAACTTCTGGGAATGTGGGTCCAGAATTGCCAGATTTCAAGTAAAGCAAATAAATAAATAAATAAAATAAAATCTGGATTTCCATTTGCAATTTCTCAATTTATAAATGCCAGGAACTAACACAACTTTATTTTGCAGAATTTGGAAATTACACAAAATACTCCTGAGGCCATCGTTTTCCCTAGAGCCAGCGAGGTAATGACTTCTAGATTAAATGATATCCCAGGACTTTTTTAGGATCCAATTCTTCCCCTCCAATGCACTTGGGGGCTTTTGGCTTTTCTCTCTCTCTCTCTCTTTTCTCTGTCACCCAGGCTGGAGCGCAGTGGTGCAATCACAGCTCACTATAGCTTCAGTCTCTGGGGCTCAAGTGGTCCTCCCACCTCAGCCTCCTGAGTAGCTGAGACTACAGGCATACGCCACTATGCCTGGCTATTTTTACATTTTTTTGGAAGGATGGAGTCTCACTTTGTTGCCTGTTATTTTTGTGTGTGTGTGTGTGTAGTCATATCTGTGTCTCTCATTTATTCCTTCACTAAATATTTGAGTACCCATTATAAGCTGGAAACTGTTGTTGACAGAAAAAAAAATGAGAAGGGGTTTGTACCTTTGAGTTAGCAAATGAGACAGCTAAGTCACATGCCACAATAAATAATAAGGCTTAGTGAACAACTACATTTGCTGAAAAGTCTAAGATAAGGCGGGTCCAGGTCTTTAGCAATACACACAATCATTCTGAAGCTTGGCATTTTAATCTGTAAAATGGGAATAATAATACCTCCCCATCAAGCATGTGTGAAGATTAGAGCTCTGCCTGTGAAGTGCTGAGATGTATACTACCTGGCATGGGGTACATGCTTGTTTCAGTCCATGGATGCTGCTGTAAAAAAATAGTGGCCAAGTGCGGTGGCTCACACCCGTAATCCCAACACTTTGGGAGGCGGGCAGATCACCTGAGGTCAGGAGTTTGAGACCAGCCTGGCCAACATAGTGAAACCCTATCTCTACTAAAAATACAAAAATTAGCCAGGTGTGGTGGTGCACACCTGTAGTCCCAGCTACTCAGGAGGCTGAGGCAGGAGAATCTCTTGAACATGGGAGGCAAAGATTGCAGTAAGCTGAGATTGTGCCATTGTACTCCAGCCTGGGCGACAGAGTGAGACTCCATCTCAAAAAAAAAAAACAAACAAAAAAAAACGGATAAACTGGCGGCATATAACAACAGGAATTTATTTCTCATAGTTCTAGAGAATAAGTCCAAAATCAAGGCACCAGTAGATTCGGTATCTGGGGAGGGCTCACTTCCTAGTTCACAGATAACACGACACCTTCTTGTTGTGTCCTTACATAGTGGAAGGCACAAGGCAGCTTCTTGGTGCCTCTTTTATAAGGACACTAGTCTTGTTCATGAGGGCTCTGCCTTCGTGACCTAATCACCTCCTGTATTAGTCCATTTTCACACTGCTGATAAAGATATACCTTAGACTGGGTAATTTATGAAGAAAAAGAGGTTTAATGGACTCACAGTTCCACCTGGCTGGGGAGGTCTCACAACCATGGCGGAAGGCCAAAAGCTTGTCTTATATGGCGGCAGACAAGAGAGAATGAGAGCCAAGCAAAAGGGGCAACCCGTTATAAAATCGTCAAATCTCGAGACTTACTCACTATCGCAAGAGCAGTATGGGGGAAACCACCCCCATGATTCAATTATCTCCCACCAGGGGTCTCTCCTACAACACGTGGGAACTATGGGAGCTACAATTCAAGATGAGATTTGGGTGGGGACACAGCCAAACCATATCACCTCCCAAACACCTAGCTTCCTAAAACCATCATCTTGAGTGTCAGGATTTTAACACAGAAACTTGTGGGAAGCAGGGCATGGTGGCTCTTGTTTGTAATCCCAGCACTTTGGGAGGCCAAGGCGGGCAGATCACTTGAGGTCAGTAGTTCGAGACCAGCCTGGCCAACGTGGTGAAACCCCATCTCTACTAAAAATACAAAAATTAGCTGCGCATGGTGGTGTGTGCCTGTAGTCCCAGCTACTCGGGAGGCTAAGCAGGAGAATTGCTTGAACCCAGGAGGTGGAGGCTGCAGTGAGCCAAGACTGCGCCACTGCACTCCAGCCTGAGCGACAGGACAAGACTCTGTCTCAAAAAAAATAAATAAATAAAAGAAGGCCAGGTGTGGTGGCTCACGCCTGTAATCCCAACACTTTGGGAGGCCGAGGCGGGAGGATCACGAGGACGGGAGACTGAGACCATCCCGGCTAACACGGTGAAACCCCGTCTCTACTAAAAATACAAAAAAATTAGCCGGGCTTGGCAGCGGACACCTGTAGTCCCAGCTACTTGGGAGGCTGAGGCAGGAGAATGGCATGAACCTGAGAGGTGGAGCTCACAGTGAGCCGAGATCGCATCACTGCACTCCAGCCTGGGCGACAGAGCGAGCCTCTGTCTCAAAAAAAAAAAAAAAAGGAAGGAAGGAAGGAAGGAAGGAAGGGAGAAAGAAAGAAAGAGAGAGGGAGAAAGAAAGAAAGAGGGACACAGAGAGAAAGAAAGAAAGAAAGAAAGAAAGAAAGAAAGAAAGAAAGAAAGAAAGAAAGAAAGAAAGAAGAAAAAGGAAAGAGAAAGAAAGAAAGAAAGAAAGAAAGAAAGAAAGAAAGAAAGAAAGAAAGAAAGAAAGAAAGAAAGAAATCTGTGGGGAACACTTTCAGACCATAGCAATGCTCAATCGATGCTATAATATTTAGTGTTTCTGCCTTTGCTCTGTTGCCCAGGCTGGAGTGCAGTGGCACAATCACAGCTTACTGCAGCCTTGAACTCTTGGGCTCAAATGATTCTTTTGCCTCAGTCTCCCAAGTAGCTGGGACTATAGGTGAGTGCCACCATGCTCAATTAATTTATTGTTTTTATTGTTTTGCAGACATAGGGTCTCACTATGTTGCCCAGGGTGGTATTGAACTCCTGGCTTTAAGTGATCCTCTTGCTTCACCCTCCCAAAGTGTGGGGATTACAGGCATGAGCCACCACACCCAGCCCTGGTGTTACTATGTTTATTATTACATTATAAACTCCTTGGAGTTAAGGGTGGGGTCTTATTAAAACCAAACGTGGCAATTCCTAACTTGTAGGCAGCAGGTTGTGTTCCAAAAGTGTATACCTCAGAGCTTTTTTCCCACAGAGACAGCATCAACTGCTTATTTCCCAAGGCAAATCTGGAAACACTTATTTAAACTATAAGGTGACTTAAATATTGCACAACTGCAATTAAAAAAAAACTCAGAAAACAGCACTGATATAATGGAAATACAGCAGGAGAAGCAGCTCTTGCAGGTTCTTTTTTACAAGAGATGATAAAAGGCTTCTTGCTTGTGAATGGCCCTTGAGACTCTAAGGCAGGATTAATTAGAAGACCAAGAACAAGAGTTCACACTTCAAGATTCTGAAGGAGGCTTCTAGGGATGTTTAAGGGCCTTTAAGAGGGATGAGTCTAGGTTTTTAAATTTGTTTAATTGCACTTAAAAATGTATAACTTTCCTTTTCCTTGAGCCAATTTTCTGTAACATTGTTTCCACACATATCCTTAAAGTATCATCTTCAGGCCAATGATTCTCAAATTTGCCTATTTAGGCCACATGTTTATAGACCCTACTCCTGGCTTGACATGTGCACTTGGCAATCTCATGCACATCTCAGATTTAACATGGTCAAAACAGAACTCTTGACTCCAATTTGCCTCTGTCCAGGCCTTTCTTATCTCAGTAAATGGCACCAACACACTGGTTACTCACATCAAAACTTGGGAAATAGCTTTCTTTTCTTTTCTTTTCTTTTTTTTTTTTTTTTGAGATGGAGTCTAGCTCTGTTGCCCGGGCTGGGGTGCAGTGGCACAATCTCGACTCACTGCAACCTCCGCCTCCCGAGCTCAAGCGATTCTCCTGCCTCAGCCTCCCAAGTAGCTGGGATTACTGGTGCCTGCCACCACACCCAGCTAATTTTTGAATTTTTTTTTTTTTTTTGAGACGGAGTCTTGCTCTGTCACCCAGGCTGGAGTGCAGTGGCGCGATCTCGGCTCACTGCAAGCTCTGCCTCCCGGGTTTACGTCATTCTCCTGCCTCAGCCTCCCAAGTAGCTGGGACTACAGGCGCCCACCACCATGCCCGGCTATATTTGTTTTTTTTTTAGAGATGGGGTTTCACCATGTTAGCCAGAATGGTCTCGATCTCCTGACCTTGTGATCTGCCCGCCTCGGCCTCCCAAAGTGATAGGATTACAGGTGTGAGCACCCGCGCCCGGCCAATTTTTGTATTTTTTTAGTAGAGATGGGGTTTCGCCATGTTGGCCAGGCTGGTCTCGAATTCCTGACCTCAGGGGAGGTCTTCTTTAGAAGCAGCTGGGAGCGGTGGCTCATGCCTGTAATCCCATTCCTTTGGGAGGCCAAGGTGAGTGGATCACCTGAGGTCAGGAGTTTGAGACCAGCCTGGCCAACGTGAGGAAATCCCGTATCTACTAAAAATACAAAAATTAGCTGGGCATGGTGGTGGGTGCCTGTAATCCTAGCTAATGGGGAGGCTGAGGGAGGAGAACTGCTTGAACCTGGGAGGCAGAGCTTGCAGTGAGCTGAGATTGTGCCATTGCACTCCAGCCTGGGTCACAAGAGCAAAACTCCATCTCACAAATTAAATAAATAAATAAATAAAAATAAACTCTTTAGAAGAAAGAACATATAAACAAGAGTGGTAGTTTTAGACTAACAGAAACCAATATGGTAGCCACTAAGCACTTATAGCTACTGAGCACTTAAAATGTGGCTACTTTGTATTGAAATATGCTGTAAGTAAAATACACACTGGCTTTCAAGGCTTATCAAAAACAGAATGCAAAATATCTCATTAATAATTGTATATTGATTACATGAAGTGATAATATTTTGGATAAAATATATTGTTAAAATGAATTTCACCTGTTTTTAATTTCCTCAAATATGACTACTAGAAAGTTTAGAATTACATATGTGGCTCAAATTATATATTTTTTTCTTTTTCTTTTTTTTTGAGAGAGAGTCTCCCTCTGCTGTCCAGGCTGGAGTGCAGTGGCGCAATCACAGCCCACTGCAGCCTTGACTCCCTGGGCTCAAGTGATCCTCCCACCTCAGCCTCCCAAGTAGCTGGGACTACAGATGTTCATCACCACACCCAGCTAATTCTTTTGAGGGGGAGGGGCGGGGAGTTATGGAGGTCTTGCTGTGTTGCTCAGGCTAGTCTGAAACTCCTGGGCTCAAGCTATCCTCCCACCTTGGGCTCCCAAAGTGCTGGGATTACAGGCATGCACCACCACACCCAGTCCCATTTTCATACCTCGAGGGGCTATGTTCTAAGAAACATAATTTGGGAAATACTGTTTCAAAGATTAGTGTTAATGATTTATTTTATAATTTATTTATTTTTCTTAGACCACAGAATGAGATTATTTTTGAAAATGGTGGGGAGGGTAGTATTGATCCTAGGAATCAAGTAGTATTTCCTCTCTTTTCAAATTTATATCTTCAAACTCAGGTATTTATTGCCATCAGTTATCTGATGGTAGCAGGTGATAGATGAATCATCCTTATGGTCATTTAAAGTTGCAGGAGGGCCGGGCACGGTGACTCACGCCTGTAATCCCAGCACTTCGGGAGGCTGAGGCAGGCGGATCACGAGGTCAGGAGATTAAGACCAACCTGGCTAACACGGTGAAACCCCGTCTCTACTGAAAACTACAAAAAATTAGCCTGGCGTGGTGGCGGGCACCTGTAGTCCCGACTACTTGGGAGGCTGAGGCAGGATAATGGCATGAACCCGGGAGGCGGAGCTTGCAGTGAGCCAAGATCGCGCCATTGCACTCCAGCCTGGGCGACAGAACGAGACTCTGTCTCAAAAAAGTAAATAAATAAATAAATAATAATAATAAACTTGCAGGTCATTTAAAGTGCGGGGTGCAGCATGTAATAAATGCTCAATATATTTTTTAAAAGATCATGAGGCCCCACGCTATCTCTGCATCCTGAACTTTCTGGTGCTACCTCCGGGAAGATTTTACATCTTAAGACATGAGGGCACAACTGGAGTCAGAAATGCCTGGGTTTGGCCCTGGGCGGTGGCTCAGTCTTGTAATTCCAGCACTTTGGGAGGCCAAGGCGAGGGGATCACCCGAGGTCGGGAGTTGGAGACCAGCCTGACCAACATGGAGAAACCCCGTGTCTACTAAAAACACAAAACTAGCTGGATGTGGTGGCACATGCCTGTAATCCCAACTACTCCGGAGGCTGAGGCAGGAGAATTGCTTGAGGCAGGAGGTGGAGGTTGCGGTGAGCTGAGATCGCGCCATTGCACTACAGCCTGGGCAACAAGAGCAAAACTCCATCTCAAAAAACAACAACAAAAAAAATTAGCTGGGCGTGGTGGCGGGTGCTGTAATCCCAGCTACTCAGGAGGCTGAAGCAGGAGAATCACTTGAACCCAGAGGGCAGAGGTTGCAGCGAGACGAGATCGCACCATTGCACTCCAGCCTGGCCGATGGAGTGAGACCCTGTCTCAATAAAATAAAATGAAGTTGGAAAACCACTAAGCCACGGTCTAACTCAAACCCTTGAGTTTGCAGATGAGCAAATGAAGGTTTTGGGAGATTAAGTGCCCTGTCCAATGTCAGTGAGCACATCAATGTTTTACAAATTGGAAAGCGGGGAATAAAAAAGGTACTTAAAACAGGAAGTGGCCCAGAAACTATCACCTACATAATCTCCTGTCCCTTAAGCTTCCCTCCTCCATCATTTGTTTACCTGTAAGAGAAAATTACATTTTCTAAGTGCGCCATGAATATAGATATACTCCTTTCATCCAAACAGAAACAGAGAAGAGATTTACTACAGCATCAAGCAGCACCTCAGAACTCTTTCAGCCTTCCTGGCGAAAATGGACAAAGTTGCCCGGGCGCCGTGGCTCACGCCTGTAATCCCAGCACTTTGGGAGGGTGAGGCGAGTGGACCACCTGAAGTCAGTAGTTTGAGACCAGCCTGGCCAACATGGCAAAACCCTGTCTCTACTAAAAATAACAAAAATTAGCTGGGCGTGGTGGCGGGTGCCTGTAATCCCAGCTACTCGGGAGGCTGAGGCAGGAGAATCGCTTGAACCCAGGGGGGTGGAGGTTGCAGTGAGCCGAGATTGCGCCCGCCACTTCACTCCAGTCTGGGCAAAAGACTGAAACTCTGCCTCAAAAACAACAACAATAACAACAACAACAACAACAACAACAAAAACAGAAACGAAAAGAAATATTTTCGTTTGAACCCAGGAGGTGGAGGTTTCAGTGAGCTGAGATGGTGCCACTGCACTCCTTGGCGACAGAGTGAAACCCTGTCTCAAAACAAAACAAAAACAAAACAAACAAAAAACTTCCGCCCCTTTTTTTAAGTAAAAAGAGTTGGTTTTGTTTGTTTGTATTTTTGGGTTTTTTTTTGTTGTTGTTGTTGAGTTGTAGGAGCTCTTTATATATTCTAGATATTAACCCTTTATCAAATATATGATTTGCAAATATTTTCTCCCATTCCATGCTTTGTCTTTTCACCCTGTTGATGGTGTCCTTTGAGGCAAAAAGTTTAACATTTTGATGTAGTCTAATTTACCTGATTCTTCTTTTATTGCTTGTACTTTGGACTTTGGATATTGTGCTAAACTGAGTTCTTTTGATCAGTGTCTTTATAGTCAGAGAACTTGTCATATAGTCTAAAAGTTAAGCCAACAGAAGGATTCTTCATATTGTAGTCTACTGACCTCTTTTATAGAATCAAAGTGTTTTTTTCTGGAAAACACTGTGAGCTCTTTCTCATGTGTGTTATTAATACTTTTATCAAGTGGGCTTTCTACAAAAACAAAATGGTAATAAGATTCTTTTTTTTTTTTTTTTTTCAAAGAGCTTTCTGAAGTTTGCTAACTTATGAATGCAACCTTCCCTTCTTGCACCGGTCCTGAGCCGTGATTGTGCCACTGCACCCTAGCCTGGGTGACAGAGGGAGACCTTGTCTCTAAAAAAGAAAGAAAGAAAGATGATGAAAGTGTAGCAAAGGGTTATTTACAGAGGGTTTTAGTAAACTAACAAAGAATGCTGCAGTATCCTAGGGCTAGCAACATCAGGGAGCCTGCATTACCTTTAGGCTCAAAGATCAAGGGAGAGAGACAGTGGTTGCTGGAACTTAGAGAAGGCAGCTGGATGGAGACAGTCATATGACAGGAACTGTGGCCTTCAGTAGAGAGATGCAGCAACCTCCAGGTGACCTCAGGGAGGAAGCTTTAGGAATAAGCACCCAGACATCAATGTCTTCCTGTTCTCCCACGTGGCGGTGTTTCCTATGGTAGAACTCAGCCAGAAGACACAGGACAAGGGATTCAGCTGGCACGCTCCATGCAGGTCACTCTCTGGGTTGCAGAGCTGAATGGAGAAAGATGGAGAATAGATTTGCAGGGACCAATGGAGAATAGCAGGTGCACACACATTGTCCGGTCTGGCTTCTCAGCAGCCAAGAACCACCAGTTGGTCGATGTTTGAAGAATTACTATGGGCCGGGTGTGGTGGCACACATGGGTGCTTTGGGAGGCCAAGGCAGGAGGATCACTTGAGGTCAGGAGTTTGAGACTAACCTAGCCAATATAGCAAAACCCCATCTCTATAAAAAACACAAAAATTGGCCAGGTGCGGTGGCTCACGCCTGTAATCCCAGCAATTTGGGAGGCTGAGGTGGGCAGATCACGTGAGATGAGTTTCAGACCAGCCTGGCCAATATGGTGAAACCCCATCTCTATTGAAAATACAAAAATTAGCCAGGCATGGTGGTGTGCACCTGTAATCCCAGCTACTCTGGAGGCTGAGGCAGGAGAATTATTTGAACCCGGGAGGCGGAGGTTGCAGTGAGCCGAGATCATGCCACTGCACTCCAGCCTGGGCAACAGAGGGAGACTCTGTTTAAAAAACAAACAAATAAATAAATAAAAGTTAATCTCATCCAAAAATACCCTCACAGACTGGGTGTGGTGGCTCATGCCTTGTAATCCCAACACTTTGTGAATCTGAAGGAGTAGACTCGCTTGAGCCCAGGAGTTTGAGACCAGCCTGGGCAACATAGTGAGACCTTGTCTCTACAAAAAATTAAAAAATTAGCTGGGCATGGTGGCACACACCTGTGGTCCTAGCTACACCTGAGGCTGAGGGAGGAAGCTCACTGGAGCCTGAGAGGTCAAGGCTGCAGTGAGCCATGATTGCACCACTGCACTCCAGCCTGGCTGACAAAGCAAGACCCCGTCTCAAAAAGTAATGAAAAAAAAAATATCCTCACAGACACACCCAGAATACTGTTCAACCAAATATCTGGGCACCCTGTGCCCCAGTCAATTTGACACATTAAAATTAACTGTCACAATATCCTTCCAGCCTTTTCCTATATCTATATAACATTACATAACATATATATAGATAGCTATAAGTCTATTTCTTTTCTTTATTATTATTATTTTTAAGATAGGGTCTTACTCTATCACTCATGCTGGAGTGTAGTGGTGCAATTTTGGCTCACTGCAACCTCCACCTCCTAGGCTCAAGCAATTCTCTCACCTCAGCATCCTGAGTAGCTGGGACTACAGGTGTGTACCACCATGCATGGCTAAATTTTTTTTTTTTTTTTTTTTTTTTTTTGTAGAGACAGGGTTTCTCCATGTTGCCCAGGTTGGTCTTGAAATTCTGGACTCAAGTGATCACTCACCTTGGCCTCCCAGAGTCCTGGGATTACAGGCATGTGTTACCAGGCCCAGCTGGTGTATTTCTCTTCTTTTTCTTCTTCTTCTTTTTTTTTTTTTTTTTTTGTGTGTGTGAGATGGAGTCTTGCTCTGTCATCCAGGCTGGACTGCAGTGGCATGATCTCAGCTCATAATAACCTCCACCTTCCGGGTTCAGGCGATTCTCCCACCTCAGCCTTCCAAGTAGCTGGGATTACAGGCACCTGCCATCATGCCTGGCTAATTTTTGCATTTTTGTAGAGACGGGGTTTCACCATGTTGGTCAGGCTGGTCTCCAGCTCCTCTGTGGGAGGTGGGGGGATTGCTTAAGGCATGGAGCTCAAGATCAGTCTGGGCAACATAGAAAGACCCCATCTCTGGGCGGGCAGGGTGGCTCACGCCTGTAATCCCAGCACTTTGGGAGGCCGAGGCGGGCAGATCACGAGGTCAGAAGATGGAGACCAGCCTGGCCAACATGGTGAAACCCTTTCTCTTCTAAAAATACAAAAAATTAGCCGGGCATGGTGGCAAGTGCCTGTAATCTCAGCTACTCAGGAGGCTGTGGCAGAAGAATCGCTTGAACCCGGGAGGTGGAGGTTGTAGTGAGCTGAAATCGTGCCACTGCACTCCAGCCTGGGCGACAGAGTGAGACTCTGTCTCAAAAAAAAAATTAATAAATAAAATAAAAAGGCTGGACATGGTGGCTCACACCTGTAATCCCAGCACTTTGGGAGACCGAGGTGACTGGATCACCTGAGGTCAGGAGTTCGAGACTAGCCTGGCCAACATGGAGAAACCCTGTCTCTACTAAAATACAAAGTAGCCAGTGTGGTGGCACATGCCTGTAATCCCAGCTACTTGGAAGGCTGAGGCAGGAGAATTGCTTGAATCTTGGATGCAGAGGTTGCAGTGAGCCATGATCACGCCATTTCACTCCATTCCTGGGTAACAAGAGTGAAACTCCGTCAAAAAAAAAAAAAATCCAACTAGCCCAGTGTATGTTGTGGAATACACCTGTAGTCCCAGCTACTTGGGAGGCTAAGGTGAGAAAATCACTTGTGCCCAAGAGGTTGAGCTGCAGTGAGCTGTGTTTGCAGCACTGCAACTCAATCTGGGTAATAGAGCAAGACCCTGTCTCAAAAAAAATAAAAATAAAATAAAAAAGTAAAGAAAAGAAAGAAAGAAAAAGAGAGAGACTGGGCACAGTGGCTCATGCCTGTAATCCCAGCACTTTGGGAGGCTGAGGTGGGTGGATCACCTGAGGTCAGGAGTGCGAGACCAACCTGACCAACATAGTGAAACCCCATCTCTACTAAAAATGCAAAATTAGCCGGGTATGGCGGCAGGCACCTGTAACCCCAGCTACTCGGGAGGCTGAGGCAGGAGAATTGCTTGAACCCGGGAAGTGGAGGTTGCAATGAGCCGAGATCGTGCCACTGCACTCCAGTCTGGGTGACGGACTAGACTCCATCAAAAAAAGAAGAAAGAGAAAAAGAGAAAAGAAAGAAAGAAAGAAAAGAAAGAAAGGAAAGAAAAGAAATAAAAATAAAATTCTTAGTAAGTGGCTGTTATTAGTTTGACACAAAGGTAAAAAAGATGGTATCTGCTTTTAAATTGAGTAGTACAGGGCCAGGCTTTTATTAGTCCCCTTCCATCCCTGATGTTTGCTGGGAGTAAACACTTCCCCAATACTTGTTGATAATTTGGAGATTAGACTATTATTTTTCTACAATCCTATTATTTTCATATCCCTGTTTCCTTTACCTGAGGTGATGTAATACTCAGCCATCTGCTCCCCTTCATCTAAAAACTACCTTAAGTCCTGCTTTATCTGAGAAGCCTCTTCCAGGGACCAGCAGGGAGGGTCCTCTGAGACGTGGTATGCCTGGGGGATGGTGAAAACACTATGCCAAGCAGTGTGACCTTCAAATTATACAGCACAAAACACTTTATGGAATAAGCCTCCATTTGCTTCCCTGGTATGGGATGAAGAAATCATTTCAGCTAAGACATAGATAGCAGTGTCCCAAAGAAGCTAAATGATCCTATTTCAACTAGAAGTTCTGAAGTGAAATATTTATCCTTCCCTTATTTGGTAGTCTCTTTAACTCTTTAGAGTTAAACTTGCTGGGCGCAGTGGATCACGCCTGTAGTCCCAGCTACTCGGGAGGCTGAGGCAGGAGAATCGCTTGAACCCAGGAGGCAGAGGTTGCAGTGAGCCAAGACTGTATTTTTAGTAGAGATTGGGTTTCACCATATTGGCCAGGCTGGTCTTGAACTCCTGACCTCAGGTGAGCCACCCACCTCAGCCTCCCAAAGTGCTGGGATTACAGGCATGAGCCACTGCGTCCAGCATGTTAAATGATAACTGTATAAACAATAGAGGGCAGTAACTTGCTGTTGGGAGATTTTATTTACATAAGTTTGCATTTTATTTACATATATTCCTAATAATGGATTAATCAGGGAAAGCAAAGGAGTTAGCTCCATTAAAATCACCATGCCAGTCCTTGGGCAGCTCAGGACCAAACATAAGGGAATTTCACTTTCTTGTTTTCTCCAATTTAAAAGTTACAAATAGCTTAAGATGAGCATCACCGGCTTCCTATTTTATTGTTGAAAGAATGCACGAGCCACTGGGCAGCACTTCTTGTGCCCTGATTCATAGAATTTTGGCCCCTGCCTCAAGCTGAGACTGCCCAAGTGGAGATTTCAAATGTGTCATGAGGTTTCTCAGCCAAATTCCTCCTGCACCAGCTTGAAAAATCGCTATAAAAATAGCCCTTACTGAGGGAGCCTGACCTGTGACAAAGATTTCCTAGCTGGGAGCAGGAACAAGAAGGCTGCTGTTTTTCTTTTTGAAAAATCTGCTTTAATGTCTTTATGATGTGGATTTGCTTTTAAGATTGCATTTTAAAAATCACCCATGTAAGTTGAGTCTCCTGGTTGAGAATAAAGTTCCTCAATTCTTGGTGCCTAATAGGGGTTAATCCTGGGCCAGACATAGGGTCAAAAGAAAACAAAAGAGAGAATTCTCTTTTGTTTACTTAGAGAATAAATGTCAGTACAGTGTCTCTCTAGGAAGTTTGGAAGATTTCTAGGAAAATCCTGGTGATGAAAGACCCTGGGGTTGGTTTGTGTTCGAATCCTTACTGGAAGATCTTTTAGGAGTTAAGACAGGATCACGTTACTCACAGTTTTTGAGGTTCTGAGTGTATCAAAAATTTAAGAAATAACAAAGAGCATTCACAATTTGTACTATATTTTGTTTCCTTTTTATGTTTTGAACACTTTTAACACAAGGGGAAACAAACTATGAAGCGATGTAATTACATGTTCACCAGGTAATAATATAATTTATTAGGAAGTATGAATGCCATGCACAGCCTCTACAGGTGTGTGAGCTGGTAATGGACATAGTTTGTTAACTTCAGACTTCCTTCCTGTTCGAGTGTCTCTGGGACTCTGGGTCTAACTTCACTAGGCGATCACGTCAAAGGTCTAAATCTGACGCCTTTGACGAATGTGGAGTTGGGGCCAAATGTCCCTTCTGTCTCTGCCTGTGACATTCCCTTCCTGGCCCTGCCTGCTACCAGCTGGGTGACCTTGTGCAGGGAGCTAGCTTCTCTTGGTATCACAGCCCCAAAGTGTAAAATGCCACATTGAAACCTACCTTAGCTTGGTTTGGGGGAATTCCTTGAAGTAACAACTCATATTGATCATTTGACTGAGTGGTTTTGCATTAGTAAATGCTCAATAAAGGCCGAGTGCCGTGGCTCATGCCTGTAATCCCAGCACTTTGGGAGGCTGAGGTGGGCAGATGACCTGAGGTCAGGAGTTCGAGACCAGCCTGGCCAACATGGCGAAATCCTGTCTTTACTAAAAACACAAAAATTAGCTGGGCATGGTGGCACATGCCTGTAGTCCCAGCTGCTCGGGAGGCTGAGGCAGGAGAATTGCTTGAACCTGGGAGGCGGAGGTTGCAGTGAGCCGAGATGTTGCTACTACACTCCAGCTTGGGCGACAGAGCAAGACTCCATCTCAAAATAAAATAAAATAAAATAAAATAAAAAATAAATGCTCAATAAACATTAGGTAGAGTTGGTCACTATTTTTAGAGCTAAGACTTGATGTCTTGGCTAAAGTTTACTCAGTTGGTCTGTCTGAGTCACTGCCACACTCTAAGAGTATTCATTCTCTGTTCATTCATTCAACACCTATTTATTGAATGCTTACTTTTAGCTTTGTAAATTTTTGTTTTAGGCCGGGCACAGTGGCTTACACCTGTAATCCCAGCACTTTGGGAGGCGGAGGCGGGCGGATCACCTGAGGTCGGGAGTTTGAGACCAACCTGCCCAGCATGGTGAAACCCTGTCTCTACTAAAAATACAAAAATTAGCTGGGCATGGTGGCAGACGCCTGTAATACCAGCTACTCGGGAAGCTGAGGCAGGAGAATCGCTTGAACCCGGGAGGTGGAGGTTGCAGTGAGCCGAGATCGAGACATTGCCCTCCAGCCTGGGCAACAAGAGCAAAACTCTGTCTCAAAAAAAAAAAAAAAAAAAACAAAACTTCACAAATGTAATTTGTAATGGCTGCAGAAAATTTCAGCTCTGAATGTACTGCATCCTAATCAGTTTCCTATTGTTGAGCATTAGTATAATTTCCAGGTGTTTTGTTTTTGTTTTGCTATTAATAAGTAAAACTGAGATGAATACTTCTGTATCAATCTTGATCCTTATTTTAGATAATTTCCATTTCATTCCTCCCATTTCTTGAGTGCTTCCTATGGTCAGGTGCTGTGCTGTGTGCTGAGTATGGAGGAGGTAGGCTGAGATAGATGTGACCTTTGCTCTTGCAAAGCTGATATCCTAAGGGTTGGACCGATGCTAAATATGCAAAGAAACCCAATACTTGCAGATGGTGCTGGGTACTACCAAGGAAAGAAATAGGGTATGTGACAGAGTACCTGGAAAGGGCACTGGCCAGCTTTTATGGGCAAGGGACGTCAAAGAAACCTGTCTGGAGATGAGACAGGCCAGGAAAATCAGGGCAGGGGCCAGAGTAGGGCAAATGTGGTGCCTAGAGCCTCATTTTTTTTTTTAGATGGATTCTCGCCCTGTTGCCCAGGCTGGAGTGCAATGGCAGGATCTCAGCCTACTGCAACCTCTGCCTCCCAGGTTCAAGCAATTCTCCTGCCCCAGCCTCCTGAGTAGCTGGGATTACGGCAGAGCCTCAAATTTAAGGAGGGACTTACTCACAGGATTGTGCAAATGCAAAGTTGGCTTTTGCATGACCCTGGGAGTAGGTGCCTCCTTAAATTTTGCACCCTCAGCAACTCCATCACCTGTCACGTTGCTAGTCCCAACCCTGATGGGAACAAATGCAGGGAAGGCATTCCAGATGGCGGGAACAGCAAGTACAAAAATCCAGAGGCCAGAAAGGCTTGGTGTGTTTCAGGAACAGAAACTCGGCTCCCATGACTGAAATGGAGTAGGGAAATCCTAATGGAACCAGAGAGGCAGAACCACCAACAGGAAGAAGAAAAAAATGTTGGAAGTTATGAGAGTTGCTCACGTTTGATTCATTTGATTAATTTTATTGAAATGGAGTCTCACTCTGTTGCCCAGGCTGGAGTGTAGTGGCACGATCTAGGCTCACTGCAACCTCCACCTCCTAGGCTTAAGTGATTCTCTCATCTCAGCCTCCCAAAGTGCTGGGATTACAGGCGTGAGCCACCATGCCCCACCTGAAGCAATTTCTCTGTTGTCTTTTTTTTTTTAACTTCTCTCATAGAAATAATTAACCCTCAAAAACACTCAGTGTTGACAAAGGGTGGTGTGAGGACACAGAAAGTATCAGACTATCATTGGCAGAAACTTCTGGAAAGCAACTTAACAGTCTGTATCCAAAGACTTAAAATCATTAACAGCCTTTTCCCCAATAACTCCACTTCTCGGAATCTATCCTAAGGAAATCTGCCACAGCCAGAGTGATTTTTTCCGTCCCCTTAAGAAATGGTCTCATCCTGTTGCCCAGGCTGGAGTGCAGCGGCACCATTATGGCTCACCACAGCCTGAAACTCGTGGGCTCAAGCGATTCTCCCACCTCAGCCTCCCAAGTAATTGGGATCACAGGCATGCCTCCATATCCATATGCCTAGATGGATAATATTTTGACCAATAAAGAAAAAGAGGGCCAGGCGCGGTGGCTCACGCCTGTAATCCCATCACTTTGGGAGGCCGAGGCGGGCGGATCACGAGGTCAGGAGATTGAGACCATCCTGCCTAACACGGTGAAACCCCGTCTCCACTAAAAATATAAAAAACAAAATTAGCCGGGCTTGGTGGCGGGCGCCTGTAATCCCAGCTACTCGGGAGGCTGAGGCGGGAGAATGGCTTGAACCCGGGAGGCAGAGCTTGCAGTGAGCCGAGACTGTGCCACTGCACTCTAGCCTGGGCAACAGAATGAGACTCCATCTCAAAAAATAATAAAAATAAAATAAAAAAATTAAAAAGAAAAAGAAAGGTAGTACCAGAGATTGTGTCCAGTTGCTCAAGCAATTTCTAACTTGTCTAATGTAAAAAAATTTTAAATTTTTACACAAAATTAGCCGGGCATGGTGGCATGTGCCTGTAATCTTAGCTACTTGGGAGGCTAAGGCAGGAGACTCGCTTGAACCTGGAAGGCAGAGGTTGCAGTGAGCTGAGATCGCACCATTGCACTCCAGCCTGGGCCACAAGAGTGAAACTGTGTCTGAAAAAAAATTTTAATAATTTTTGTAGAGATGGGGGTCTCACTATGTTGCTCAGGCTGGCCTATAACTCCCAGGCTCAAGGATCTTCCAGTCTCAGCCTCCCATCACTGGAATTACAGGCATGAATCACTTCACCTAAATGATTTTTTTTTTTTTGGAGACAGTCTTGCTCTGTCACCCAGGCTGGAGTTCAGTGGCATGATCTCGGCTCACTGCAACCTCTGGCTCCCGGGTTCAAGCAATCCTCATGCCTCAGCTTCCCCGAATAGCTGGGACTACAGGCGTGCGCCACCATGCCTGGCTAATTTTTGTATTTTTTTGTAGAGATGGGGTTTCACCATGTTTGTCAGGCTGGTCTCCTGACCTCAAATGATCCACCCACCTCGGCCTCCCAAAGTGCTGGGATTACAGGAGTCAGCCATCCATGGTGCCCCTCCTTTTCTTTTTCTTCTCCTCCCTCCCTCCCTCCCTACCCTCCGCAGCCCAGGCTGGAGTGCAGTGGCGGGATCATAGGTCACTGCAGCCTCCACCCGCTGGACTCAAGTCATCCTCCTGCCTCACCCTCCTGAGTTCCTGGGACCACAGGCACGCGCTACCACGCCAGCTAATTTTTGTAATTTTTGTAGTCCCCATCATTTAGAACTGGCAGGATCCTCCCTTAGTGAGGGATTGGTGGCCATAAGCAAGGAGCCCAAGGTGGAGGGGATATGCATGTGTGTGAAGGGGTCAACTCCTCGTAATCTTCAAGTACTTTTGGTAACAATATTTATTTGCACAAGCGATATATAAAGACGTTTTCTTTGCAACATAAAATGATAGGTTATGACTCCTTATGCAGATACGGTTTAGACACTCGTTTAAGGAGCATCCTGGCCCAACTTTTAAAAAACGTGTGTGCATTCACGTTATGCATCAGATGCTTTAGGGAACTTTTTTCCCTGGGGCATGGGACACGTCATGGGGTAGACGGTCGGGTACGTCTCCTCTACCCAGCTGCTGCTTTGTTTTTTTTTTCTTTTTGAGACAGAGTCTTGCTCTGTCGCCCACGCTGGAGTGCAGTGGAGCCATCTCTGCTCACTGTGAGCTCCGCTTCCCGGGTTCACGCCATTCTCCTGCCTCAGCCTCAGGAGTAGCTGGGACTACAGGCACCCGCCACCACGCCCGGCTAATTTTTTGTATTTTTAGTAGAGACGGGGTTTCACCGTGTTAGCCAGGATGGTCTCGATCTCCTGACCTCGTGATCCGCCCGCCTCGGCCTCCCAAAGTGCTGGGATTACAGACGTGATCCACCACGCCCGGCCTTCTCTCTTTCTTTTCTTTTTTCCTTTCCTTTCCTTTCCTTTCCTTCCTTCCTCCCTTCCTTCCTTCCTTTTTCTTCCCTCCCTCCTTTCTCTCTCTCTTTTATTTTTTTGAGACAGAGTTTCACTCTTGTTGTCCAGGCTGGACTGCAATGGTCTGATCTCGGCTCACTGCAACCTCGGCCTGCTGGGTTCAAGCGATTCCCCTGCCTCAGCCTCCCAAGTAGCTGGGATTACAGGCGCCCTCCACCATGCCCGGCTAATTTTTGTATTTTTAGTAGAGGCGGGGTTTCTCCATGTTGGCTAGGCTGGTCGGGAACTCCTCACCTCAGACGATCCGCCCACCTCGGCCTCCGAAAGTGCTGGGATTACAGGCGTGATCCACCGCGCCTAGCCCCCAGCTTCTTTCACCAGCAGAAGGCGGGCAAGCCTCAGGGTGAAAGGACTTCAAAGCACATTTCACATTGCAGAGGACAGGGTTTGGTGATCGTGGGTACTCCCTTCCCTTCCATCGTTTAGTTTTTTTCATTGTGAAGAAATGGTAAAAGGTGCCAGGACTCGATGGGCACATTTCAGGTGGAGGTTGGGAAGGTGGATATCCACCTCTCGATCTTACTATTTTCACTTTCCACCCCACCCCGTAGAAAGTGGGAAAACTGGCGCACGTGAATCCAAGGGCACGCCTGTGTGCGCGCGCACCGCAGGGCACCAGCCCCCACCCACACCGCAGGTCCTTGATTGGACGCCTGTTTACACCTGACTGCCCGGCCCTCCGGTGCTTTCCGGGAAGCGTTTGGGAGAAAAGTGTGTGGCCGCAGTAGTGGAGATCCCCTGTCTTAGGATTCGTCACCGCTACGCCCAGACCTCTTCGCCGCCCAAGGGCCTGGGGACGTGGGGGGCGGGGCGGCCTGCTATCGACCCCGCCTCTCTCGGCTCCGCCCCGCCGACAGGACCCGCCTCTCTCCCCAGGCCCGGCGGGCGCCAACCCCGCCCCTCGCTCCCAGCATGCCGTGCGACAGCGGCGGCGCGGCGGGCGGAGCCGGGAGGCGGGGAAGCAGTGGCCGTGTGAGCGTGAGGAGCTGCCGCCACCGCCTGCTCCTCGTCGTCCTCGTCCTCCGGGGCCCCGGCGACGTGGGCCGCGCACGGCCCTGGAAAAGACGTCGCCTCCCCTTCATCCGCCTCTCTCTCACCGCGCCGCTCCCGCCTCCTCGTCCTGCGCTGCGGGCTCAGGCGGAACCCGGAACGGCCGTCCTCTTCCCCCGCCCTCCGCCGCCTCCTCCTTCTCCTCCTCCTCCTCCTCCTCCTCCTTCTCGGCTTCCTCCTCAGCCCCGGGCCGGAGCGGGGTGTCGGCGGCGGCCGGTTCGGGCGGCGACTCGCGCTTCTTTGGGCGGCGGCGCTTGGCCATGTCGTGTCGGGGAAGGTAATGAGCCGCAGAGCCCCGGGGTCTCGGCTGAGCAGCGGCGGCGGCGGCGGCGGCACCAAGTATCCGCGGAGCTGGAATGACTGGCAACCCAGGTGGGTGACCGGCCCGGGACCCCGCCCCGACCTCCCGGGCTCCGCCTCGGGCGGGCCGAGGCCTAGGGCCGCGGGGCTGGGAGGCGCGGCCTAGGCCCTCCACCCCTCGGAGCCGGGCGCGGCTTCCTGGGTCTCCTCCGCCCCGGCTGGGGGAGGAAGGCCGCGGGGAGGCGAGGCCTAAGTGCCTCCCCTCCCTGCTTGTTCAGCCCGGGGCTGGAGCCGAGACCCGGGGCTCCCGGCGGTGGCACTGGCCTGGGGTCGGGACCAGGAGGTGAGAAAGAGGCGGGGGTGGGGGTGGGGGGCATTCCAGTTACAGCCTCCCCCTGACCCCGAGTTGGGAGATGCTGAGAGTCCAGGACCCTCCCTGTTACTCATTCACTTTCTCGGTTCCCCACTCTTTCAGCCGCCACGTGAGAGCTCTTCTAACCTCTGTTCCTTTCTGTGACCCCCACGTGTTAATATTGAAAAAAACAAAACAAAACTCCAGCTAAGGCATTGCTCTGACTCTAGGCAGAACATTCATTAGTGGAGCATGAGATGAGATTGTGTGACTGTTGATGGGATCGACCCACGCTGGTCTTGGGCGATGGAAGTTTTCCCTAAGTGCAAGGCCGGTTACTCTGGTGAATCGTAATTCATACCTGGACACTTGAGTGAACTCTTTGGGCACCCACTTAGAAGTCTAGAGAATTTCCTCATTTATGGAGGATTTGATCTCAGACCGTTTTGGGGCTTAGTGAGATTTGAATATATTAGGAACATTAACTTTTTAAATAAATGTAGTTTCCTGTCTTTTTGATCAATGGGAGGGCAGCTGTGCCTAATTTAGGACTGATTTATTCTAATCTCTCTTAATAAATGCTTGTATTCAGAGTCTGTTTGGAATTTAACCCAATGCTTAGAACTCCTTAAATATACAGAAATATATTTTAGGGGTAATTGATTCATGGAACTCTCCTACTTTGGAGCACAATTGTTATAATTGTCCAGAAACTGGCCAAATAATGTAGAACGCGCAAGTTGTTGGGAAGCCCTTTTGTTTCCTGATAGTTACATGTAATTCCAGCAGTATTTGGAAATAATTTGCTAAGATGTTAGAATGTAACATTTGAAGACTCGTTAGAAAAATCAATAAAATTATCTTTGGCTAATAGGTGGTACACATCTTAGTCTATTTAATATGCCTTTCCAAATACTGTGTCTGTTGAGAATTGGTGTATATAACTAGATGACTTTAATAATTAGTGCCTGAGTCTAGAATTGAGATGTTTAGTCGTAAAAAAAAAAATATTGTTCGATAAACAGCGTTGACTTGTCTTGTACCACTTAAGAGTTTGTGAGTGCTTTAAATAAAATTAGTTGATTAAGTATTTTTTTCTATGATTGACATGCTTAGTTTTGCCTTTTTATTGAAATGTGTGAAATTTGATTTTCTGGCATCTAACAAATTAGGTGGTAAATAAATGACAATGGATTTTCTATTATTTTTCAGTATTGTGATCAGTATAAGTATATAAGAGAATTTAGTAACCTTTTAGAAGAATAAAGTGCCCTTCCCAAATAGTCCTACAGCTTTTGGAAAAGTGTAAATTGTAGTTGGTAGTTCTAAATAAATAGAGAAGAGTCGCAGCCACGTGCTAGGGCCAGCTGACTTCATTGCTGACAGGTATGAAGCCAAATGGCTTATGTAGTTATGGAATATGTACATGAGCTATTAATAAATATTATCCATGTTGTTTCTTTCAAGTGCTTTATTTCTTGGCTCTGGGGAGGGGCGATGGGGGAAGGGAGGAGCTTACAAGAAAGCTTACAAGGTTTCTTTGAAGCTGTGCTTTTTGTAAGAAAGTTTCAGGATGTAACGCCTTGGTAGACGATACTGTGATATACATTTGGTTATAGGGAGTAACAGTTTGTTAGGATGTTGGAAAGATTTGATTTTCTCCTGTTGTAGAGGGAACAGGGAAGTGTGGACATACCCCATAGCATAACTTGATTTGTTGCTAAGATTGTCATAGCTGATTTGTTAGTCAATAAAAATACCTGGGGTGTTTGCCAAGTCATAAATTTTTATTAGTTAAATTTGAGGTGATTCTGTCCCCTATTCAGAAAGACGACAGACTCCAGGTAACTGACAGAACGGATCTTGATCTTGCTTCTTGCTTAAATGAAGGTTTAGAACATCTTCAGATGCAGGCACATTTATTATGGTTCATCTGAATAATTTTGATTAATTTTTTTTTGCCTCTTATGTACCATTTTGTCCCTGGTGTTTTGGTTCTGTTTTCCTTGATGTAGGCCTTTTTTTTTTCCTTCCTGAGATGGAGTCTTGCTCTGTCTCCCAGGCTGGAGTGCAGTGGTGTCATCTCGACTCACTGCAGCCTCTGCCTCCCGGTTACAAGGAAAAATTCTCCTGCCTCAGCCTCCTGAGTAGCTGGGATTACAGGCGTCCAGCTAATTTTTGTATTTTTAGTAGAGACGGGATTCCACCATGTTGGCCAGCCTGTTCTTGGACTCCTGACTCAGGTGATCCGCCTGCTTTGGCCTCCCGAAGTGCTGGGATTACAGGTGTAAGTCACCGCACTCAGCCGATTTAGGCTTTTGAAAAAGCAACACTTGTTGATTTCTTTTAGTGTTAGTTTGCCAGTTGGTGTGGAAAATGACTGTTGAGTCCATTTTGACCACACATGATACTTCACACATACTGACAGGAAGTGTTGCAGGTGGCTGTATACGTGAATGTCTTATGGCAAGAGAGCAAACCCGTGTTCCATAGAAGCATACCTCCAACAGTAAGCATTTATATGGCACTGGCTTATAGTCTTCCTTTTCATTCACTGTGCTCCCAGTCAACTCTTCTGTAAATTTTTTTGAGAACAGGGTCTTGCTGTGTCACCCAGGCTGGAGTGCAGTGGCACAGATACTTGGCTTACTGCAGTCTCGACCTCCCAGGCTCAAGCCTCCTGCCTCAGCATCCACAAGTAGCTGGGGCTACAGGCGCTTGCCAACAGCCCGGCTCATTTTTGTATTTTTTGTAGAGATGGGGTTTTCACCACGTTGCCCAGGCTGGTCTTGAACCCCTGAACTCAAACAGTCTGCCCACCTTCAGTCTCCCAAAGTGTTGAGATTACAGGTGTGAGCCACCGCACCCGACATTTAAGAATGGTTAAGCAGGCCGGGGGCAGTGGCTCACACCTGTAATCCCAGCACTTTGGGAGGCTGAGGTGGGTGGATCACCCGAGGTCAGGAATTCGAGACCAGCCTGGCCAACTGACATGGTGAAACCCCGTCTCTACTAAAATAAATAAATAAATAAATAAATTAGCGGGATATGGTGGTGCATGCCTGTAATCCCAGTTACTCGGGAGGCTGAGGCAGGAGAATCACTTGAACCTGAGAGGCGGAGGTTGTCCTGAGCGACATCACACCACTGCACTCCAGCCTGGGCAACAGAGCAAGACTCCTTCTCAAAGAATGGTTAAACAAATGAGTGGTCTTAGGTCAGTTGTATTATTTGAAATCTATGGGTTCCTCAAGCGTAAAGTTGAGAAGGTTTTGGGAACCACTGGATGCCTCTGGTTTTTTTCATATGAAGAAACAGGGGTGGTGGCTTCTTAGAACAAAGGGATATCTGACCTATGGAGGTTGCCCTCTTTACTCCTCTTCCCTAAAAAAATGACCTATCATTGCCAATAGCTAAAGTCTGTCATTTTTTCCACCTTAGTTTGGAAGATAATCTTCTAGTATCAATCAAGACAGAGATCAGAATGATGTGTTTTAAAATTAAATGTGTAATTCATAATTGTACATTTTAATATTCTAAAGTGACTGATTAATTTGACATTGGAGTCAAATAGATTGATTAATTCAACAAAGAAGAGAAGGCATTCAAGTCAACAGAAAACAAGTAGATTTTACTTCTCCACTCGGGGTTTTAGGACATTAATTGTGTAATTGGTCTTACTTGTTTAGTAGTAGATCTATATTGAGTGTCTTACTGTGCCCAAACTTAGGATCTTTCTATACTTCTAAAAGGATGAAACTGTATAATAAAAAGACCTTCCAATTTTGGTAGATTGTAGACAGATTAAAGTATTCAAAAGTACACACATCTTCTCTGTTGTGAAAGACCAAGAAATGGAAATGTGTTGTGAAATTAGAAAAGCTGTATACTAGTATGTCTGATGTTGTGAGAAGCTGGATTTTTGAAACCAGAGTTGTCTATTCAGCCTTTTATCAGTCTGTACTAAGTTTGATGTCCATAGGTACATAATACGGGGAAATACATAAAGGATAAAATTAAGTGAAGTTACATATTTTATACCTATTAGGTGGGTGCAAAAGTAATTGCGGTTTTGGCAAAAACCGCAATTACTTTCACACCAGTCTAATATTAAATGGAACTAGAGTCAAATAGAATTCAGTGATTTCCAGTTCTGTTCCACGGATTTCAAAGTACACTAAGGAAAATTTCAGCAAATTGTGTATGGCTATTTTACTTGAGGGGAGAGTAAAACAGCCATAATAAACTAAAAAATAAAAATGAAAAATAAAACTAAAGGAACGTTTGTTTTTATGTTTTTCTTTTCTTTTCTTTCCTCTGTTTTGAGATATGCTCTTGCTCTGTTGTCCAGGCTGGAGTGCAGTGGTGCAATCACTGCTCACTGCAGCCTTGACTTCCTCTGGGAATCCTCCCGCCTTAGCCTCCTGAGTAGCTGGGACCACAGGTGCATACCACCACACCACTAATAAATTAGTCCCAGGCTAATTTATTTATTTTTCCTCTCTCTCTCTCTCTTTTTTTTTTTTTTTTTTGAGACAGAGTTTTACTTTGTCGCCCAGGCTGGAGTATAGTGGCACAATCTCAGCTCACTTGTAACCTCCACCTCCTGGTTCAAGTGATTCTCCTGTCTCAGCCTCCCAAGTAGCTGGGAATACAGGTACATGCCACTATGCCCGGCTAATTTTTGTGTTTTTAGTGGAGATGGGATTTCACCATGTTGGCCAGGCTGGTCTTGAACTGCTGACCTCAGGTGATCCACCGGCTTCGGCCTCCCAAAGTGCTGGGATTACAGACGTGAGCCACCATGCCTGGCTTCCTCTCTCTTTTTCTGAAACAGAGTCTTACTCCATTGCTCAGGTTGGAGTGCAGTGGAACCATCTCAGCTCACTGCAGCCTCCACCTCCCAGGCTCAGTAAGTCCTCCTACCTCACCCTCCCAATAGCTGGGACCACACGTGCATGTCACCACCCCCAGCTACTTTATTTTTTTTTGTTTTTTGTAGAGATGGGGTTTTGCCATGCTGCCTGGGCTGGTCTTGAATACCTAGGCTCAAGTGATCCTTCCTCCTTGGCCTCCCAAAGTGCTGGGATTACAGGTGTGACCCACCATGCTTGGCACGCTAATTTTTTATTTTTATTTTTTTGTAGAGATGGGGCCTCCCCATGTTGCCCATGCTGGTGTCAAACTCCTACTCCATTATGAAATAAGTCATTCCTTATGAAACACTTAGTAATTGTATCTTTAAGTTGAACCTTCACCTCACCCCAACTTTTTTTTTTTTTTTTTTGAGACGGAGTTTTGCTCTTGTTGTCCAGGCTGGAGTGCAATGGTGCAATCTCGGCTCACTGCAACCTCCACCTCCCAGGTACAAGCGATTTTCCTGTCTCAGCCTCCTAAGTAGATCAGATTACCGGCATGTGCCACCACACCCGGCTAACTTTTTTATATTTAGTAGAGACGGGGTTTCACCATGTTAGTCAGGCTGGTCGTGAACTCCTGACCTCAGGTGATCCACCTGCCTCGGCCTCCCAAAGTGCTGGGATTACAGGTGTGTGCCACTGCACCCGGCCTTTTTTTTTAAGACATAGTTTTACTCTGTCTCCCAGGCTGGAGTGCAGTGGCACGATCTTGGCTCAGTACAACCTCCACCTCCTGGGTTTAAGTGATTCACGTGCCTCAGCCTCCCGAGTAGCTGGGACTACAGGTGCATGTCACCAGGCCCGGCTAATTTTTGTATTAGAGACAGGGTTTCGCCATGTTGGCCAGGCTGGTCCCGAACTCCTGACCTCAGGTTCCCACCTCGGCTTCTCAGAGTGCTGGGATTACAGGAGTGAGACACCGTGCCTGGACCCCCCCAACCCCTTTTGTTTTGATTCCTTTACAAATTAGTATAATGGAAGGTTTGTTTGTTTTTTATAACAGGTAATGAAATACTCTAATTCAGTAAATATTGATGCTTCTAGGGAGATTGTGTGTGTGTGTGTGTGTGTGTGTGTGTGTGTGTGTGTGTGTATATATACACACACACACACACATTTTTTTTTTTGAGACGGAGTGTTGCTCTGTTGCCCAGGCTAGAGTGCAGTGGCGCAATCTCGGCTCACTGCCAGCTCTGCTTCCCGGGTTCACGCCATTCTCCTGCCTCATCCTCCTGAGTAGCTGGGATTGCAGGTGCCCGCTATGATGCCTGGCTAATTTTTTGTATTTTTAGTAGAGATGGGGTTTCACCGTGTTAGCCAGGATGGTCTTGATCTTCTGATGTCATGATCCGCCCGCCTCAGCCTCCCAAAGTGCTGGGATTACAGGCATGAGCCACCGTGCCCGGTCATAAATTTTTTTTTTAGAGATGGGGTCTCACTGTGTTGCCCAGGCTGAAATGCACTGGTGCAGTCTTGGCTCACTGCAACCTCGGCCTCCTGGGTTCAAGCGATTCTCCTACCTCAGCCTCCCGAGTAGCTGGGATTACAGGCATGTGCCACTACCCCTGGCTAATTTTTGTATTTTTAGTAGAGATGGGGTTTCACCATGTCGACCAGGCTGGTCTCGAACTTCTGACCTCAAGTGATATGCCTGTCTTGGCCTCCCAAAGTGCTGGGATTACAGGCATAAGCTACTGCACTGGGCCACGGCCAGGATTTTTATGACTTGTAAAACCACTGTCTTCAAGGAGGCTATAAGTTATTATGGGAGAAAAGTAAAGGGCTTTGTAAAGGGGAGAGCATGTGGATTTTGTGATACAATTCTCAGTATACCTTCCTTCCTTTCTTTTTTTTTGAGACAGTCTTGCTCTGTCACTTAGGCTGGAGTGCAGTGGCATGATTGACAGGGTTTCGCCAGGTTGGCCAGGCTGGTCTTGAACTCCTGACCTCAGGTGATCTGCCCGCCTTGACCTCCCAAAGTGCTGGGGTTACAGGCCAACATGGTGAAACCCCGTCTCTACTAAAAATACAAAAATTAGCTGGATGCAGTGGTGGGTGCCTGTAATCCCAGCTACTTGGGAGGCTGAGGCAGGAGAATCGCTTGAACCCAGGAGGTGAAGGTTGCAGTGAGCCAAGATCATGCCATTGCACTCCAGTCTGGGTGACAGAGTGAGACTGTCTCAAAAACAAAAACAAAAACCTGGAGGGTCAGAGGAGGGAAAGCTATACAGTTAAGTATGGAGCGGTAGGGTGATGGAATTGGTCTGTACAATTTTCACTGTGAATTTGGGGGAGAATCCCCCCCAAAATAGAAGAAAATTAGGATAAGACCAGGTGCAAATTGTCAGTGTGTAGAGAAATTGGGTACTTCTGAGGAGTAATACAAATAAGAGGTGAAGCTGAAGCACTGGGTTGGGAACCCTATTGTAGGCCTTGAATCATAGTTCAAGTGTTTTTTTCTTTGTTTGTTTGTTTGTTTGTTTTTGGAGACGGAGTTTTTGCTCTTGTTGCCCAGGCTGGAGCACAATGGTGCCATTTTGGCTCACTGCAACCTCCGCCTCCCGGGTTCAAGCAGTTCTCCTTCCTCAGCCTCCCAAGTAGCTCTAGGGATTACAGGCACGCACCACCACACCCGGCTAATCTTTTGTATTTACTAGAGACGGGGTTTCACCATGTTGGTCAGGCTTGTCTTGAACTCATGACCTCAGGTGATCCACCCATCCCAGCCTCCCAAAGTGCTGGGATTACAGGCGTGAGCCACCACCCTGGCCCAGTTCAAGTGTATTTGGAGTGACTTTAGGGAATCATATTAGCTGCGGGAGAGTGGCACAATTTAGGAAGATTAAATCTAGTTGCTTCTTGAAAAAGTGTGTGGGCTGGGCGTGGTGGCTCATGCCTGTAATCCCAGCAGTTTGGGAGGCTGAAGTGGGTGGATCTCCTGAGGTGGGGAGTTCGAGACTAGCCTGACCAACATGGAGAAACCCCGTCTCTACTAAAAATACAAAATTAGTCGAGTGTGGTGGTGCATGCCTGTATTCCCAGCTACTCGGGAGGCTGAGGCAGGAGAATTGCTGGAACCTAGGAGGCCAAGGTTGTGGTGAACTGAAATTGCGCCGTTGCACTCCAGCTTGGGCAACAAGAGCAAGACTCCATCTGAAAAAAAAATGGAGTGTGTGTGTTAGAGTGCGTGCATGCATGTGCAAGAGAAATCGCAGTGGGAGGCAGTTAATTGGAACAATATAGAGAAGGGGCTGCTAAGGACCTGAGTATTATGTTTATATTTAACAATTTAAGATAAGGCTGTGTATGTATGGTGGCTCATACCTGTAATCCCAGCACTTTGGGAGGGCAAGGTGGGTGGATCATCTGAGGTCGGGAGAGACCAGCCTGACCAGCATGGAGAAACCCCATGTCTACTAAAAATACAATAATTAGCCGGGCATGGTGGCATATGCCTGTAATCCCAGCTACTTGGGAGGCTGAGGCAGGAGAATCACTTGAACCTGGGAGATGGAGGTTGTGGTGAGCCGAGATCGGGCCATTGTACTCCAGCCTGGGCAACAGGAGCGAAACTCTGTCTCAAAAAATAAATAAATAAATAAATTAATTAATTAAGGTAAAAGTGTTCAGCTCAATATGTGAGAATTTCCATAAGCAAAAGCCCCTCATTTGTTATCTGGTGTTGATTGAGGATGATTACTAAAGTGATACTTTTTATCTGCTCAATCTTCATGTTAGACACATGTATGGAATGTCATATAAGTGTCATATAAAATGGAGTGTGGTCCATGGTGTCTTTTGGGAACATTGAATTGTTACAATTCTTTAGGATTTTCTGCCTTTGTTACCTGACTCTTGTTCCTTATCCTAATCGCCTAAAACAAATCCCTGAGGCTCCTTTCATTGGACCACCCTTGATGATTCAGAGGAGCTGTTTGTTATCTTTTCATGTTGTCATTATTTTGGTTACCTGTCTTTGACTATCTTGAAGTTTTTCAGAGCCCATTTTATTTTTGGAACTATAAAATGAAACATACTTCCCCTTGTATAGAGGCCTAACAGTAAAGAGTACAGAAATTTGTGGTTTCATATGTATGGGAAATGCTCCCTTATTCTGTGTTTTTTTTTGTGTGTGTTTTTTAATGTAGAGTATAACTTACTAAATTCTTGTGGAGTTTGCTCATGCAGAGATACTTGGTTTTATAACGTTATTCTTTTTTTTTTTTTTTTTTTTTTTGAGATGGAGTCTCACCGTCGCCCACGCTGGAGTGCAGTGGCAGGATCTCGGCTCACTGCAGGCTCCACCCCCCGGGGTTCACGCCATTCTCCTGCCTCAGCCTCCCGAGTAGCTGGGACTACAGGCGCCCGCCACCTCGCCCAGCTAATTTTTTGTATTTTTGGTAGAGACGGGGTTTCACTATGTTAGCCAGGATGGTCTCGATCTCCTGACCTCGTGATCCGCCCACCTTGGCCTCCCAAAGTGCTGGGATTACAGGCGTGAGCCACCGTGCCTGGCCTATAATGTTATTCTTTTCCATCTTGTATTAATCAAGTGTACTTTTCCTTTTTAGATTGAATTCTCTTTTGAATTCTATTGTGGTGCTTCTTTGAGATAAAATTTATGTATGTATAAGTGGTGGTGGTTTTTTTTTTTTTTCTGGTTTTTTTTTTTTTTTTTTTTGAGACGAAGTGTCGCTCTTATCCCCCAGGCTGGAGTGCAATGGTGTGATCACGGCTCACTGCAACCTCTGCCTCCCGGGTTCAAGTGATTCTTCTGCCTCAGCCACCTGAGTAGCTGGGATTACAGATGCCTGCCACCACGCCTGGCTGGTTTTTGTACTTTTAGTAGAGATGGGGTTTCACCATGTTGGCCAGGCTGGTCTTGAACTCCTGACCTCAGGTGATCCACCTGCCTCGGCCTCCCAAAGTGCTGGGATTACAGGCGTGAGCCACCACGCCTGGCCTGTATAGGTCTTAAATTCAGTAAATTTTGACAAATCTATACACCTGTGTAACCATGACCTCAGTCAAGGTACAGATATGCAGTGACTTTTTCACTATGACACCCATTCCTGCCACGTTTTTTTCATATCCTTACCACTATCTGGAATTTTTATGTGTGCCATCTCCAGTAAAATACAACCTGCATATGTGCATGGATCTGGTAAAATTGTTACTTTTGCTATCCCCTTCTTTCCTACTAAGTGCATCAATAAATAGCATCCACTCTATATTTGTGTCTTCCTCAAGTAAATACATGAAAATGAGATCCTGCAAGTTTGTGTTTTTATAGTTAGTGTTAACTCCAGAGATTACAACACTGTTCTTGTAGGATGTGTTTTTGGGGAAAGCGTTCCTCTTATGGCAGCCCTGTTAGCCTGAGGCAGGGCTTAAACAAACTGAGCAGGCTCAAAAGGACAGTATTGTAATGGACTGGAGTGGCCAGATCTTTTTACAGAAGAAAGAATACGGTAATTTGGCCACGTGCAGTGGCTCACACCTGTAATCTCAGCAATTTGGGAGGCCGAGGTGGGCGGATCATGAGGTCAAGGGATCAAGACCATCCTGGCCAACATGGTGAAACCCCATCTCGACTAAAAAATATACAAAAATTAGCTGGGCATGGTGGCACACACCTGTAGTCCCAGCTATTCAGGAGGCTGAGGCAGGAGAATTGCTTGAACTTGGGAGGCGGAGGTTGCAGTGAGTGGAGATGATGCCGTTGCAGTGAGTGGAGATGATGCCATTGCACTCCAGCCTGGGCAACAAGAGGAAAAAAAACTCCGTCTCAGAAAAAAAAAAAAAAAAATATGGTAATTTAAGATTCATATGTTTTATCCATCTTGAAAAATACCTTGTGCACATATTTAAAGTCTTTTTACACATTGACTTATCTTGGGTCTATTGTATCTGTCTACATTATTTAAGCAATGTAATCACTAAAAATTTAAGCACTGGGTTGAGCCTTCTGGCATCCCATTAGAATGCCTGGGGAAACACACTTCTTGTCAGTTGCGTGCCTGCTGATTGGGGAATGAAACACAAATATTCCAGAATCAACAGATTTCTTTATTTTATTTTATTTGTCATCCAGGCTGGAGTGCAGTGGTG
Organism: Homo sapiens; assembly: GCF_000001405.40. Taxonomy (NCBI): domain Eukaryota; kingdom Metazoa; phylum Chordata; class Mammalia; order Primates; family Hominidae; genus Homo; species Homo sapiens. The sequence goes on along the minus strand of NC_000016.10, from coordinate 18,914,639 downwards.
AGATCTTGGCTCACTGCAAACTCTGCCGCCTGGGTTCAAGTGATTCTCCTACCTCAGCCTCCTGAGTAGCTGGGATTACAGGCGATTGCCACCACGCCTGGCTAATTTTTGTAGTTTTTAGTAGAGATGGGGTTTCACCGTCTTGGCCAGGCTGGTCTTGAACTCCTGACCTTAGGTGAGGAGGAAATCCCATTTTGTAAATCCCAAAGTCCTGGGATTACAGGCGTGAGCCACCACACCTGGCCTAGAATCAACAGATTTCTAAACATACTGAATTACTTCTTTCATATTAATTTTCGGACCTTTTCAAAAAAGGAATTGGATATCCTGTTGATATTCATATTCATGTTATTATTATGTTGGTTTTCATATAATATGTGTAGGACTTTATGGTTATTTAAAAACCTATTATAGACTTTTTTTGTTTATTATTTAAAACTTTTTTCAGAGGGACTTGTTGCTTTTTTTTTTTTGAGATGGAGTTTTGCTCTTGTTGCCCAGGCTGGAGTGCAAGGGCACGATCTAGGCTCACGCAACCTCTACCTCCTGGGTTCAAGTGATTCTCCTGCCTCGGCCTCCTGAGTAGCTGGGATTACAGACATGTGCCACTCGCCTGGCTAATTTTTTGTATTTTTAGTAGAGACAGGGTTTCACTGTGTTAGCCAGGATGTTCTTCATCTCCCGACCTCAGGTGATGCCCCCTGCCTTGGCTTCCCGAAGTGCTGGGATTACAGGCGTAAACCACCTCGCCCAGCCTCAGAGGGATTTCTGGTACCAGAATTATAGATTGTTTTTGTTACCGAACTTCCTAAGTTATGCTCATTCTTTGTTTATTAAGGGGAGACACTAGATTTTTTTTTTATTACCCTTTTTATCATCATAGAGAACTTTAGTAGTCTACAAGAATATTATTAGAGGCTTAGCAGTGGCCTCACTGCACATACATGTATATGTCTTTGGGAACCTACAGGTTTTTAAGAAGTTGTTAAACTTAATATTTACTAGATATTTGTTTTTGGATGGCATCTAATATATTAATAGCCTAGAAAAAAGGCTCCACTAATGAATATGTCTTGGATTACATAGTGACATATATTAGCTTTTCGTCCACATTTGATAACATTGCTAACATTTTCTTTTTTTTTTTACTGAAGCTCTTTGAATTTAAAGTTTTCTCTCATTTAAATTTATTAATTAAAAACGTACCTTTACTCTGTTCCCTTTAGCATTTCAACCTGATGTTAAAAGATGTATATGTGTGATACGTGTGTTTGAAATTTTAACTTTCATCTTGGAGTATTTAATTCTCTGAAGCAGTGCATGACTCTTGCTCTTCAGCCTCTTGAGGGTGTCCCTGGTTTATATTCCTGATGATACAAACCCTGGAATTTCTTGTCTGAAGTGTTAACACTTAATTTCCAGGCCCTAATTTGATTTTAATAGTGGAAGTTCAGATTCAATGCATTAATGACAGATTCTACGTTGACTTCTTCAGATTTGCCAGACAGAAAAACCTACTTATGTGAGGAAATCATTAGGCTTTTTGACTATCCTCTTTGTATAATGAGACCCTTTTCTCATTAGATGAGTAAAAAGATCCAGAGATGATCACCAATATCACCCAGAATTCATATATATTTAATTGAAAAGAAAACAAATCCTGGGATTCTTTCCTAAAAAGGTTGATTACATTTCTTGCCTGTCCGAACGTTGTATAAACGTGAAGAAAAATAAAAATATAGGTTTTCCAGCACTGGGACTATGAAATTTGAGATTTAACATTTATTCATTAGTCAGATTTAAAGGAATCAACCTGAAGTCGTAGTTTATATTGTTTTTGAAGGACCTGAGTAAGGATTCTATTAAAAATGATTAATTCTGTCATTATTTGAAATATTGATAGGATTTTAATATGTTCCTTTTTTGAGAATACTAAAATTATAAATTAACTTACACTTAATAGCAAATAGGTCGTAAGTATGTGGTAATCAATTTATTGACTAAAAATTTTGTAAAAGATACCTTTTATTTAAAGTGGCCTATCGTGTAGTTACTATGATGGTAGTGCTCTCTACATTTTCATTGTAATCTTACTGAAGAAGTAAAAATTAATCATTATTGTTCTCCCCACTCTAATATTAATTCAAAAATCATAATTGTACACATAGGGTACAACGTAATGTTTATATATATGTGTGTAATGTAGTATGATTAAATCATGCTAATTAACATACTATCACCTTACTTTGCTTACTTATATTTTGTGGTGAGGCATTTGAAATTTACTCTTAATTGTTTGAAATACATTATTATTATTGCTATTGTTATCTCTGTCTTCTCTTTGCAAATAAATACATCATTATTTACTATAGCCACCCTGTTGTGCAAAGATTTCAAAAACTATTCTCCTATGTGAAATTTGTTCCCTTTTCTTTTTCAAAAAAAAAAAAAATCCACCCGCTGTTTTAGCATTGGTGAAGTTAAAAATAGAACCAGTGTGTTTTAGATTCCTCTCTAAGTGTCTTTATTTTTAAGAATGGTTTTTTTTTTTTTTTTTTGAGATGGCATCTTGCTCTGTTGCCCAGGCTGGAGTGCAGTTGGCACCATCTTGGCTCACTGCAATCTCCACCTCCCGGGTTCAAGCGATTCTCCTGCCTCAGCCTCCCATGTAGCTGGGATTACAGGTGCATGCCACCACGCCTGGCTAATTTTTGTATTTTTAGTAGAGACGGGTTTCACCATGTTGGCCAGGCTGGTCTCAAACTCCTGATCTCAGGTGATACATCCGCTTCAGCCTCCCAAAGTTCTGGGATTACAGAAGTGAGCCCCCGTGCCTAGCTAGAATGTGTGTATTTTAAAAAGTTAATCCTTCACAGATATTTATCTTAGGGAGAGGCTGGTGTCATGAAAAAAGCTGTGGACTAAGAATGGGAAGACAAAGATCTTTTGTATTGGCACTACCAGCTGTGTCCCTCTGAGGGGGTAATTTTTGCCTTTTGAAGACGTTGGGAGGGTTAAAGTTCAGGAAATTATTTTTAAAACTGTTTCAGTGAATATTTAGAAAAATATTAGTGGAGATAGAATTAATTGCTCCGCAGTGGAGTGGCTCTCTTTCTACATTTTCTTTTTTTTTGAGACGAGTCTCGCTCTGTCCCCCAGGCTGGAGTGCAATGGTGCGATCTCAGCTCACTGCAACCTCCGCCACCCGGGTTCAAGCGATTATCCTGCCTCAGCCTCCTGAGTAGATAGGATTACAGGCATGTGCCACCACACCCAGGTAATTTTTTTTTTTGTATTTTTAGTAGAGACAGGGTTTCACCTTGTTGGCCAGGCTGGTCTTGAACTCCTGACCTTGTGATCCATTCACCTCTGTCTCCCAAGGTGCTGGGATTACAGGTGTGAGCCACCATGCCTGCCCTCCTTCTACATTTTCTAGTGTACTCCCATTAGGCTGTAAACCTATTTCAAGTTGAACAATAAGAAATTTCAGCATAGCTCTGCATCATCATTTTTTCTCCATATCTTGTATTCACACCTTAAGAATTTGTTACTAGTTGAAATGATAAGCCAGCAAACATAATCTAATCTTTGTGACTATTTGCATAGATTGGAGGGCAAGTACAATGTAAATGGAATGTATATAGAGAAAGGGTAGGTTAAAAGGTAGCTTATAGCTTGCTTACCTTTTACTACACAGTTGGAATTTAAGAACTGATTCTTATAAGAACACCAGTTGAACGATGAATTGCTTTTTTCCCTCTGGTGTAGTGTGTATGGCTGTGTATATACATATTTTTATTTTAATTTTATTTTTTAATGGGAGGAGGGAGGATGCCAGAAACATTGAAAGGTTGTATTCTGCCAATGTGATAGTTTTAAGTACTTGAGGGGGTGGAGAAGAACCACACGCATCTTCTAAGCAAAGATGGGAAATATCATATCATTATAAGAATGTATATACAGTATTAAGCAATTACAAGATTTTGGGCCGGGCATGGTGGTGCTTTGGGAGACCAAGGCAGGGAGGTGGGTGGATCACTTGAGCCCAGGAGTTGGAGACCAGCCTGGGTAACATAGTGAGACCTCGTTTCTACAAAAAATAAAAAAATTGGCTGGGCATGGTGGCTTACACCTGTAATCCCAGCACTTTGGGAGTCCGAGGCTGTCAGATCACCGAGATCAGAAATTCGAGAGCAGCCTGACCAACCTGGTGAAACTCCGTCTCTACTAAAAATACAAAAATTAGCTGGGCATGGTGGTGCATGCCTGTAATCCCAGCTATTTGGGAGGCTGAGGCAGGAGAATTGCTTGAACCCAGGAGGCAGAGGTTGCAGTGAGCCAAGATCACACCACTGCACTCCAGCCTGGGCAACAGAGCAAGACTCTGTCTCAAAAAAAAAAAAAAAATAGCTGGGCATGGTGGCGTGAGTTTCTAGTCCCACCTACTTGGGAGGCTGAGGTGGGAGGATTGCCTTAGCCCAGGAGGTCGAGGCTACTGTGAGCTGTGATTGTGCCACTGTCTCAAAGAAAAAAAAAAAAGATTCTGGTACTATTTGAAATTGTAGTACTGTAAATCTATAATAAATGATTGCTGTCTCTTAAGGAACTTAATATCTAGAAACATTGTTTTTTTTTTCTTGTAAAAGGGAATTATAAAAGTTACTTCTTTTAAATCACTTATGTCAATCTGATTAAAGTGTGTTTAGTATAAAATGTAACAAAAGAAAAAGATAGGGTTTGTGTAGACTGTGGGTTTAAAGTGGCTTAAGTGATGATTTTGAAGTTTCCTAGGTGTCTTATACTTAAGGCTAAATACAAAGACCTCAGTAAATTTCTGGCTACTGCTGAGCATGGTGGGAGCATCGTTTCCTGTTCTTACTAGTATGTTTCAGCAGCTAGCAAAAGCTGTCTTCATTTAATACATTTTCCTACAGTTAATAGTGTGATTATCTTGAAAGGCATCTTCCTTTTTCAGTATTTGATTTGTGAGACCATATCTTCTGGAATTACTTGAGACCTCTAATTAAATTGACGTTTAAAATTTTTTATTTCATTTTCTTTTAGAGTTGGAGGTCTTGCTGTGTTGTGTGGACTGGCCTAGGATGATGATGATGATTTTTTTCTTTAGAGACACAGTCTCACTGTGTTGCCCAGGCTGGTCTCAAACTCCTGGGCTCGAGTGATCCTCCTGTTTCAGCCTCCTGAGTAGCTGGGATTACAGGTGTGAGCTACTGCAGCTGGCTTGGCCTAGGATTATTTTTATTTTTATTTATTTTATTTTATTTTTTCCTTTTTTTGAGATGGAGTTTCGCTCTTGTTGCACAGGCTGGAGTGCAATGACGCCGTCTCAGCTCACCACAGCCTCTGCCTCCCGGGTTCAAGTGATTCTCCTGCCTCAGCCTCCCGAGTAGCTGGGATTACAGGCATGCACCACCACACCTGGCTAATTTTGTATTTTTAGTGGAGACAGGATTTCTCCATGTTGGCCAGGCTGGTCTTGAACTCTTGATGTCAAGTGATCCACCTGCCTCGGCCTCCTAAAGTGCTGGGATTACAGGTGTGAGCCACCGTGCCTGGCCAGGATTATTTTTAAAGAGAAGATTTAACATATGTAATTGTTAGAAAATCTTATAAACATGTCATTCCCTGGGAATGTGCTTCAACCTGTTGGCTAAAGGAACTTTATCAGAATAACTACAGTTATTATCTATTTTCAGGAGTTGAAAAAAATGGTTGCATACATTTCTTTTTTTTTTTTTTGAGGCGGAGTCTCGCTGTGTCACCCAGGTTGGAGTGCAGCGGCGTGATCTCAGCTTACTGCATGCTCCACCTCCCGCGCTCACGCCATTCTCCTACCTCAGCCTCCCGAGTAGCTGGGACTTCAGGCGCCTGCCACCACGCCTGGCTAATTTTTTTGTAGTTCTAGTAGAGACGGGGTTTCACTGTGTTAGCCAGGATGGTCTTGATCTCCTGACCTTGAGATCCTCCCGCCTTGGCCTCCCAAAGTGCTGGGATTACAGGCGTGAGCCACCACACCTGGCCCATTCATTTCTTATATTGGTAAACATCACTTCACCTTTACCTTGATTATAAAGTCCCTGTCTATTTTTGAGATTCTTTAGATTTCTGCAGTGTGTAACTTTTTTTTTTTTTTTTTTTTTTTGAGACGGAGTCTCGCTCTGTTACCTAGGCTGGAGTGCAGTGGTGCAATGTAACTCTTAGTGATTCTTAATCTTCGTTGGAATGGGCTATGTTTGGCCTTTTTTTTTTTTTTGGAGACTGAGTCTCACTCTGTTCTCCAGGCTGGAGTGTAGTGGTGAGCTCTCGGCTCACTGCAACCTCCGCCTCTGGGTAAGCGATTCTCCTGCCTCAGCCTCCCGAGTAGCTGGGATTACAGATGTGCACCACCACGCCTGCCTAATTTTTTTGTATTTTTAGTAGAGACTGGGTTTCACCATGTTGGCCAGGCTGATCTTGAACTCCTGAACTCAGGTAATCTGCCTGCCTCAGGCTCCCAAACAGCTGGGATTACAGGAGTGATCAACTGCGCCTGGCCTATGTTTGGCATTTAACTGGTCGGGGAGGGATGCATATCTTTGTACATTTTCAGCCTTTTTTGTCCTTCATCTATTAAAGAGGTCATAGAGTAAGATATTTCCTTTCAATCTTGGCAATTTCCCAGGCCAAATGATATGTTTCTAGGGTACTTCCAGGACTTACTGACAAAAGGGGAAGATAAGTGATGCAATTGAGAGCTGAAGTAGGGTCTCTTTTTTTTTTTTTTTTTTTTTTTTGAGTCTCGTTCTGTCGCCTAGGTGGGAATGCAGTGGCGTGATCTTGGCTCACTACAACCTCTGCCTCCCGGGTTCAAATGATTCTCCTGCCTCAGCCCCCTGAGTAGCTGGGACTACAGGCGCTGCACCACCAGGCCTGGCTAAGTTTTTGTGTATTTTTGGTAGAGACAGGGTTTCACCATGTTGGTCAGGCTGGTCTCGAACTCCTGACCTCATGATCCGCCCGCCTCGGCCTCCCAAAGTGCTGGGATTATAGGCGAGAGCCACTGTGCCCAGCGAAGCAGGGTCACTTTTTAAGGTTGTAAGCTAGCTTGGGTTAGAAATAAAGGCAGAGAGCCACTCCATACCTGTAGTTCTAGCTACTGGGGAGGCTAAAACCAGAGGATCTCTTGAGCCCAGGAGTTCAAGGCTGCAGTGAGCTGTAATAACACACTGCACTACAATGTGGGCAACATAGAGTGAGACCTAATTAAAAAATAAATAAATAAATAAATGCAAGGAGAAAGTCATGAACTTGGTGCATTTAGGTGTACAATTAGTTGGCATAAACGATTTTTTTTTTTTTGAGATGGAGTTTCTCTCGTTGCCCAGGCTGGAGTGCATTGGCGCAGTCTCGGCTCACTGCAACCTCCGCCTCCTGGGTTCAAGTGATTCTCCTGCCTCAGCCTCCTGAGTAGCTGGGATTACAGGCGCCTGCCACCACACCCAGCTAATTTTTGTATTTTTCATAGACGGGGTTTCGTCATATTGGCCAGGCGGATCTTGAACTCCTGACCTCAAGTGATCCATCCGCCTCAGCCTCCCAAAGTGCTGGGATTACAGGCGTGAGCCACTATGCCAGCCAAGAATTTTTAAAAAAGGAGTTTCACTCAGCCGACCTCATTCCTCAGCAGGGCACCTGTGTGCAGGGCAAAACTGCTCAACCCTACTCAGCAGCCCTGTGAAAGCTGCTGAAAGGATGAGCAGATTGAGGCCTGAACTGTATCTTGGATTTAGCAGCCTGGAGGTCATAATGGATTTTGCCAAGAGTGATGGGGCAGAAATTGGACCAGTGTGTGTTAAGGAGCTAGAAGAAGTGAAGAAATGGGAGAGAGGAGTCTAGACAACTTTAGTTTGGCTGCAGCAAGTAAAGGCAGATTGTTTGATGGAGGGACATGTGGGATTGATGGAGTTTTTCCTTTTTATATGTTTTTGTATTTTTAAATGGGATACATTGAAAGTGTTGCATGTTTATGGGGGGGATTTAGTTCAGTGGGAAAGTATTTGAAAAGTTACAGTAAGGTGGAAGTAGATGGAATCCTAAGTAAGGTCTAGAATCAGGTGCAGGTATTTTATGGTATCTTCCCCACCCCACCCCGAGACGGAGTTTCGCTCTTATTATTGCCCAGGCTCTGGATTGCAGTGGTGCAGTCTTGGCTCACTGCAACCTCCACCTCCTGGGTTCAAGCGATTCTCCTGTGTCAGTCTCCCGTGTAGCTGGAATTACAGGTGCGCACCACCACACCCAGCTAATTTTTGTATTTTTAGTAGAGATGAGGTTTCACCATTTTGGCCAGGCTGGTATCCAACTCCTGACCTCAAGTGATCCACCGCCTTGGCCTCCTAAAGTGCAGGGATTACAGGCGTGAACCACCGTGCGCAGCTGGTACCTTTTTTTTTGTTGGTGAAGTAGAATGTGTGTATGGGGAGGGGAGGTGATAGGATATTTTGGAATTTGAAGAGAATGGGAATGTCTGGATAGTGCATGTATAGAATGGGAAGTAAACACTGGAGGACCTGGGAGTATGGTGCTTGTTGATGGATCATTGAGTTTATCCAGGACTGGGGTTTTACCAGATGGGTGTGATGAAAACCTTAAGAGTTAAGGGTATAGGCAAGAGTGTTGTTGAAATGATACACAATGAAATCTAAGCTGGTTAAAGAAGTGAGGAAGGGGCCGGGCATGTTGCCTCACGCCTGTAATTCCAGCACTTTGGGAGGCCGAGGCGGCTGGATCCCTTGAGGTCAGGAGTTCGAGACCAGCCTGGCCAACATGGTGAAACCCCGTCTCTACTAAAAATACAAAAATTAGCCGGGTGTGGTAGCAGGGGCCTGTAATCTCAGCTACTTGGGAGGCTGAGGCAGGAGAATCACTTGAACCTGGAGGTGGAGGTTGCAGTGAGCCAGTATTGCACCACTATACTCCAGCCTGGGCAACAAAGTCAGAGTCTGTCTCAAAAAAAAAAAAAAATGAAATGAAGAAGGAGGAGAATACTTGGATTGGGATAAAGTAGAAAGAGTCACTGGAATTAAAGTTAACTAAAAAACTCATAAACTTTAGAATGGTATTGAGAAATTGTAATGTGAACTGAAAAAGTCTCATGGGATTTTAGAGCCAAGAAGGTCTTGAGTGGCAGTTCCTACCTTGGTAGGAATAGCTTCAGTGGTGTGTTGCAGGTGGAACCCAGATTAAAGTGGGTTAAAAAGTAAGTGAAGGCAAGGAAGATAAATTTTTCAACAGGTTTGTCTGCGAAGAGTCCAGGCTATTAGATTGATAGAGGGAGAAAGGCAGTTAAAGGGTTTTTTTGTTTTTTGTTTTTTGTTTTGAGTCAGAGTCTCACACTGTTGCCTGGTCTGGAGTGCAATGGCGCGACCTCAGCTCACTGCAACCTCCACCTCCGGGGTTCAAGTGGTTCTCCTGCTTCAGCCTCCCAACTAGCTGGGATTACAGGCGCCCACCACCATACCCGGCTAATTTTTTGTATTTTTAGTAGAGACGGGGTTTCACTATGTTGCCCAGGCTGGTCTCAAACTCCTGAACTCATGATCTGCCTGCCTCACCCTCCCAAAGTGCTGGGATTACAGGCGTAAGCCACCGTGCCCGGCCTTATTTTCTTAATTTTTAGATTTATTTTATTATTATTATTGTTTTTTGAGATGGAGTCTCTCTGTTGCCCAGGCTGGAATGCAGTGGTGCAATCTCGGCTCACTGCAGCCTCCGCCTCCCGGATTCAAGCGATTCTCCTGCCCCAGCCTCCTGAGTAGCTGGGATTGCAGGCACCCACCACCACGCCTGGCTGATATTTGTATTTTTAGTTGAGACGGGGTTTCACTACATTGGCGAGGCTGGTCTTGAACTCCTGACGTCATGATCCACCCACCTCGGCCTCCCAAAGTGCTGGGATTACAGGCGTGAGCCACTTCACCCGGCCTTTATTTTATTTTTTTTTGAGACAGAGTCTTGCTCTGTCACCAGACTGGAGTGTAGTGGCATGATCTCGGCTTACTGCAAGCTCTGCCTCCTGGGTTCAAACGATTCCCCTGCCTCAGCCTCCCAGGTAGCTGGGACTACAGGTGCGTGCCACCACACGCAGGTAATTTTATTTTTTCTATTTTAGTAGAGACGGGGTTTCACCATTTTGGCCAGGGTGGTCTCAATCTCCTGACCTTATGATCTGCCTGCCTTCGCTTCCCAAAGTGCTGGGATTACAGGCGTGAGCCGCCGTGCCCGGCCATTTTTTGTTTTTTGTTTTTTGTTTTTTTTAAAGTAAGACTTTTGAGAGTGCTCATATGTTGATGATGTGATAAGCAGTAGTAAAATGGGAGATTTTGCAACGTACAAAAGAAACAGGCCGGGCACGGTGGCTCAAGCCTGTAATCCCAGCACTTTGGGAGGCCAAGGTGGGTGGATCACGAGATCAGGAGATCGAGACCATCCTGGCTAACATGGTGAAACCCCGTCTCTACTAAAAATATAAAAAATTAGCCGGGCGTGGTGTTGGGCGCCTGTAGTTCCAGCTACTCGGGAGGCTGAGGCAGGAGAATGGCGTGAATCCGGGAGGCGGAGCTTGCAGTGAGTCGAGATCACGTCACCGCACTTCAGCCTGCGCGACAGAGCGAGACTACATCTCAAAAAAAAAAAAAAAAAAAAAGACAAGACATACCTTGGAAAATGGGGGGAATAGACAGATCCAGATGATCTCTATGGATAGGAGGTTTATTTGTTCCATTATGCGAAGATGATGGGAAGAAAAGCTGTATGTGCAGATGCAGGTGAATTTGTGGATATATTAGAAGGAAGATGACAGGCAGTGATGGAGTGTTGAAGAGCTCAAACATTAGACAGTACTGGGTCTGAGTTCTGGCTCTGCCTTTTACAAGCTGTGCAACCTTAGGCCAGTTATGAAACCTTAGTCATCAAGTTATAACTAATAGGATTGTGTTGAACATGAAATGACATGATAAACGTATGTAAACTGCTTGGATCAGTTGCCCACTAGCTCTTGTTAGGAGCTAAAATGTTAGCTCTTGCTGAGGGTGTTGTCAAATGGCTTCTACTTCTCATGAAGCAGAAATCTATAAGGTCATCCACTGGTAGTGGTGGGAGAAGGAAGAAGGTGCAGAAAGTTTTACAGATGTTTTGGAAAGGAAAGAAACCCGGTGAGGGAAATGTGGGCAACTTCAGAGGCCCACTTGAAGTCAGAGAAAAGGAGCACTGGGGCATGGATGTGAGGGGGTACTTTCTTCAGCTTTTCTCTGAAGACAATTATGCATGTAAAACAAAGGTTAAAATCAGATCTACTGCCCTCCTGGAGTTACTGGCTTCGTTTGCTCCTTCTGGCTAATTTGATTGGAGGTCTGAAAATAGAGAATATTAGAGGTTCCTTGGAAGGAAAATAAGCAACACTGAAGTCAAATCTTTATCATGTTTGCTAGAAATGTTACTAAAAAACAAAATTTATGGCCGGGTGCAGTGGCTTATGCCTGTAATCCCAACCCTTTCGGAGGCTGAGGTGAGTGGATCACTTGAGCCCAGGAGTGCGAGACCAGCTTGGGTAACATTTTGGGAATGTTGTAGGGAATGGGACAAAAAAAATACAAAAGTTGCTGGGCGTGGTGGAGTAAGCCTGTGGTCTCAGCTACTTGGGAGGCTGATGTGGGAGGTTTGCTTGAGCTCGGATTGCGCCACTGCACTCTAGCCTGGGCGACAGGGTGAGACCCTGTTTCAAAACAAACAAACAACTTTTTTTGAGCTACAGTATATTTAATGGTTTTAAATATGAGTGCAGAGTAAGAGGGAGTCCAGTCCATAAGATGACCCTTGCATCTAATACTAGTTGCAAGTTTGGGGGTTCCCAAGACCACTCTTTTTTTTTTTTTTGAGACAGGGCCTCTCTCTGTCACCCAGGCGAGAGTGCAGTGGCATGATCACAGCTCACTGTGCCCTGACCTCCTCCCTCCCAGGTTCAGGCAGTCCTCCTACGTCAGCCACCTGAGTTGCTGGATCTATGGGCGCATACCACCTCGCCTGGCTAGTTTTTCTATATTTTTTAGAGACAGTTTCACCATATTGCCAGGCTGGTCTCAAACTCCTGAGCTCAAGTGATCTGCCTGCCTGGGCCTCCCAAAGTGCTGGGGTTACAGGCTTGAGCCACTGTGCCTGGCCAAGACGACTCTTAGGTTGGATGATTTGCCAGGAGGACTCACTAGAACTCATTGAAAGCTCTCATACCCATGGTTAGAGTTTATTGCAGTTTAGGGATTCAGATTAGAATGAGCCAAGGGTAGAGGTGCATAGGGCAGAGTTCGGGGAAGTTCCAAATGTTGGAGTTTCAAATTGTCCTGTCCCTGTAGAGTTGTGAAAAATGATACCTTCCTGGTGGCACTGGTGTGCGACAATACTCATGAATTATTGCCTACCAGGGAAGCTCACTCTGTTTTTTATGTCCAAAGTTTTTACTGGGGTTCCATGGTTGCATGCCCATGTGGCTAACCTTAGTCTCCAGCCCCACTGGAGGTCAAGCTGATCCATGTGACTCAAAGCCCCCACCATAAGTCACATTATTAGACTCTGCTGTGGCCTAAAACCCCCAGATGAACAAGGACACCTTCCCCCCACCGCCACCCCCCCCTTTTTTTTTTTGGAGATAGTCTTGCTCTGTTGCCCAGGCTGGAGTGCAGTGGCATGATCTCAGCTCACTGAAACCTCAGCCTCCTGAGTAGCTGGGATTATTACAGGTGCCCGTCACCATGCCTGGCTAATTTTTGTATTTTTAGTAGAGACAGGTTTCACCATGCTGGCCAGGCTGGTCTCAAAATCCTGACCTCAAGCGATCCACCTGCCTTGGCCTCCCAAAGTGCTGGGATTACAGGTGTGAGCCACTGCTTCTGGCCAGGACCCTCTTATTAGGTATGACATTTCAAGAGTTTAGAGATTACCTTCCAGAATTCACAGGTAAAAGCCAGACCTCTCCTTGGTGAAGATACAATTCTTTACAATTTTACAATAGTTAAGTATATCTTATCAGTCTATATTGGCTGTTTAGTTGACAGACAGTTAAAAATTGGTGACAGTCCAGATGTGGTCACTCATGCTTCTAATCCTAGCATTTTGGGAGGCTGAGGTGGGAGGATTGCTTGAGTCCAGGAAATTGAGAGCAGCCTGAGCAACATAATCAGACACCTGTCTCTACAAAAAACATAAAAATAAAAAATTAGCTAAATGGGGTGGCATGCACCTGTGGTCCCAGCTGTTTGAGAGGCTGAACCCATGAGGTCGAGGCTGCAGTGAGCTATGGTCATGCCAGTGCACTCCAGCCTGGGTGACAGAGTGAGACCCTGTCTCAAAAAAGGAAACAAATCACCCATAAATGGATAATTAAGATTTGGTTATTATAGACACTTAATACTGAGGTAGTTAAACTAGTTTTACCGATAAATTATATTAATTTAATATTTCAGTATTGCAAAACTGATGCATACTCATTTATAATTTTGACATGGAATGGTTCTATTAAATTTGAACTTAAAGTTCTCTGCAAGAAGAGATTTGTATAATAAATTCCCTGAGCCTCTCAAATTAATATTTTAGCCATAGACTCATATTTAGAGCAGTGTTTTTAATGTAATGATACAAGGCCCAGGGTTATTCATAGTTTCACCCTTTCTCTTATTCCTCATTAAAGCATGTTTGAATCCAGGTAAGAGGCATTACAGGGGAAAACCTTGAATTTATTTTTGAAGGGTAAATCATTTTCAAGTGGTATTAACCATTAGTATGGAAAGCAACATATCCTATAACTGCTCTGTGACAGTGAGACTATCTTTGCTACTTTAGAGAATAAGTACATTCCTACTTCATTGGCTTTAGTGCAAATCTCATTTCCTGGTTTATATCCATTATAAATTAGATCTCACCATGAGAGCAAAATCCCTTAATAAACCTAGGTAAAAGCAATTTGAAGTAATATGATGCTTACTCCAGTGACACCACTAGGTATGGTGTTTGCATCAAGTCATTTTGGGGTGCTTTATGGAAATACTTCCTAGTAGGGAATTCCCTGACTTCACACTTTCCAGAGATGACACTCTCTCTCTTTTTCTCTCTAATACTTACAAGAATGGACTGCAAGGCTACATTTAGTCAGGCGATACCATCCCCAGCACATGGTGGATTGTTGGTGTGAGGTCTAAGGATTCTGGTCATTTGAAACGAATGGCCTCCTAGATTTGTGGCATTTTTCTGTATATTGAGAATAGGTAGCTAAAATAAGTGGTAACTATATTTGCATGTGATTTGTATGTTACAGTTAACATTTAAATTCTCTTATGTACTAAAATTTTTTTGGTTGCCACATTAAGCCTCTTTATCCTGTAAGGCACAGAGTGGCTTTCCACCTCAATTTTTGCTTTAATGTATGAACCCTAATGGGACCATAGTTCAACTAAAGGCACCTAACTCATGAATGATATTTGCTCCATGTTTGAACAACAAATGTTTTAACCCACTGTCTTCACTAATATTGTAACTACTGTCTTACAGATTGACTTGATGCAAAACATCACAAAGGCTCCATATTATACAGTATGCGATTTTTGAGGTATGAGCTTTAGAAACTTACCTCTCATGTGGCATGTACATCAGGCTTTAACTTCAGTTTGATCGTTGTGGGGAAATTTATGCATTTCTTTTTTTTTCTCTCCATGATATTTTTAGAATATTAAAGGGGCTGTAGAGGTATTTTTGGATCATTGCTAGGATTCTTAGACTTAACAGATAGATTTTCTTTTTTCACTAAATTGAGACACTAATTCTGGCAGATGATATCCCTTTCAGCTCTTCTAACTAACTAGCCTAACATTCATGCCTGCTTCTTGGAGTTCAAATCTGCAGTTTCTATTTTGTGGCTTTGATTGCCTCATTTTAAGTGCTCATTTCCGTTCTTTAACAGTTTTCTATTTATTGGACTGGGATGATCTTGTTGGTGCTAACAGCCTGACATTGACATTTTTTGAAACCTAAGTAGTCAAGATTGTATAAAAATAGAAATTTCATATAAATGCTAAAGCATTTTGTGCTTTTAGGTTCAGAATGCTTACAACCTGAGTTCTGGTTGGGGATGCTTTGATCAATTTGTATTAAAATAATTTGGCAACTAGGGAGTTTTTAGGTATTTCTGAGACAGTGGCTCTATTCCAGTTAGTTTTTTTTTGTTATATTTCTGAAAACACAAATTTTTTTTGGGAAAAAAATCTCAGTGTTCATAACTTAGGGGATTTAGAAACCTTATTTCTAACCAACGGGGAAGCGGCTCCTGGTTTTACAGTTTAGTTTGAAATCAGATGCTTCGTAGTTGGAAACACATTGTTGGTAGCAACAGATTACCCGGTTTCTTCAGTGAAGTATTTAAGTTGCTCTATATTGACTGTAAAAACTTGTCTTGATTATATTCATATACTCATGAACTGTTTGTACATTGTCTTTTAGACTGGAAACTGAGTTTATTTTGTATTATGGTCATAATAACTTTTAACATACCCTGCAAACTAAGCGTTTCTTTATAATTCATTATCTTATTTAAGCCTCACAACAACCTTGCATGTTAGGTAGGTATCATCCTCATTTTATGCAAGAGACAACCAAGGCTTGGAGATCAAGTAATTTGTGCAAAGGCACACATACTTTTCAGTGCTGGAGCTGGGATTTGAGCCCAGATCTTTTTTTAACTTGTATTCTCTGCTGCCTTATGGTACTACTGTGTCACCAGAAAGTGATACAAATATTTAACTCTTAATAGTAAAGGTAGTATAGGAGATAAGTAAACATGATGAAAACAGGAAGTGAAGATATGTTTAAATATTGGCAGACTCCATTTATCTTTGTGTTTCCGAATTAGTCAAGTGCTTATTTTATTCGCTCATCTAATAAGAGCTTACTGTGGCATACATATAAAGTTCAAACTCTGTCAGAAAAGATTATAAGCTCTCTTATGTTTCAATCTCCTTTCAGAAAGTAATCGTATGCTATGATTTATATAGATGCATGTTAAATGTGCTATTTTTAGGTACATAAGGAATGTCTTTTCATTAGTTTAAAAAAGTTATGGTCCATTGAGTTAATATTTTAATGCTTATAGACTTAGTATACTCAGAAAATATTCTCATACATTTTTCTTGAAATTCCATAGATTTTATTTTCCCTTATGTTCTAAGTACTTAGCTTTATGAATAAATGAACTCTGAATATTAGAAGATACTCCTTATGGAGCCTTAGTCATTTTAGTATGCTAGGTTTTGAATTTCATGAAGTTTCAGATTGAGATCCTTTATAAGTAATGACTTGTACCAGTTAGATATCCAAGTTTAATTGGACCTGTTGTCTGCATTCTGTATTAACAGTGATTGCAGTAAGTGCAGATCAAGGTGTCCAACTGATTGAGCTCATGCTAAGTTTTATGTTTAGTATTTTTGGAAGCAAGGAAAGACTAATAAACTCTAAACGAAATATATACAGTATACAAACACTGCTGTCACTTTTACACCATAGAGGGAGGGGCAAAGCATAGAGGAATAGCTTAGTGTCTGGCCTTGCCAGTGTCCTAAACTTTTCTAAAAGATTCAGGTTCTAAAAGGTTGAGAAAGCATTTTTAGTAAATATCATAGAAGTGATTTTCTTTTTTTTTTTTTTCTCAAAGTTGTTCCTCTCAGGAGAAAATCAGTAGGGGAAGAACTTACTTGGATTTTTCGTATGCTATAATAGATTATTTTGTTGTCTTCTTTCTTGATAGTTTATGATTGATGGCTGAAAGAGTAACACTCATGAGAAGTCTTGTAACTCAGCTCTGTTTTACTTATGAGGTAGTTGAAGCGTAGAGCAGATACTTAGATGAGGACACACTTTTACCCTTGGCTGTACCCTACTTGTTTACTAATAAGCATCAGGTATTATTCTAAACAGTACCTGAATTTTAAATAGATTATGAACTACAACTTTCTGATATCACTTTATTGCATTTCTGATACCTTTTATTTTCTTAAAATGTCTTCTTTTTTAATTTTTAAAATTCTGATTGCTACTCTTTACAATTAAGGCATCTGCAATGGGGTCTTCAATACTACAGTACCTAATCAGTACTTAGAAAATAACTTGGTAAGACATTGCCCGTCCCTGACATGCTGCCAGTGTTTTTTATTTTTATGACAGGAAAGGCTGAAATTTTTTGACTGATTAACCCTCTCCATGGGGGAGAATTTAGAAAGAATTATTCTTATTATCAAGTCATGTGAGGAGAACACTGGACCAGAGTAACCAATTGTTCTGTTTTGCCTGGGACAGGAGACTTTCAATGGTAAAACCAGCAAAGTCACCCTAATCCCAGTAGTTGTTCATATTTCTGAATGGGTCTTTAGAACAATAGAAGAGACTGAAAAGTTGGCATTTCATCCATTGAGAATCTCTTCCCAGTGAAAGACTTCTTATTAGACAGCTGAGTGCTTACATATAATATATAGTACATATTACACTAAATAGTAATGGTTAAATGTAAAATTTGGGAGAAGAGAGGCTTGTATAAAGAAATATTTATTTATGTTATTTAAAGTTCTAATCTTAAACTTTTCTCTTTTTATAGAACTGATAGTGCATCAGCCGACCCAGATAATTTAAAATATTCTTCATCCAGAGATAGAGGTGGTTCTTCCTCTTATGGACTGCAACCTTCAAATTCAGCTGTGGTGTCTCGGCAAAGGCACGATGATACCAGAGTCCACGCTGACATACAGAATGACGAAAAGGGTATATATATTTTCTTATTGCTACAAGCATGTTTTTTGAACCTACCTGTCTCACCTTCCTGCCTTCTTATACCCCCAACTTTCTTGCTTTCTTCTAATATATTTAAAATATGAATAACAAATGCAGTGTTATTTCTGAAAACCTCATAGGACATTTATCCACTTTATTATTTTTAAAATTTAAAATTTTTTCCATACATAATTCATAAATGCAGTTTTCTTACAAGGAAGATACAATACTATTTTTGTTTTTATTTTCAAAAATATTTAGCTAAGGTTGAAGTTCCTCTTGGCTACTATCTCTAAACTTCAAGAAAGTTTTAAAACAAGGTACAAAATTTGATTTAATTTAGTTTTCATTTCTTTGCTTATTTTCCAATGAAGGGATCAAAATAAAATTAATTTAACTTCAAAGGTGTATTAAAAGAAATCAAAATGATTTTCAAGGCAGACAGTACAGGAAAAAGGTAGGAGAAGCAAAGGCTGGTTGAGCTGCAGATTGAGTAATAAGATCCTGAGCTATCAGGAAATTGACTGAATGAAACGAACAATCATATTTAAATAACGTACACATTGCTGTTTGTAGGTGGCTACAGTGTCAATGGAGGATCTGGGGAAAATACTTATGGTCGGAAGTCGTTGGGGCAAGAGCTGAGGGTTA
The DNA here is from genome assembly GCF_000001405.40 of Homo sapiens. Classification (NCBI taxonomy): domain Eukaryota; kingdom Metazoa; phylum Chordata; class Mammalia; order Primates; family Hominidae; genus Homo; species Homo sapiens. Next base: position 18,896,132 of record NC_000016.10, on the reverse strand, counting down.
ACAATGTGACCAGCCCTGAGTTCACCAGTGTTCAGCATGGCAGTCGTGCTTTAGCCACCAAAGACATGAGGAAATCACAGGGTAAGGCTGGGAAAACGGGGACCAATCACATACACCTTCCAAAGACTTGTATCTCCTCTTATTCTGGATGCCTCTTACTAACGCCTTGCACAGGCATAAGTTGATTAGCCTACTGTGCAGGTAAAAATTGTTTACATTCATTTCCCACTAGAAAGGTTATAGTACATTTTAAAAGAGAAGCCTCTTAAAACAAGATTAGAAGACTGGATAAGATCTTACAGAAAAGGTTTACCCAATTATCGTGGATATTGAATGTATAGTGCATAGTAGGCTCTTACTACAGCAAGTCCTTGAACTCTTGGGCCTGTGGAGGATATAGATATATATAGAGAGGGGGTACTTTTCTGTCTTTTTTTTTTTTCTCTTTTAAGTTCAGGGTACGTGTGCAGGATGTACAGGTTTGTTATGTAGGTAAACGTGTGCCATGGTAGTTGGCTGCACAGATCATCCCATCATCTAGGTATTAAACCCACCATCCATTAAGCTATTCTTGCTGATGCTCTCCTTCCCCCTGCCCCCTAGAGTGGGTACTTTTCTGGTTTTTTTTTTTGTTGTTGTTTTCAATATATTTTTTTGAGACAGTCTTGCTCTGTCACCCAGGCTGGAGCACAGTGCTGCAATCTCTGCTCACTGCAACCTCCGCCTCCCAGGTTCAAGTGATTCTCGTGCCTCAGCCTCCCAAGTAGCTGGGGTTACAGGTGCATGCCACCACACCCAGCTGATTTTTGCATTTTTAGTGGAGACAGGGTTTCACCATGTTGGCCAGGCTGGTCTCGAACTCCTGACCTCAAGTGATCACGCGTGCTCATTACAGGCGTGAGCCACCGGGCCCTGCCTAGAGTGGGCACTTTTCTAAAGTTAAATACACTGATAGCATTTCTGCCTTATGATGTAGCCTCACTGTATAGGTGAGTGCCTTGGAAGTTCAGAGGATTGGCCAGGTGCAGTGGCTCCTGCCTGTAATCCCAGCACTTTGGGAGGCTGAGACGGGCGGATCACGAGGTCAGGAGATCGAGACCATCCTGGCTAACACGGTGAAACCCTGTCTCTACTGAAAATACAAAAAATTAGCCGGGTGCGGTGGTGGGCGCCTGTAGCCCCAGCTACACGGGAGGCTGAGGCAGGAGACTGGCGTGAACCCGGGAGGTGGAGCTTGCAGTGAGCTTAGATCGCGCCACTGCACCCCAGCCTGGGCGACAGAGCGAGACTCTGTCTCAAAAAAACAACAACAAAAAAGAAAGTTCAGAGGATTGGAGGTAATGATAATTTTTTTCCTTAAAGAGAAATTTATCGGTAAAGCTGAGTTATGGGGCTTTGTCAGATGTAATTACTTTTTGGACATTTAGTTTTTGACTTTTTTTTTTTTTTTTTTAATACTGTGTGTGTGCTTTGTGTATCTTGGTGAAAATCTTTGTGCCTGTAGCTTTTATTGTTGGTATATAACTTTTAAAAAACTGATTTCTTTTTATGTTTTCACAAGTGGAATGAATTCAAAGGCTATGCTGTTTGTTAAAATAGAGTATTTGAAGCCTGAGACTTATGATATTATAGAAGCTAAACAGCGACTCTAAAGTAGTTCAGTAAACAATTCCTCTTCTTCAAAGGCTCAGGGTCATGTAGTTTGCTAGTGACAGAATTGTAAGTAGAGCCTAATTTCCCAGCTGGTAACTTGATGACATTTTTGGTATCTGTCCTTATTGAAATACTCTATGGGCTAGGGATTTGTAAAAACCCTATTCTTCTCTCAGACATTGTAGTTTCTTTTTTTTTAACTTTTAAGTTCAGGATACCAGTGCAGATTTGTTACATTGGTAAACTTGTGTCATGAGGGTTTGTAGTATAGATTATTTTATCACCCAGGTATTAAGCCTGGTACCCATTGGTTGTTTCTCTTGATCCTCTCCCTTCTCCCACCCCCTACCCTCCAAAAGGATCCAGTGTGTGTTGTTCCCCTTGTATTTATTTATTTATTTATTTATTTATTTATTTATTTATGAGATGGAGTATCTCCCTGTCACCCAGGCTGGAGTGCAGTGGCGCAATCTCAGCTCACTGCAGCCTCCACCTCCCAGATTAAAATGATTCTCCTGCCTCAGCCTCCCGAGTAGCTGGGATTACAGGAGCGCGCCACCACGCCCGGCTAATTTTTTGTATCTTCAGTAGAGACGAAGTTCCACCACGTTGGCCAGGCAGGTCTTAAACTCCTGACCTCGTGATCTGCCTTCCTCGGCCTCCCAAAGTGCTGGGATTACAGGTGTGAGCCACCATGCCCAGCCTTCTGGTTTCTTTTTTTACCAATGTTTTCTCATACCTTAGAAATGAAACTGTCAGACCCTTTGTGATTTGTTGTTTACGTATGTATTGGCTAATTATGGTAAATAGCACAGTTGAAAATGTTTTGCAAAAATTGAGGTTTTTTTTTGTTTTGTTTTTTGAGACAGTCTCGCTCTGTCACCCAGGCTGGAATGCACTAGTGTGATTTCACTGCAACCTTCGCTTCCCAGGCTAAAGCGATCCTCCCACCTCAGCCTCCTGAGTAGCTGGGATTACAGGCATGTGCCACTATGCCCAGCTAATTTTTGTATTTTTCGTAGAGATGGGGTTTTACCATGTTGCCCAGGCTGGTCTCGAACTCCTGGGCTCAAGTGATCTGCCTGCCTTGGCCTTCCAAAGTGCTGGGTAATTACAGGCAAGAGCCACCTCGCCCAGCAAAAATCTAGTTTTTAAAGGCATCTTTATTATACTCATAGTATTCACTATTGTTTGCTTGTTCTTGTGATTAAAAAATAAGGGGAGAAAAGTTGTGGTTTGCTACCTTTCTAGTGGAGGCATGCCTTGCATGTGGTAGATGATAATTAGACATTTGTTGAACTAAATGTGTGAAAACTTCATCCCAGGGAAATGATGATAATGTGAATAAGAGGCTTTCCTCCAGTGGGATACCTAGATGATAAGTAGAAGCCTATATCCTGTTTTTACTTGATTGAGACTTTATCCGTACCCCTTGGAAGTTGTTTAATTTACCTACACCCGGGCTCTTTACCTGCATGTTGAAAACAGTTTGGAATGGACCCAAAGAAAGTTGTTACTAAGGCCTTTCTTTTTTCTCTCCCAGCCAGTCCTCTGGATTGAGGTGTTCGGTTGGCCTAGGGTTATTCATTTCTTGTTTCCTTCAGCAAATATTTTTTTGAGGGTCTGTTATTTGCCAGGTACTCTGCTGGGATCTGGAATATAGAGATGAACAAAAGAGTGATAGGACCTATATTCCCTGAGCTTTTATTGACCAGTGGACTGTGACTTTTGATGTAATTTTATTTTTGAGAGAGGGTCTTGCTCTGTCACCCAGGCTGGAGTGCAATGGGGTGATCTTGGCTCACTGCAACCTCCGCCTCACGGGCTCCAGTGATTCTCCTGCCTCAGCCTCCCGAGTAGCTGGGACTACAGGTGCACACCACCTTGGCTGGCTAGTTTATGTAATTTTTTGTATGTCTGTGGAGACAGGGTTTCACCATGTTGCCCAGGCTGGTCTCAAACTCCTGAACTCAGGTGATCTACCCGCCTTCCAAAGTACTGGGATTACAGGCATGAGCCACCATAATAATTTAGTTATTATTTAAATAATTTTTAATTTGAAAAATTTAAAAATATCTTTGCTTATTTATACTCAATGGACAACAAAATGTTTATATATTCACAGAGAGATCGATGTCTTATTCTGATGAGTCTCGACTGTCGAATCTTCTTCGGAGGATCACCCGGGAAGACGACAGAGACCGAAGATTGGCTACTGTAAAGCAGTTGAAAGAATTTATTCAGCAACCAGAAAATAAGCTGGTAAGTATAGTATGTTTGGAAATATGAGGATTTTTGTGTTTCCATAATAAACTAGGTAATGCTACCTTGAGTAGTTTAAGAATGGGGAAAGTCTGTATTATGATGATCGAGAACTTAATGCTCTCTAATATGTAATTTCTTTTTCTTCTTAAAGACAAGATCTTGCTCTGTCGCCCAGGCTGGAGTGCAGTGGCACAATCATAGCTCACTGCAGTCTCAAACTCCTGGATTCAAGCTATCCTCCCACTGCAGCCTCCTGAGTAGCTGGGACTTCAGGCATGTTCCACTACACCTGGCTGAGGTGGAAGAATCACTTGAGCCCAGGAATTCAGGGTTGCAGTGAGATGTGATCACACCTCTGCATGTCAACCTGGGCGACAGAGGGAGTCCTTGTCTCTTAAAACAACAACAGAAATGTAACAAAGTATAGGAAGGGTTAAATTTTTTTCTTCACTTTCTTTACACCAATTAAGAACTTGATATGGGCCAGGTGTGGTGGCTCATGCCTGTAATCCCAGCATTTTGGGAGGCCAAGGCAGGCGGATCACCTGAGTTCAGGAGTTCGATACCAGCCTGCCCAACATAGTGAAGCCCCATCTCTACTAAAAAGACAAAGTTAGCTGGGCGTGGTGGCACATGCCCGTAATTCCAGCTACATGGGAGGCTGAGCAGGAGAATCGCTTGAACCCAGGAAACGGAGGTTGCAGTGAGCTGAGATCATGCCATTGCACTCCAGCCTGGGCAAAAAGAGTGAAACTCCATCTTGAAAAAAAAAAAAAAGAACTTGATAATGAGCAGGAGAAAATTAATGAAAATGGTCTAGTGAGGCAGATGACACTTGGATCAAAGCAAGTTTCTCCTCCTTCCAAATTTTATTATGAGAAGGTTCAAATATATAGCAAGTTGAAAGAATTTGACATTGAATCTGTTAAACCCGTCATCTAATTTTTGTCGTTAACATTTTACCCTAAATACTGCCTTGTCACATGTCTCTCCATCTATCCCTCCATCCATCAGTCAATTTTTCAAATGGATTTCAAAGTAAATAAAACAAGCTTTTTGAGTTTATTTTTTTGTTGATGATCACAGCTCTGTGTTTCCAGTGGGTGAATTTCTTTCATAGTCTGAAAGGAAACATGACATTCCTGATACATGCTCATTGGGGAGTGGGAATAATAAAGAAACTAAAGTACTGTTGAATTAGAATTTGGAGGGGAAGACAAGTAAAAAAGTACACAATGCTATTCTTAAAAGTATAGGAATTTGAAGTTTTTATAAATGTGTTTTCTTTTAAAGGTACTAGTTAAACAATTGGATAATATCTTGGCTGCTGTACATGACGTGCTTAATGAAAGGTAAGTAACTAATAATGGTTCAGTTTAAATGACTTTAAAATATATTTTTAGAAATTACTTAACAATACACAAGAAGACAAACCCACTGGCTTTGTTTATGAACATCTATTGACATTTCAGTGGGTCTTGTCATTTTTATCTGCATTAATTATGTGTTAATTACGGTTGAATACAAATGGAATCCACTTGAAAAGAATACTTTATTTATTTTTTGAGCCGGAGTCTCACCCTGTCGCCCAGGCTGGAGTGCAGTGGTGCGATCTCAGCTCACTGCAACCTCCACCTCTCGGGTTCAAGTGATTCTCCTGCCTCAGCCTCCCAAGTAGCTGGGACTACAGGTGTGCACCACCACTGCCAGCTAATTTTTGTATTTTTAGTAGAGACAAGGCGGAGCTTGCAGTTTCACCATGTTGGCCAGGCTGGTCTCAAACTCCTGACATCAGGTAATCCACCCACCTTAGCCTCCCAAAGTGTTGGGATTACAGGCATGAGCCACTGTGCCTGGCTGGAATATTTTATTTTTTTTAATTTGCTAGTCTCACTGGATAACCGAGTCTTGACTTATGGAATGGCATAAACTCTTGATGCAGGCATGAATGAATAAAATTAGTTTTTGTAAACTAGAGAATTTGAAACTGCTTGGAGAATAGAGGTAAAAAGGAGTTTCCTTCTTTGGGTAAGAGTGGATCCAAATCATATATTCTCTGGCTATTAGAATCTCCAGAGGTGTGTGGTCATTTCTTGTTATGGTGATTCCCAAAGATTTGCAGTGTTGGCAAGTACCCAAAATTTATCTCAGCTGGTCATAAACCTTAGTGCCTTTTGATGGTTTTATTTTATAGAGTTACTCATTACTGTTATCCTTTTAAGTTTCTGTATTTAACTATTACCATTTTTTATTTTATAGTCATTACATATTGGATATTATGTAGAATGTAGTTATGTATAGTGTGTTTTATCTAATTATTTGTTGCTGCCCTTTTCTGAGAGTTATTTAATACAGTTTGAGATGGAATTTAGCATTTTTGGGCCTTCCCTCACTGTTTGTAAATAATTGATTTTGTAAAAAGAAAGTAATATCAGACAGATACTTGAGGGCAATGCAGGCTAGACAGACTGTAGTATTTAGAGTGGAGAAAATTTCAACCTTTTATGTAGTTTGAATAGAAATTTAAAAAACCACTTAAGACATTCTTTTGTAAGATGTATTACTCGTGTCATCATAGAAAACTTAAGCCTTTTGTGTGTGTTTTTTGTTTGCATTAAAATAAACACAGTAGCAAATTGCTTCAGGAGTTGAGACAGGAGGGAGCTTGCTGTCTTGGCCTTCTTTGTGCTTCTCTGAGCTATGAGGCTGAGAAGATCTTCAAGTGGATTTTTAGCAAATTTAGCTCATCTGCAAAAGATGAAGTTAAACTCCTCTACTTATGTGCCACCTACAAAGCACTAGAGACTGTAGGAGAAAAGAAAGCCTTTTCATCTGTAATGCAGGTAAGAATGAAGGGGGAAAAATGCATGATGTACTTGGGAAGAAAATTGTCCCTTAACACATGTCCTTGGAGGGGAGCTTGAAGAAGGGAAACATAGAATAGGGGTTATCTACTGATAGGAAATATGTTTTAAAAATTCCTCTTTCTCAGTTTGAGTAAAGGATACACTGTTCAAGGATCAGTGCTACATACATATATGCATATATGTGGAGAAAGAGGGAGAGATTTCTTCTAAGAAATTGGCTTACACGCCAGGTGCGGTGGCTCACGCCTGTAATCCCAGCACTTTGGGAGGCCGAGGCAGGCGGATAATGAGGTCAGGAGATCGAGACCATCCTGGCTAACATAGTGAAACCCCATATCTACTAAAAATACAAAAAAAATTAGCCAGGCGTGGTGGTGGGCACCTGTAGTCTCAGCTAATTGGGAGACTGAGGCAGGAGAATGCCGTGAACCTGCGAGGCGGAGCTTGCAGTGAGTCGAGATCACGCCACTGCACTCCAGCCTGGGCAACAGAGTGAGACTGTGTCTCAAAAAAAAAAAAAAAAAAAAGATACATGTTGAAGTTAGATTTGAAATAAGTTAGTTTTAAGATTTTTTTCCTCAGCCAAGCGTGGTGGCCTATATGCCTATAATCCCAGCACTTTGGGAGGCCGAGGTGGAAACATCATGAGGTCAAGAGATCGAAACCATCCAGGCCAACATGGTGAAACCCCGTCTCTACTAACAATACAAAAATTAGCCAGGCATGGTGGCACGCGCCTGTAGTCCCAGCTACTCAGGAGGCTGAGGCAGGAGAATCGCTTGAACCTGGGAGGCCGAGGTTGCAGTGAGCCGAGATCACACCATTGCCTGGGCAACAGAGCCAGACTCTGTCTCAAAAAAAAAAAAAAAGGATTTTTTTCCTCTTTGGTTTTTAGAAATGTTTTTTTGAGATTGCTTAGGACCAGAATGATTTGCAAATTTGAAAATAGGAACTCCACTAGGAATGCTGGATAGAAGAGTGCTTCACATTTGTAGAGGGAGACAAGAACTAAATATCACAACTTCTTTCTGAGCCTTTTGGTTTGCTAACGTGCCCCAAATTCTTATTCCAAATGGTATAAGATAATTATGTGTAAATGAATACCAGCTCTACTTAGTTTTATTTCACATTTGTGTATCTGAATATATTAGAACATCATTCCTTTTTTTTTTTTTTTTTTTTTGATGCAGAGTCTTGCTCTGTTGTCCAGCCTGGAGTGCAGTGGCATGATCTCGGCTCACTGCAACTTCTGCCTCCCAGGTTCAAGTGATTCTCCTGCCTCAGCCTCCCGAGTAGCTGGTATTACAGGAGTGTGCCACTAGCCTGGCTAAGTTTTGTATTTTTGATAGAGATGGGGTTTCGTTGTGCTGGCCATGCTGGTCTTGAACTCCTGACCTCAAGTGATCCTCCTGCCTCGGCCTCCCAAAGTATTGGGATTACTGTCATGAGCCACCACACCTGGCCTAAAAGATCATTGATTTAGTTTTGAGTAAGATTTTAAGTGATTAAATTATAGTATTGATGTGTTCGGAATATCTGATATTAGGGTTTTTTTTTTTTTTTTTTTTTTTTTTTTTTTTTTTTTACTGTTTTTGATATGCTTTATTTTGGGTATGTAGTTTAAAAAATATAAAGGAAATATAAGGAATGTTCTTTTTTTTTTTTTTTTTTTTTTAAATAAAAAGTGTATTTTTAACTGGGCATGGTGGCTCACTCCTGTAACCCCAGCACTGTGGGAGGCTGAGGCTGGTGAATCGCCTGAGTCCAGGAGTTTGAGACCAGCCTGGGCAACATGGTGAAACCCTGTTTCTATTAAAAAAAAAAAAAAAAAGGAAAAAAAAATAAGTCGGGCGTGGTGGCATGCACCTGTAGTCCCAGCTACTTGGAGGCTGAGGCAGGAGGATTGCTTGTGCCTGGGAGGTTGAGGCTACAGTGAGCTATGGTCAAGCTACTGCACTCCATTATAGGCAACCCTATCTCAAAAAAACAAAACAAAACATTTTTCCCCTTGATTATAGAGGTTTGAGAAAAATTTGAGGGAAGATTCAGAAAATTACCTGTAACTAAACAGAATGCCACCAGCTCGGGCTTATTCTGCATGCACAATTATGAACATTTTCCCAGCTCTTGTGAAAATTCTCACATTCATAGAAAGATAGATGCACCAGTATTAAATAAATACCTGTAAATATGATAATAATTTCATAATATATGCTTCACCTAGATTTACCAGTTACTAATATTTTGCCACAGTTTTATTTTCTCACACACTTTGTTGAGCATCTGAAAACCATACACATGATGACAGTTCACCCCATAATGTTTTAGTATGCATCTCCCAAGAATAAGGTTTTTCTTCTGTATAACAGGAATATTGTAATCATACCTAAGTAAATGAATTTTATTACATATGTGTTCTATATTCAAATTTCTGTAATTACCCCTAAGATGTCTTTTAAATGATTTTTAGCATTGATAGTCTGTGCCTGTGTAGATTATAACATTGGCTATTGCAAAATAATGGTTTTCTTTTTCTCTTTTTTTTTGAGACATAATCTTGCTCTGTTGTCCAAGCTGGAGGGCAGTGGCACGATCTCGGCTCACTGCAACCTCCGCCTCCCAGGTTCAAGCAGTTCTCTTGCTTCAGCCTCCTGAGTAGCTGGGATTACAGGCATGTGCCACTGTGCTCTGCTAATTTTTATATTTTTAGTAGAGACGGAGTTCATCATGCTGGCCAGGCTGGTCTTGAACTCCTGACCTCAAGTGATCCACCTGCCTCGTCCTCCCAAAGTGTTGGGGTTACAGGTGTGAGCCACTGCACCCAGCCTAAAATGATGGTTTTCTGATTCTAGCATTTCTTTTATAAGATTGCTATGTAAAGCAGAGCTTTTCCTTTTTTAGGGAAAAATGTTTTCTAACAGCTGCAAAATAAATATTCTTTCAATGGAATGACAAATAATGATTTATTATTTTATTTTTGCCCTATATTTATTTTAAAAATTTATGTATAATGGTAACCTGAGCCTGCATGTTATTTATGTGTGGTCCCATACTGATCTTCTTTAATTTTAATATGAAGCAAGTACTAATATACTAAAGCATAGATTATATAAAATTTGCTTTATATTTCGGATTGCAAAGTAATTGTTGTACTTTATAGAAAAGTTTCCCAAATCCATTTTACTTTTTTGTATTTGAAATTTAATCACAGGTAGAATCTTAAAGAGAGCATTTAGGGATATTGTAAACAGATGTTATTAAGGACTAATGTTAACTGATGTCAAAGGACTAATATTAACAAACATTGAAGAAGAGAAAACAGTATTTGTTTTTAGCTTAACATCTTAGTGGAGTGAAATATTTTCAATTTATTTTATTTATTTATTAATTATTATTTTTTTTGAGATGGAGTCTGGCTGTATTGTCCAGGCTGGAGTGCAGCAGTGCAATCTCAGCTCACTGCAACCTCTGCCTCCTGGGTTCAAGCGATTCTTGTGTCTCAGCCTCCCAGGTAGTTGGGATTTACAAGTCAATTTTTTTTTTTTTTAACTAAAACTACAGAATCTATTTTTCTTGGTCTCATATTCAGTTTTTTATGTAGTCAGTAAATAATGAACCTAATTTGCTTGTTTTCTCCCTATTTTGTTGAATGTTCACGGTTTGTAACTTTTTATTTTTAAGCTTGTAATGACCAGCCTGCAGTCTATTCTTGAAAATGTGGATACACCAGAATTGCTTTGTAAATGTGTTAAGTGCATTCTTTTGGTGGCTCGATGTTACCCTCATATTTTCAGCACTAATTTTAGGGTGAGTTCCTCATTCCGCTTTTCAGATCATGGGGTGAGGGGGATGGTTGTGTGTGTGAGGATCTGAGGAAACAGATGGAAAACAATGCCTCAGCTCCTTTGAATATAATCAGTGATATTTGAGGTTCCAGGGTTAAATACCGCATTTTTCTTTCTGACATTCATACCTTAAAATATTTGAAGAAAATAAACTATTTCATTGTTGTCAGAAATGTAGTTCTTTTATTTTCCTGCCCCTCTCCCCTTTCTAAGTTTCTAGAATGTCAAGTAGGTAGAACATAGATGCTCCTTTTAGGATCTTTTGCTGTGAAATGGTCCACAGGTGAATGGCAGTAATATCTTAAAATGATTGGCCCCCTCTCTCTTTGTTTCCATCAAGGATACAGTTGATATATTAGTTGGATGGCATATAGATCATACTCAGAAACCTTCGCTCACGCAGCAGGTATCTGGTAAGTCTTGCAGCCTATACCAGTTATTTAAATACTGTCGGGGAGGAGCAGTGGTCCCCCAGTGACCATCTATCAATACCATTTCTTTAATAATGCAAGAAAACTAATTCAGAGAAATGTTTTATTGTAAATGAACATTACTTGTTAGCTAAATATGTATTTTCAGAGGAAATTACTAGTAGGTGGGTACAGTAAGTACAGACAGGACTTACCCAAGTTATTTGTAGTTTGTACTGGTAGGAAAGTGTATGGTAAGAATATATTGTAGTGGCAATACCCTGAAGTGGACAATGGAAGATCCAAGTTATTTGTCACATTTTATTGTTTTTCTGGTAATTTTTTTAAAAAAGGAAATACAGGGTTAATTTGGAGAATTGTCATAAATGAGAAATGGTTTTGTTTCCCATTTTTTTGGAGTTTAAGTGAATGACTAACGTGGCTCATTTGCACATTTCAGTTTGTTTCAAGTGTCATAGTTTCTCGTAACTTACATGGTGTAATAAACTTTTGAAAATAGGATATTCAGGTGATAGTGGCCTGTTTCATTTTCACTGAGGAGATGAGTATACACCTTTAATGGTTAGATGTGGCCCTGGGATTAGCTGGGCCAATGGTAGATTGTGGCAGTTTAGTCTTAAGTCATGTGTAGTGACAATATAGATATGAAATTTACTGAAAAAGTAAGGAAATAACATTTACCTGTTAATTTCTGCAGAAATTAAAGAGGTATTAATTAAAGAGGTATTGGTTAATTGTGATCAGCATGTTTAACAGTCTTAATTTTATGATATAGGACATGTTTTAGGGTATGCTGCTTGAAAACCAGATACCTCTTAAAACAAGCCTCTTATTTTTTTTTAATTTGGATTTTTTGGTGTTTTTTTCCCCCCTACCCTTTCACAATTTCTTATACGATTCCAAGGGTGGTTGCAGAGTTTGGAGCCATTTTGGGTAGCTGATCTTGCATTTTCTACTACTCTTCTTGGTCAGTTTCTGGAAGACATGGAAGCATATGCTGAGGTGAGTATATAGAAAGCTGTTTCTTAAAATTTTGGTTAAGAAAAAATCTTAAATTGTGCTAGATTTATTTTAAAATGGCTCAGACCTCCTGACATTTAAGCAGAAATTACATGCCCATTGCAATATTTTAAACATTTTTTTTTTTTTTTTTGAGATGGAGTCTCGCTCTGTCACCCAGGCTGGAGTGCAATGGCACGGTCTCGGCTCACTGCAACCTCCACCTCCTGGGTTCAAATGATTCTCCTGCCTCAGCCTCCCGAGTAGCTGGAATTACAGGTGCCCGCCACCATGCCCAGCTAATTTTTGTATTTTTAGTAGAGACAGGGTTTCACCATGTTGGCCAGGCTGGTCTCAAACTCCTGACCTCAGGTGATCCACCCGCATCGGCCTCCCAAAGTGCTGGGATTATAGGCGTGAGCCCCCGTGCCCAGTCAATATTTTAAACATTTATTTCAGATGTGTTTAAGTTACCAGGAGAATTACTGGAGAGACTAAAAGAAACGTTGCAAGCTTCGTATTTCGCAAAGCTTTACATACTCTTGGTAGCTGGTATTTTTCTAAAGACATTTTTTGTTATTTATTTTTATTTTTTGTTCCCGGTCTTCAGAGTCTTAAAGCAAATTGATGTGGTGTTATAAAAAAACACAAAACACCAAAAGCCCCTAAAGATTTTCCTCTTACATATGTACAGGAGATCTTGAATCGTACTTTGGAGGACAAGCCTTGGCTTTAGCCAGCTTTTGTGGCTGTACGAATATAGCATAGGAGCTTTAAGAGCGCTGCTGAAGCCTCTGTTACTGGCACTTGGCTTTTCTGGCCCCACTGTCGTGGCTTAACTCTGTGCCATCTCTTATCTGAATCTCTTTGTGTTTCTCCCCTATTCAGATCAACCAATCAAGGCTCCCATAAAGATTTTAGCCTCATTTTGTTTTTTTCATCTTTGCTGCTTGTAGTCGACAGGAATTCAGTACCTTTAGCTGTACTGATTTGTTTACTCTTTCCTAGAAAAGCAAGGAAGTGTTTCGCTTCTGTGTTGTTTTTTCTTTGCCCCCACACCTAGAACGTCTTTTTTTCACAGCCCACGTTTAAAGCTGATTTACCTCTCATAAGCCACACATTCTAGTTTGTAGAGATGCTTCCCCTTGTTATCCTTAAGATCTCATTCTCTTCTGTTATTTTGCTGCTTAATTTTAGGTAGATGCATACATTGGTTCTAGTATCCCAGTTTTTGCGAATCTTGTCCTTTTCATATATCGTACTTCTTCAATTACACATCTGTAGACCAGGTCTTGTAATCTCCCTTTGCTCTTCATGTGCATGCTCTTGGTTTGGAGGACTTACTGTTGAGCTGAGTGGCTCAAAGAATACCTAGAATGAGATTTTTAGCCAAAAACTAATTCAGGAGTGGCAAAAGCTTCCGTCTTCATTTATACCTACATATAACTAGAGCATATGTGCTAGAATTTATTTTTCCCTAACAGCTTTCTGAGTTGATTTAAGAGATTATTTCTTTAATTTGTTGTCTGTTGGGTTTAATGTTGGCTTTTTGAAATAATTAGGTAAAACCCATTTTTATATTTAGAGTCATGAATATTCTCATGGGCCACAGTTCTCTTTCTAAAAGCCTAAAAATCTATTCTAAAATGAATTGATTGAAATATTTTAGAGTTTTTTTTTTTTTTATTTAAAACAATGTACTACTTATTAAGAATGCTGTGAATTCACATCTAGGACCTCAGCCATGTGGCCTCTGGGGAATCAGTGGATGAAGATGTCCCTCCTCCATCAGTGTCATTACCAAAGCTGGCTGCACTTCTCCGGGTATTTAGTACTGTGGTGAGGAGCATTGGGGAACGCTTCAGCCCAATTCGGGGTCCTCCAATTACTGAGGCATATGTAACAGATGTAAGTGCTTTTGGGCATTTCAAGTGTCATTCAAAAATAAAATTGTTTTACACTGTAAATGCTTCTCTTTACCTGGTGAACTGTTATTAATCCTTCATTTGTTTAGCATGTATGTATGTATGTATATATGTATATATTGTCTGACTGTTTTCTTGAATAACTAGAAAAGTAGGGAATCCTGTTACATCTCATCCTCCTTTCATCCAACTCCCCTACCCTCCCATGACAAAAGGCCACTCTGAATTTTTAAATCTTATTCTTTCGTTTTTAAATAATATTTATTATAATTTTACTTTTAAATTATTGGGTTTCCTTTTAGTTTTTCAGCATACTACGAATAGCACACTATAGGAAAAGCCTCAGAAAGTAATCTTCTCTGAACATAAGATGGAACTCATATGAAAACTTGTATACCTTTATATTCTTTGATAGCCTGATATCAAAGAACATAAACAAATTAAAAATGAGGTAGCTAGCTTGCCACACTTCAGCAGCCTCAAACATTAGCTGCACTGTATGTAGCACATCCAATGAGGGTTCAGTGGAAAAGACACAAGAAATGAACCCCAGGCATTGTACTCTGCTTTGAATAAGGAGAAAGAAGCATGTGTGATATAGTCATAAAAGATTTAATCGAACTGATGAAAATTTTACTGTTAGGATAAAACTTGCTTTTAGGAGCATATACTTTTGCTGAACACGTTGCTAGATAAAATAGGATATTGATTATGTAGATATATAAAATTTTTAGTAAGTTGCGTACTTGAGCAGAAATGTCAGAACTTAAATGAAACCAGCATATTGGTATTTTAAACCAATATGGTTTCAAAATGGTTTAATATCTTTGCTTCATTTTTAATATCTAAAAGGTGGTTGTTTGAAGACTGTACAGAGTTGAAATAAAAAGCCATTACTTCAGACATAAAATAAAAGGGACATAATTTATAGGATAGGTGTATATTGATTTATGAGGATCTTTTAGGCCTTTGAGAATGGTAGAATGGTGGTTTTTTTTTTTTAAATTTAATTTAATTTAATTTTTTTTTGGAGCTAGAGCCTCACTCTGTCACCCAGGCTGGAGTGTAGTAGAGCAATCATAGCTCACTGTAATCTTGAACTCCTGGGCCCATATGAACCTCCCACCTCACTCAGCCCTACAAGCGAGTGTCACCATACCCAGCTTTTTTTTTTTTTTTTCTTTTTAAAGTGGGGTGGTGCCATCACGACTCAGTGCAGTCTCTATCTCTTGGGCTCAAGTGATCTTCCCACTATAGCTCCTGCTAATTTTTTATTTTTGTAGAGATGGGGTCTCAGTGTTTCCCAGGCTGGTCTTGAACTTTTGGCCTCAAGCAGTCTTCCCACCTCAGCCTCCCAAAGTGTTGGGATTATAGACATGAGCCACTGTGCATGGCCAAGAATGCTTCCCCCTCCGCGCCCCCCCCCTTTTTTTTTTGGAGACATGGTCTCTGTTGCCCACGCTGGAGTGCAGTGGCACGATCTTGGCTCACTGCAGCCTTGACCTCCCAGGCTTAAGTGATCCTCCCACCTCAGCCTCTCAAGTAGTTGGGACTACTGGTGCGAGCCACCATGCCCAACTAATTTAAAAACAAATTTAGTAGAGATGAGGTGTTGTTATGTTGACATGGCTGGTCTCAAACTCCTGGACTCAAGAGAACCTTCCAGCTAATCCTGTCAAAGTGCTAGGATGATAGATATGAGTCACTGTGCCTAACCTCCAAGGATACTTTTAATGAAAACTATGGGTAGACTAAATAAAATCCTGTATGTATTGGTTGTTAAATATTATAGAAATATTTTTTAACATTTGCTCTGTTTTCTCCCCTATTTTATTAGAAATTTAGTACACAATTATTGGCCATTATAGTTAAGTGGGGGATTTTGTTTGTGTGTGTATTGGAAATAATATGATTTTTGAAGGTATTTTGTGGTAAGCATGAGAGTGCTTATCTTTCAAAAGAGACCATCAGTAGATAGAAACTTTAATAAGCTTAAAGTGACTTGTCTGTTTAGTTTTAAAAGATTGATTCCCAAAAGCCCAAGAGCTAGCTTGTAGTATGTGTGGGCAGGCTATTCCCATGCTGTCAATACCATTACTGTTGTGGTGGTGTATTTCATGATAAAGATTCTGAGCTTCCGCCATTTAGTGACATTGGGAGAAACGAAGTTGGGTATATGGGAAATAGAGGATGGCAGATTCCATTTCCTGTCATAATAGCACTTTAGGATTTTTTAGCCAAGATCATGTTTACATACTGTACTAAAGATATCATTATTATTCAACTACTGAGAACTAGAATATTAAGAGACTGCTGGCAAGGCAAGCAGTTAATTTTCAGTTGAAATTGCATTAAATAAAAAGTATTTTCTTGCTTTGTGGAAGCACGTGAATTTTTTTAAAAAGCTGCTTGTTTTCCCCATTTACAGGTTCTGTACAGAGTAATGAGATGTGTGACGGCTGCAAACCAGGTGTTTTTTTCTGAGGCTGTGTTGACAGCTGCTAATGAGTGTGTTGGTGTTTTGCTCGGCAGCTTGGATCCTAGCATGACTATACATTGTGACATGGTCATTACATATGGATTAGACCAACTGGAGAATTGCCAGACTTGTGGTACCGATTATATCATCTCAGTCTTGAATTTACTCACGCTGGTATGTGAATTATTCTTTTCCTTTTTAATGTGTTGGTTTATTCAGGCCCTTAAATCGATATGTAAGAAATTAAGGGCTTTGTCTGGGCATGGTGGCTCATGCTTGTAATCCCAGCACTTTGGGAGGCCAAAGCAGAAGGATTGCTTGCATCCAGGAATTCTGGCACAGCTTGGGCAATGTAGTGAGACCCCATCTGTACAAAAAGTCAAAAATTAGCTTGGTGTAGTGGCGTGCACCTGTAGTCCTAGCTACTCGGGAGGCTGAGGGAGGAGGATCGATTAAGCCCAGGAACTTGAGGTTGAAGAGAGCTCTGATTGTGCCACTGCACTCAGCCAAGGTGACAAAAAAAGGCCCTGTCTCCAAAAAAGAAAAAAAAATAAGGGCTTTGCTTTATTATATTATTTTCTTAGAGTACATTCATCAGTTATAATCTGTGCTTTCATTTTAGTGTCTATTTACTTTTATTTTTAATGCAATTTTTTTTTGAGACAGGGTCTCACTCTGTTGCACAGGATGAAGTGCAGTGGCATGATTTTGGCTCACTGCAGCCTTGACCTCTTGGGCTCAGGTGATCCTCCCACCTCAGCCCCCCAGGTAGCTAGGACTACAGGCGTGCGTCACCACACCTGGCTAATTTTTTGTATTATTTTGTAGAGATGGAGTTTTGCCATGTTACCCAGGCTGGTCTTGAATTCTTGGGCTCAAGCAATCCACCTGCCTTGGCCTCCCAAAGTACTGGGATTATAGGTATGAGCCACTCTACCAGGCCTCTATTTTTACTGGTTGATAGCTAGTCTCAGTGTAGCTTTACTTGTGTTTTTTGAGGAAACATTGCTCTATGCACCAGATTCTTTCTTTTTTTTCTTTTCTTTTCTTTTTTTTTTTTTTGTCACAGGATCTTGCTGTATTCCCCTGGTTGGAGTGCAGCGGTACAATCAGAGCTCACTGCAGCCTCAAACTCCTGGGCTCAAGTGATCTTCCCACTCAGCCTCCCGACTATCTGGGACTACAGATGCATGCCACCATGCCTGGCTAACCTTTGTATTTTTTGGAGAGAAGGGGTCTCACTACATTGTCTAGGCTGGCCTCAAATTCTTGGTCTCAAGTAATCCTCCTGCCTTGCCCTCCCAAAGTGCTGGGATTACAGGTGTGAGCAATCATGCCTGGCCTCCTTTAATTTCTTTTTTTTTTTTTTGTTGAGACGGAGTCTCGCTCTTTTGCCCAGGCTGGAGTGCAGTGGTGCAATTGTATTTTTAGTACAGACGGGGTTTCACCATGTTAGCCAGGATGGTCTCGATCTCCTGACCTCGTGATCTGCCTGCCTTGGCCTCCCAAAGTGCTGAGATTACAGGCGTGAGCCACCGCGCCCGGCTGGCCTCCTTTAATTTCTTAACCATAAATATCCTCCCCTCACTTTTATTATGGACATTCTGAAGCACATAAAAATAGGGAGCATAGTATAATAAATTTGTACATATTTAACACTCAGCTTCTATAATTAGAAACAAATGGCCCATCTGGTTTCATCTAGGCCTCTTTGCTATCCTTTCATCTCCAACTGGAGTATTTTAAAGCAAATTCTAGATGACATTCTGCTGAGCATTTCTGCCAGAATTACACCTCTTTTTACTAATGTGAAAAAATGCCCATGATAACTGTAAAATACGTGTGTCCTATTTAGGTGTCTAAACACTTTAATGTCACAGTATTAAGGCCTTAAAATATAGCTTAGATATATTTTTCTAAATTAAAAGACTATTTTTTAGATATACAGAAAATTGAGCAGAAAACAATGAGTTCCCATATACCTTCTTCATCCCAACAGTTTCCCCCTCATTAACATATTGTGTTAGTGTGGTACATTTATTACAAAGGAGCGAATATGGATATATTATTATTAACTAATTTTATAGTTTACTTTGTGTTATGTATTCTATGGACTTTAACATGTGTAATGACATGTATCCCCTATTACCAGTATCATACAGGATAGTTTCACTTCCCTAAAAATCTTTTATGTTCCACCCACTCCTTCCTCGTTCCCTCTCCCCACTCCTCCCTCCCTCCATCTTAAGCCCATGGCAATCCCTGATCTTTTTACTGTCTCCGTCGTTTTGCCTTTTCCAGAATGCCATGTAGTTGGAGTCATATAGTATGTAGCCTTTTCAATTGGCTTCTTTCACTTATCAGTGTGCATTTAAGGTTTCTCCATGTCTTTTTGTAATTGGAGAAGCTCATTTTTTAAAAATTTTATTCTTTTAGATTGTTGAACAGATAAATACGAAACTGCCATCATCATTTGTAGAAAAACTGTTTATACCATCATCTAAACTACTATTCTTGCGTTATCATAAAGAAAAAGAGGTAAGTAATACATTGATAATGAATTTTGACAACTTGAGTCACTGAAGAGTTGGACCTAATGTTGCTTACCAGGCTGTATAAGTGAAATTGAGTGAAATGTGAAATGTTTGATTTAGAATATAGTGATTGTATTTGTTCTTTTAAGTTTGTATTTCTTGAGAATCATACTGAATACTTTCATGAATGATGTGCCAGATACTCTTTTCAGACTATGCATCTTTTGCTGTTATTAAATTTATTATAAATTTATTATAAATTTAAATTTTCATAAGGGTAAAACAAGTTGACACATTTATAACGTTATAAATTAAGAAGTACTGTATATTTTGTAAACAAAAATGACTGGCTTTTCAACCACCCCCTAGTCAAATCCACCACAGACTTTCCTGGTAGATTTAAGAAACCCAGTCTTAAACTGCTGTTTGCATATGTCTTCTGATGTTGATTATTTAAAAAAAAAAAAAAACGGCCATTTCGGAAATTTCATATTGACAGTTTTCATTTATAGTACTCTGTATTTGTGATAAAACTTTATAGACTTGAAATAGCATACTGATCTGTGTCAGTTTTCTGACTGGTTTTTAAAAAGTTAAAATATTAAGTGCTACGGACAGTGAATTGATCGATCTTAAATTTATTTGTATCGTCAGCACTAATACAGATAGTGATTTATTTTCCATATAATTTTAGAAGATTTATTTTCCATTTATCACTTCCTTGAATTTTTTGTTTTTCAGGTTGTTGCTGTAGCCCATGCTGTTTATCAAGCAGTGCTCAGCTTGAAGAATATTCCTGTTTTGGAGACTGCCTATAAGTTAATATTGGGAGAAATGACTTGTGCCCTAAACAACCTCCTACACAGTCTACAACTTCCTGAGGCCTGTTCTGAAATAAAACATGAGGCTTTTAAGAATCATGTGTTCAATGTAGACAATGCAAAATTTGTAGTTATATTTGACCTCAGTGCCCTGACTACAATTGGAAATGCCAAAAACTCACTAATAGGGGTGAGTCTTTAATTGTAATGACTTTGTTTTATCCACAGTTAAGCCTTTTCTCATTACATATTTATGTATTTCACTGTCATGTCAAGATGTCTGCAGAATCACTGTGTGTAACAAACAGCCATATTTAAGACATGCCTGGATAAATAAAATTGGTAGGAATGTTTTCTTGGCATTATATTTAACTTTTCTTCTTCTTTTTCCTTGACAAATCTTGATAAGTTTTTTTATATTAGTTTTATTTTCTAGAAAATGTCTTATGAATTTCTCCTATTTGCTCTAGCATGCTTATAGAAAATGTCAGTGTTTCTTACAGCTCAAATTTGTGTAGTTGTTTTAAAATGCGGTCTCTTTCTTCTTCCCCTGGTACTTTTTTCTTTCTGTCTACTGAAGTTAGTTCTTATACATGGTCTTATATTTTGGCTGTCTCTTTTCCCTAGGAACATTCATACAGGTTGAATATTCCTTATCTGAAATACTTGGGACTGGAAGTGTTTTGGATTTTGGATTTTGGAATACTTTTTTTTTTTTTTTGGAGATGGGGTTTTACTCTTGTTGCCCAGGCTGGAGTGCCATGGCGCGATCTTGGCTCGCTGCAACCTCCGCCTCCCGGGTACAAGCGATTCTCCTGTTTCAGCCTCCCAGGTAGCTCGGATTACAGGCATGCACCACCATGCCTGGCTAATTTTTTTGTATTTAGTAGAGATGGGTTTTCACCATGTTAGCCGGGCTGGTTGTGAACTCCTGACCTCAGGTGATCCACCTGCCTTGGCCTCCCAAAATGCTGGGATTACAGGTGGGCACCACCATGCCCAGCCGGATTTTGGAGTATTTTCATAACACTTACTGGTGAGCATCCCTAATCTGAAAATCCTAAATCTAAAATGCTCCAAAATTTGAAACTTTTTGAGCACCAGTATGATGCCCCAAGTGGAAAATCCCACACCTGATCTCATGTGATGAGTCCAAACTGTTGTATGCACAAAATTATTTAAAATATTGCATAAAATGACCTTCAGGCTATGAATAGAAGGTGTCTATGAAACATAAGTGAATTTCGTGTTTAGACTTGGGTCCCATCCTCCACATATCTCATTTTATATATATGCAAGTATTCTCAAATCCAAAAATATACAAAGTCTGAAACACTTCTGGTCCCAAGCATTATGAATGAGGGATACTCAACCCGTAGTCCTTCTTTTAGGGGAAAAAAAAAAAAAAAAGGCTTTTTTTTTTTTTTTTTTTTTTTTTTTTTTTTTTGAGACAGAGTCATGCTGTTGTCGCCTGGGCTGGAGTGCAGTGGTGCAATCTCGGCTCACTGCCACCTCTGCCTCCCGGGTTCCAGCAATTCTCCTGCCTCAGCCTCCCGAGCAGCTGAGATTACAGACACCTACCACTACGACGGGCTAATTTTTGTATTTTTAGTAGAGACTTGGTTTCACCATGTTGGCCAGGCTGGTCTCAAACTCCTGACCTCAGGTGATCCACCCGCCTCAGCCTCCCAAAGTGCTGGAATTACAGGCGTGAGCCACCGCGCCCAGCCTGCTTTTTTTTTTTTTTTTTTTTAAGTAATTCGACATGGCCCTGCTCTTGATTTGTATTTATTGTTTATGGTTTGTGTATTTCTTCTTCCTATTGGACCACACAGAGTTGAAAAACATTCTTTTTAATAGAAAGTAATAGGTGTGGGCTGGGCACGGTTGCTGACACCTGTAAACCCAGCACTCTGGGAGGCCAAGTCGGGCTGATCACTTGTGGTCAGGAGTTTGAGACCAGCCTGGCCAACATGGTGAAACCTCGCCTCTACTAAAAATAGAAAAATTAGCCAGGGGTGGTGGTGCACACCTGTAATCCTAGCTACTTTGGAGGCTAAGTTGGGAGAATTGCTTGAACCCAGGAAGTGGAGGTTGCAGTGAGCTGAGATCACACCACTGCACTCCAGTCTGGGCGACAGAACCAGACTCTGTCTCAAAAGAAAAAAAACACAAAGAAAGAAAGTAATGGACATAATTAGGGAATAAAGTTTTTAGGAGGAAAAAGGTAAAACTTGATGTTTGCGCTTACATGTGCTCTGGGTTGTTTGATTGGATTGCCTTGTATAATTCCATAGCTGCTTCGCTTATTACCAGTTACAGCTTATGTTTGAAGTCACAATAAATTCTTCTTCGAACACGAAAGCTTGATTTTTGAGGAATTCACATTATTTACAGATTCAGAGATGTTTATGTCCTGTACTCTAGAAATAAGGAGAAAGTGGGTGGGGATGGGGCAGTCAGGTGGAATGGAGTGTCTTGGCAGTGTAAAGGAAAAAGATGGATGGAAAAGGTGTAGAGTGGCAGGGTGTGCCTTTGTTTCCTTATTGAACAGGGCACCTTGCCATTTGCAGTATATGGAAAATTGAGGAAATACAGTCTACTTCCGCAAAAGGCACATACAGAGGGCTTTGTTTAGACCAGAGATCGGCAAACTATGGTCCATGGGCCAAATACAGCCCAGCACTTGTTTTTTGTTTGTTATTTTAAATGTATAATTCACTGATTTTTAGTATATTCACAGAAGTGTACAACCATCACAACACTAGCGCCTGTTTTTGTAAAGAAAGTTCTCGTTGGGCTGGGCGCAGTGGTTCACGCCTGTAATCCCTCGGGAGACCGAGGGGGGCAGATCACCTGAGCTCAGGAGTTCAAGACCAGCCTGGCCAACATGGTGAAACTCTATCTCTACTAAAAAAATACAAAAGTTAGCAGGGCATGGTGATGGGCGCCTGTAATCCCAGCTACTTGGGAAACTGAGGCAGGGAGAATTGCTTGAACCCCGGAGGTGGAGGTTGCAGTGAGCCAAGATCGCACCATTGCACTCCAGCCTGGGCAACAGAGCAAGAGACTCTGACTCAAAAAAGAAAGTTTTCTTGGAACACAGGTACTCTCATTCCTGTGTTTTGTATGTGGCTGGTGTTTTTTGTTTTGTTTTGAGAGAGAGAGTCTTAACTTTGTCATCTAGGCTGGAGTGCAGTGGTATGATCTCGGGTCACTGCAACCTCTGCCTCCCAGGTTCAAGCGATTCTCCTGCCTCAGCCTCCCGAGTAGCTGGGATTACAAGTGTATGCCACCATGCCCAGCTAATTTTTGTAATTTTAGTAGAGATGGGGTCCCGCTGTGTTGCCCAGGCTGGTTTCAAACTCCTGGGCTCAAGTGATCTGCCCACCTTACCCTCCCAAAGTGCTAGGATTACAGGTGTGAGCCACAACACCTGACCTGTGGCTGTTTTCTTACTGTAGCGATAGACGAGGAGTTGCTGCATTGCATAGAGATGGTATATTGCACGCAAAGGCTTTACTGACTTCATAAAAAAGTGTTTGTCCCAGGTTTAGTGTACTAGATCCCTTGCAGTCTGTAATTTTAATTTAAAAATGTCCAGATACCCCTATTTTGAAGGATAAACTCTGTATGCTTGTGCTTATTTTGGAGAAGCCATAAACTTACTTTGTTTTGTACATGATCAGATGTGGGCGCTATCTCCAACTGTCTTTGCACTTCTGAGTAAGAATCTGATGATTGTGCACAGTGACCTGGCTGTTCACTTCCCTGCCATTCAGTATGCTGTGCTCTACACATTGTATTCTCATTGTACCAGGTACTGTATTTACAAATTTTTCTTAAGAACCCCACAAAACATTTTTTTTTTTAATGGATAGATTTTAAAGATGTATGTTGATTTAACTTTGGACTTGCTTGCTTTCTTTGATTAAAGATGAAAAGATAATCTGTGCTTTGTCTTTCAGGCATGATCACTTTATCTCTAGTAGCCTCAGTTCTTCCTCTCCTTCTTTGTTTGATGGAGCTGTGATTAGCACTGTAACTACGGCTACAAAGAAACATTTCTCAATTATATTAAATCTTCTGGGAATATTACTTAAGAAAGATAACCTTAACCAGGACACGAGGTAACAGATATTATATAGTATTAACTATTCCTAACTTTGTTAATTTGCCTTTATAATTTGAGAATAAGAAATGTGGATTACAAAAAATTTTTAAAAATGTGGATTATAGAGGTGAGGTAGAGCAGCTTCTTTATTGTCAAACACCTTATAATTTGGTTTTATTATTTAATCTAGGCTTTCTTATTCTTTCTGAAAAGAAATACATGAAAAACCTCACTCCCCCACCCCCCAGTGTTTCATAGAAGAATATATATAGATTTTTAATATTCTTTGCTTTTTTTTTTGAGACGGAGTTTTGCTCACTGCAACCTCTGCCTCCTAGGTTCAAGCAATTCTCCTGCCTCAGCCTCCCAAGTAGCCGCGATTACAGGTGCCCGCCACCACACCCAGCTAATTTTTGTATTTTTAGTAGAGATGGTGTTTCACCATGTTGTTGGCCAGGCTGGTCTTGAACTCCTGACCTCAGGTAAGCCACCACACCCGGCCTCTTTGCTATTATCATGCTGCGTTGGGAGGTTTTCTTAAAAGGCACACAACAATTTTGACAGTAATTTCTATAGTTTCATTTTTTTATTTTTATTTTTTATTGTTTGAGATGTTTGAAAAACCAAGAGAAGACCAATGTAAGAAGACTAGGCTTTTAATGTTTTTTGGTTTTTGTTTTTTTTAATGTACAGTCAACTGTATATTTTGTGTTTCAGGAAACTGTTAATGACTTGGGCTTTGGAAGCAGCTGTTTTAATGAAGAAGTCTGAAACATACGCACCTTTATTCTCTCTTCCGTCTTTCCATAAATTTTGCAAAGGCCTTTTAGCCAACAGTAAGACTCTGTTTTTTTTTTTTTTTCTATTTTGTTTATCAATCCTTAAAAGGGTCTTTGGTAATGGGAGATGGTCATGAATCGAGCTGTTTTCCTGACCTGAAGATGTGTAATCCTCATTTTAATGACAGATACACAGTCTTGATTTTTTTTCATTCTTAGTATTAGAAAAATGTTTTGAAGTGATTGTCACATTTTTAAGCTTACGTGAATGTTTATAGTTTGCATATACTTTTACATTTTCTCTCAGAAAAAGTTTTGTGTGATGACCCATCAGTTACATTACGTGGGTTTTGTTGAATGTATCATTTTAACAAATGTGACAGTCAGTGAGAATTCTGGACAAGAGTAGTGCCTAGTCTATAGTAGGCACTCACTCTTTGTTGAATGAATGAATGGATTCAGATAATTATGACAAACTGGGATATAATTTCTTTTGGCCAGCTGAAAGTAACTGTCTTTTAATGTTTAATAGCTCTCGTTGAAGATGTGAATATCTGTCTGCAGGCATGCAGCAGTCTACATGCTCTGTCCTCTTCCTTGCCAGATGATCTTTTACAGAGGTATGAAATTAAGATCATGTCTTTTGACATTAACCCTAATAACCTGGAAATGTTAACACACCTGCTTTGTCTATTTCGTTCTTTCATAGATGTGTCGATGTTTGCCGTGTTCAACTAGTGCACAGTGGAACTCGTATTCGACAAGCATTTGGAAAACTGTTGAAATCAATTCCTTTAGATGTTGTCCTAAGGTATAACAGTTGTTTTGGAGCAAAGACATTCTGTGATATTTACAGCCTCTACTGGTTGTCTACTTTAGGAGAAGACAGATCACCTATTAGAGCATTAATGACACATCTTTTATGGCCCTGTTTGTCAGTGATTGAAGTGATGTCAAATAATCGAATTTTGCAGGTCTGCAAGAAAATTAAAAATTTTTAATGAGCTTTATAGGCTCACAATAATTAGTATAGAATAACTCATGTAGTGCCAAAATATGTTTCTTAGTAGCTCAGATATTTGAAAAACTAAACAGTAATCTTTTATTGTTTTTGATCAAGTTGATTTGGGAGCTTTAAGAGCCTAAACTTGATCCTTTTGTAATACATAAGCATAATGATTGGGTTTTTATTTTCACATGTTTGATATGCCTCCCTCAAATCCTCTTATGATGTCAGCACATTACCCATCTGAGGTGAATAAAAAAAGGATCTAAAGTTGTAATCACATCTCTGTATCCATTTGAAAGTCTCAATTTTACTATATTTTTACCTCCAGTGAGTTAATAAGTAAATAATCCACTTACAGTATGTGCTAACCTTTTAAGCTAAAATATTTTGCATAACAACTTTATTTTCTGTCTACAGCAATAACAATCACACAGAAATTCAAGAAATTTCTTTAGCATTAAGAAGTCACATGAGTAAAGCACCAAGTAATACATTCCACCCCCAAGATTTCTCTGATGTTATTAGTTTTATTTTGTATGGGAACTCTCATAGAACAGGGTAAGGCATTTCTTTGACTCTTTTATCTGGGAAACATAATTTTAAGATTCTTTTGACTTTACATGCAGTTTTGAAGAGAAAATATGTTTGGGGGTGGCAGAGTATCAAGTAACATTCTTCTCATATGGGTTATTTTAGTTTTCATCAATAGGAAAATTGCTTTGAAGATAGCATCTGTAGAAACAAAAATGGGCTTTGAAATTGAGTAATGAAATGTGGTTAACAGTTAACTGATGTGATGTCATTAACACTTTGGGGAATGGGGTGGGGGTGGAGATATTCTAGACATGCTTAGTTGAATTGAGTGAGTTTCATTCCTGACTGGCATAAGCCATTTACCCTAATCATCCTTCCACACTGTACCTCAACCTGTTAACTATAAAAGACCTCAAAATGAGAGGGGGGACACAATGCTTCTCAATTTCATAGGTTTTGCCTTTTTTGGAGTAGGGAAAATTACAGTTCCTTATTCCTATTCCCCTTGCATTTTTTTTTTCATTATTAAAATGAAGTTGTCATTGTCTTTTAAATATGAAACTGCTTTTCCCAGGAAGGACAATTGGTTGGAAAGACTGTTCTATAGCTGCCAGAGACTGGATAAGCGTGACCAGTCAACAATTCCACGCAATCTCCTGAAGACAGATGCTGTCCTTTGGCAGTGGGCCATATGGGAAGCTGCACAATTCACTGTTCTTTCTAAGCTGAGAACCCCACTGGGCAGAGCTCAAGACACCTTCCAGACAATTGAAGGTAACTCACTCAAGCTTTGTGATGTGAATACTTTCAAAGCCTTATTAAGAAATACTGGATTCTTAAATCTTTGTTAAAGATTTGAGAGTATATGATTTTTTTGAAAAAAGTCAATAATTTTCAGGTATGTTTGTTAGAATAAGCTTTCATTGAATAATTGCATTGGAAATATGTTTTTTTTTCCCCAAAACTTAGGGAGTTGTGTGGAAAAAATATATATTTCTTTCCCCTAAAATGAAAGATCTTTCATGTTGGGATTTTTTATTTTTAAATGATGGGTAGACAGAGGATACTTGATAAATGTGAATTGGTCATAAAAAACTCACACTTATTCTAGGAACTTTTAAGATTTTTAAAAATTCAGAATGTTGTCTTTGCTTTCAGGTATCATTCGAAGTCTCGCAGCTCACACATTAAACCCTGATCAGGATGTTAGTCAGTGGACAACTGCAGACAATGATGAAGGCCATGGTAACAACCAACTTAGACTTGTTCTTCTTCTGCAGTATCTGGAAAATCTGGAGAAATTAATGTATAATGCATACGAGGGATGTGCTAATGCATTAACTTCACCTCCCAAGGTTGGTTTCCATGAGATAGTGTTGTTTTATAGCAGTTTAATGGTCACAGCTGGCAGTATGTGCAGAGCTGAAATCACAGTAGACTTGTGTATTTGGTTTATATATAGGTGAGACATCCTTACCTACAAATTGAACCAGTCCTGAGCTTTTCTTTCTCTTATCGTAAAGGTCATTAGAACTTTTTTCTATACCAATCGCCAAACTTGTCAGGACTGGCTAACGCGGATTCGACTCTCCATCATGAGGGTAGGATTGTTGGCAGGCCAGCCTGCAGTGACAGTGAGACATGGCTTTGACTTGCTTACAGAGATGAAAACAACCAGCCTATCTCAGGTAATGTGGTGTGTTTGAAATTCATTTTAAGTCTGTTAATAAGAAAAGCATGGTTTAATTCCTTTGGTATGATTTAATCTATGGATAAAATAAGTTAAAGCTTGGATTCATTTTCAAAGGTTTTGATCCTGTATTTTGTAAAAGCAACAACTGCCAGAGTTACAGTGTTAGAAGTTAAAATAGGCCGGGCGCGGTGGCTCACGCCTGTAATCCCAGCACTTTGGGAGGCAGAGGTGGGCGGATCATGAGGTCAGGAGATCGAGACCATCCTGGCTAACACAGTGAAACCCCGCCTCTACTAAAAATACAAAAAATTAGCTGGGCGTGGTGGCAGGCGCCTGTAGTCCCAGCTACTCGGGAGGCTGAGGCAGGAGAATGGCGTGAACCCGGGAGGCGGAGCTTGCAGTGAACCGAGATCGCACCACTGCACTCCAGCCTGGGCGACAGAGCAAGACTCCGCCTCAGAAAAAAAAAAAAAAAAAAAAAAAAGAAGTTAAAATAATGTTCATGTTTTTGTTTATGTTAAAACAATATTCATGTTAGAACACGTTAAAACTATATTTCTTACGTGCAAAGTTTAGAACTTTAAAGGTAGTTCTGAAAATTTGTTTATGGGATAAATTATTTATTTATTTATTTATTTATTTATTTATTTATTTATTTTTTGAGACACAGTTTCACTTTGTCGCCCAGGCTGGAGTGCAGTTGTGCGATCTCGGCTCACTGTAACCTCTGCCTCTCAGGTTCAAGCCTCTTCTTGCCTCAGTCCCTGGGATTACAGGCACCCGCCACCATACTCGGCTAAGTTTTGTATTTTTAGTAGAGACAGGGTTTCACCATGTTGGCCAGGCTGGTCTCGAACTCCTGACCACAAGTGATCTGCCCACCTCGGCCTTCCAAAGTGCTGGGATTACAGGCATGAGCTACTGCACTTGGCCAGGAGAAATTGTTTTTATAACGTATGACAAATGCTTGAGTAATTCCTGGCTTGAAAGTGGGCTCACAATAAATAACTGGAATCCAAAAATAACAAAATGTTTAGCAATTCAGGTAATGTCAAGCAGTATTCAAACACATGAAGTTAATCATTCCTTAATTCCTGTTTATTTATATTTAATTTTTGCTTTCTTTTTACTCCATGTGTTGTTCCTACAGAGGTCACAGGTTGAATGTTTGGGTAACTTTGGGGTGGGGGTGCAAACATCCATGTGCTGCTAAGGTTCTGTTAGTCACCCTTTGTGGCTATTTTATATGTAACATTTTAAAGAATTCTGAGCTAAATAATGTGAAAATTGTGAAAATAATTGTTAAATACATTTGGCTTTAAGCAGGCACAGACTGATCAGTTGTAAATTTTATAGGGATTTATGTTTTAATGGTATTGGGTGACTAATTTTTCTGAATGCGTTTTCAGGGGAATGAATTGGAAGTAACCATTATGATGGTGGTAGAAGCATTATGTGAACTTCATTGTCCTGAAGCTATACAGGGAATTGCTGTCTGGTCATCATCTATTGTTGGAAAAAATCTTCTGTGGATTAACTCAGTGGCTCAACAGGCTGAAGGGAGGTAGGTTGGAGGGAAGGAAATGGGTGATAGAATTACTTTATGTTTAAGTTCTGTGTATTACTCACTGACATTGTAGCCAAATCTTAAAACAGCTTTGTTTGCTTTCAGCATTGAAGCTTGCTATAAATCACTTCACCAGGAGGCGTCTTCAGTTTGTTCTTTAGTTAGCAGCAATACTTGAGTGCCTTTCTTACTGAAGAATTAGTGGCAAATCACACTGTAAAACAAGACCTGTCAGTTATTTTATAAATGCTTTTGAACTTGATCCCTAGTTGAGCTCCTTCCCCCTCAGAGTCTGATACAAATTACCCTTTATTGTCAGAGTATTTGCTCATTAGTCCTGTGAACTCTACATTCAGACTCATTGCTTCCTCCAGGTAGAGGAGCTTGTACCATAATATTCTGTGTCCATTTATGTTAGTTTAATGAAATCTTGCGAATTTAGGAAAATAAAAGAACTGCTCATACTTCCATATCTTTGTAGTAACTTCTGTTGTGTGTCCTTTTGTAGTTCTGTATTTCCATATCCATATGCTTTGTAATTCTTTTTTCTTTCATGTCGTTTTCTCCACTCTTCACCAAAACAGCAGCGTACATAGGCACATGGTTTTATGATCTGTTTTTCCCACTCAATATTAAAAAAAAAATTTGCCATGTTAGGCTGGGTTCGGTGGCTTACATCTGTATTCCCAGCACTTTGGGAGGCTGAGGCAGGTGGATCACCTGAGGTCAGGAGTTTGAGACTAGCCTAACATGGTGAAACCCTGTCTCTACTAAAAATACAAAAAATATTAGCGAGGTGTGGTGGCACATACGTGTAATCCCAGCTACTTGGGAGGCTGAGCCAGGAGAATTGGTTGAACCTGGGAGGCGGAGGTTGCTGTGAGCCCAGGTTGTGCCACTGCCCTCCAGCCTGGGCAACAAGAGCGAAACTCTGTCTCCAAAAAAAAAAAAAAAATTGCCATGTTAAATATTCTACAGTGTTATTTTTAATAAAGATTTGTATTTATGAGTGTACCATAATTTAATATTTCTTACTGTTGGGCATTAAGGTTGTTTCTGATATTTTTTTTTACTAAATGTACCGTAGCACTTAATATCTTTGCTTATATTTCTGATTACTTTCTTGGAATCCATTCTCATAAACTGATTTACTAGAAGAAAGGCTGCCAAACCATAAGTCTTATGATATATTCTATTGCTAAGCTACTCTACAGAAAAGGTGGCTGCAGTTTATACCCTTAATAATAGAGTACCCCCTTCCCTTCATCTTTGTGGATACTGAGAGTCACTGAGAAACAAGAATGCTGCCACCACCGTCAGCAAAAATAGTTATTGTACTTTACATTTCTATATTTATTAATGACTAATAGTAGAAGTTGCCCCATATAGTGACCTTTTGTGATTTTTTAAAACATGGATCATGTCTTCGTGGCCTCTCAATTTTTCCTGTGTTAATCTGTGAAATTTTATGAAATACTAAGATTGTTGATGCTATCCAATTTCTTGATTTATAATTTGTTTTTAATGTTTAATGTTGTATTTCAGCATTATGCATCTAGATCTGTTACTTGTGCATCTTTTCTTGGATTTTATCCTTCTACAAAGCCTTTCCACACACTGACATCAGCTACTTATCAATATTTTCCACTAGTTCTTTTATACTGTCTTACATTTTTTTAAAAACATTTAACCACTTTTAAATTTAGTTTCATAGTTGTGAGGAAGACATCAAACCTCCCCCCACCATAGTCGACTCACTGTTTTAGCTCAGTTTATTCTTGCACCATTTTTTGTGGGAGGGGGGAAATGAGATATGTGTGTTTAAAATAAGACTCCTTTGGGGCTGGGCGCGGTGGTTCACGCCTGAAATCCCAGTACTTGGGGAGACTGAGGTGAGCGGATTGCTTGAGTCCAGGAGTTTGAGATCACCCTGGCCAACATAGCAAAACCTTGTTTTAGCCAGGTGTGGTGGTGGGCGCCTATAGTCCCAGCTACTTGGGAGGCTGAGGTTGGAGGATTGCATGAGCCTGGGAGGGCAAGGCTGTAGCGAGCCATGATCATGCCACTGCTCTCCAGCCTGGGTGACAGTAAGACTCTGTCTCAAAAAATAAGTAAGTAAAGGCCAGGCGCGGTGGCTCATGCCCATAATCCCAGCATTTTGGGAGGCCGAGGCAGGTGGATCACCTGAGGTCAAGAGTTCAAGACCAGCCTGGCCAACACGGTGAAACCCCGTCTCTACTAAAAATACAAGAAAATTAGCCGGGCATGGTGGCGAGCGCCTGTATTCCCAGCTACTCAGGAGGCTGAGGTGGGAAAATCGCTTGTACCCAGGAGGCAGAGGTTGCATTGAGCTGAGACAGTGCCATTGCACTCCAGCCTGGGCAAGAAGAGCAAAACTTCATCACAAAAAAAAAAAAAAAAAAAAAAAAAGTAAGTAGATAAATAAATAAGACTGCTTCAATTTGCTTTTCAGGTTTGAAAAGGCCTCTGTGGAGTACCAGGAACACCTGTGTGCCATGACAGGTGTTGATTGCTGCATCTCCAGCTTTGACAAATCGGTGCTCACCTTAGCCAATGCTGGGCGTAACAGTGCCAGCCCGAAACATTCTCTGAATGGTGAGCGTTCAGTATTTTTAAATAAAGCAAAAGTTATAGTAATATATTTCGTACTGATGATCTTATTTTATGTTTTTAGGTTTCTGTGCTCTTTGAAATATTTCTAACTGATCTGAATCTCTCTCTTCTTATTTTATAAAATACTTTCAGGTGAATCCAGAAAAACTGTGCTGTCCAAACCGACTGACTCTTCCCCTGAGGTTATAAATTATTTAGGAAATAAAGCATGTGAGTGCTACATCTCAATTGCCGATTGGGCTGCTGTGCAGGAATGGCAGAACGCTATCCATGACTTGAAAAAGAGTACCAGTAGCACTTCCCTCAACCTGAAAGCTGACTTCAACTATATAAAGTAAGGCTTACTTTTTCCAGTTATAAAACAAATTTCCAATAACTATGATGTTTTTCCTATGGCAAGAAAATATTAAAATTGGTCATATGTAGTAATACAAAATGGTTATATATCTAACTTACTGCCATTATGAAAATGACAACAGGAAACTGACGTCAGAGGTGAGGGAAGGTATTTGTGTAATGGGAAAACACTGCTGAGATAGTCATTTGGTATTAATTTTCAGAACCTGTTGTTCTAAAACCTTAATACAGTTTGAAGATTATGCCAGAGTGAATATAAAGAAAAATTTGTACTGCTTTAGAAAGAATCATGTTTGATGGCTTTGTTTCTAAATGAGGTCTGAATATATCAAAAACATTTATTCTAATGAGGACAGTTTGTGAACATCTGTAAATTAAACTTTCTTTTCATTCCTCTGTGCTTTTATTCTGTAATTCAAAACTGAGCACTCACTCTGCTGCAGACACTTGGCTGGGAAGATAAAGGTCATTAGACTTTGTCTGATACCCTTGCCTTCTACTGCTAAATGGGTTAATGTGTAATTGCTTCACTGAGCATGTACTATGACCCAGGCAGCACATAAAACAGACACAAATTCCAACCTTTTAAAGCAAAGATTAGATAAAGAATATTGATAGAAGGATTAATTGAACCTCACTCACCTTTTCTGTGCCATAAGGAAAGCAGTTAGGTAAAGCTGACCTTCTTGGGAGGGAAGACACAAGGTCAAGGCATGCCCATCAGGATGCCCTTTGGCCCTAGACCTGATGTGAGAATGGTGGGCTTGGAGTATTCTGGAAATAGCTGGGAGGCCTCTGTGTTTAGGAGTGCCTTAAACAGTAGGATATAAGGGCAGAGAAGTAGCTGGGAACTGAGAAAAGAACTTTGGCTGTTATTCTAGTAAGACTGAAAATTTCAGGTGGGATTTGAACAGAGATGTGTTGTGATCTGACTTGGTGGTTCATTCTGCTATGGTGAAGAGACTGGAGGTGGGGGGCAAGTATGGAAGCATGGAGACCATTAATTTATGGGGGCAATGGTAGAGGGAAGAGAAACAATGCTATTAACTGGAGTAGGAGCACACAGAGAACAAGCCATGTTTTAAGATTTGTAATGAAATGTGCAGATGAGATTGTTGGGTAAGCTGTTAAGAATTGGATTTGGAACTAAGGAGAAAGTCTAAGCTTGAGAGATTTGCAGATCATTAGTACACAGAAAAGGCCCTCTTTCCTTTTCAGTCTCTATACTCTAGAGCCTTTGTAAGCAACCAAACCAGAGAGAAGCCTCTGAAGAATAGTGAGTGAAGAGAAAGGCAGGCCTGGGTCAGAATCCTAGTTTAGCATTTTTGTGAAAGAATAGAAGAGGAGGCCATTCAAAAAAATACAGGGACATTGAGAAGGGAAGTGTCCTAGATATAGGACATCCAGATGGGAGTAGTCAGCCTTGTCAGATGCTCTAGGGATTATAAGGAAAAAGAGTTTTGTAGAGAGACAGAAGCAGCTAGATTGAATACTATTGAGTGGTAGAGACATTTGAAAATGAAAAGCTTGAGGTAAGTTATTTGGTCAGTGAGTTTTTCTTGAAGTCGAGGATAGGAAGCTGTTGCTGGAGGGAAATATGAGATGTTTATTTTAAATGTTGGAGAGATTATGTTCTTTTGGCCAAGGGGAAGGAGCCACTAGAAAGCAGAGGTTGAAGAAACAGGAGAAAGAACATTGATAGATTAACTGGCCCTTACCTTTTCTCTGCCTCAAGGAAAGCAGTCAAAGTTGCTATAGACAGAATTTTGGCAGTGTATGGTGGATTGGGGGTAGGGGTAGAGGAAATTAAAGCCTACTTTTTTTGTTTATTTGTTTGTTTTTCTGAGGACTGAGTCATTAGCTGAAAGCATAGGGCATTATAGAGCATAGTGGGGACTTGGGGAACCTGCCACCTGGAGAGGACTTAGGACCTTTTAATGGCAGAAATGATGAATGTGTTGGCAGCAGTTCATCAGTGCCCAGTACTCAAGGGTCCCCCTGAGAAGCCAGTGGTTGCACGGATCTAGGTAGAATCAGGCACAGAATAAGTCAGGTGATGTGCCTTTCTAGCACTGGCCTCAGGCTGATTTATAAGGGAAGTTACACAGCGAGAGGGACAGGCAAAGATGGAAAAGAGAGAGAGTGAGAAACAGTGTCTTCTTCCTGGCTGGAGAGCCCGTGTCATGAAAATGGGGACAGGGTAAGGGATCTGAAAGGAGCAGCATAGAAGCTGGGAGGATGAGGCCTGTCTTCCTGGCATTGATGCTGCAGGACTACAGGAAAGAATTTCAGAGGTGTCATTATTTTTCATATAAGCAGATGAAAGAGAAGAAGTCTTTGAAAAAAGAGAAGTAGGTGAAAAAGGGAGAGACGGAGGGATGCCAGCAGTGAAAGAAGCCAGGACTGAGATACAAGATTGTGATGCTGGGAGAGCTGTGCAAGGGCTCATGCTGTAGGTGAGGAGTGAGGCTGCACAGGGAGCTCACTGGCAGCTTGGAGAGAACTGGGTGTCAAAGTTGTCCTGCAGAGGTCTACTGTCAGTGTGTTAGGATCTGAAGAGAACAGGCTGCAACACATGAAAACAGGAAGGAGACACAGGGGCGAGTCAGCTCCACTGAAAGTCTGTAGCTGTGACTTTCTGGTTTGCCACTCCAATTTGAGTACTAATTAAGTGGTAGTCACATCTTCAACATAAAAACCAAAATAATGGCATCCTCGTGGAAGGAATTTTGTCAGAAAAATGCTGTGTACTTTGCTGTCTTCCTAGGATTTGTTCTGTTTTTGTTTGTTTTTTTTTAATGGTTCCACAGGCTGCATAGGAATACAAGCTAACCAATATTTTAATTACAGATCATTAAGCAGCTTTGAGTCTGGAAAATTTGTTGAATGTACCGAGCAGTTAGAATTGTTACCAGGAGAAAATATCAATCTACTTGCTGGAGGATCAAAAGAAAAAATAGGTATTTGAGAAAATAGTTTTAAAGTTATTTTAGTGGACAAGTTGCTCAAAATGTTTGGCTTAGTATATTTTACTGGAAAATCTGGAAGTTATTTTACATTTTTGTGGGGGCAGAATCCCATGTGAAGCAACAAATTTAGGGCTGCCCTATTTATGTTTGATTTGGGAAATGAAAAGCACTTAAAATTAAGTCAAATAAAAAAAATGACCACCTTAATACTTTGAGATTTATCTAGCCATTTTGTTTGATAAAGGACAAAGTAGTGTTTCAGCTAAATATTTTTCTTGATTTTCATCTTGATGTGGCTCATTAATTTATCACAAATAGAACACTTTATAAAATGTTATTAAAAAGTTTAATGAGTATTCTGGATTGAGCAAGATTTGCTAATGCAGGTCTAGATTTGTCCCCTTAAATAGTAGATTGACTTACCGATTTTCTTTTTTGTTGAGACAGAGTTTCACTCTGTTGCCCAGGCTGGAGTGCAGTGGCGCAATCTCGGCTCACTGCAGCCTCTGCCCTCTGAGTTCAAGTGATTCTCCTGCCTCAGCCTCCTGAGTAGCTGGGATTACAGGTGTCTGCCACCGTGCCCAGGTAATTTTTTGTATTTTTAGTAGAGACGGGGTTTCACCATCTTGGCCAGGCTGGTCTTGAACTCCTGACCTCGTGATCCACCCACCTTGGCCTCCCAAAGTGCTGGGATTACAGGCGTGAGCCACCACGCCTGGCCTCGACTTACTGATTTTTGGCCTTTGAAGGCAACTGCTTTTTAGGGGTCTGAGGTACAGTAATTTTGTATGAAGTATGATTTTTATATAGCTCTCAGTAATGCTTATAGTGTTTAACTGCCTTAAATATTAAAGGAGCTGTTCATTGGTGATTAGTTTTTAATAATGCCAAACATAAATCAAAATTTATAATAAAAGCACATGAACTTAATGACGTTTTATTTAACTTTGGTAGACATGAAAAAACTGCTTCCTAACATGTTAAGTCCGGATCCGAGGGAACTTCAGAAATCCATTGAAGTTCAATTGTTAAGAAGTTCTGTTTGTTTGGCAACTGCTTTAAACCCGATAGAACAAGATCAGAAGTGGCAGTCTATAACTGAGTAAGTTTACTCTTACGGAGGTAAATGTACATTGTGTATATCATGTGATAAACATACATGGGGTGAAGAGGGCTGGAAGGAGAGTTACTAGATTACTAAATACTAGTGCTAATAGCTTCATTTTAGTTGTAGAAGTCATATGATATATGAATGCTGCTTGCCAACATAAACTGAGGTTGAAATGAAATAAAATGTAAAAATCCCCAAAAGCAAATGTCTTGACTTGCTAATATCATTTTATTATAGAGCAGGCTGCTCCTCTTACTGCCCCCTAACTTTGGATGTCAGTTTGATAGCATCTTATCAATTGCTTTATTCTTTGAGTGGTTATGAATTGTAATTTTTATTAATTGGCAGTAAATATTTTGTTTCAGAAATGTGGTAAAGTACTTGAAGCAAACATCCCGCATCGCTATTGGACCTCTGAGACTTTCTACTTTAACAGTTTCACAGTCTTTGCCAGTTCTAAGTACCTTGCAGCTGTATTGCTCATCTGCTTTGGAGAACACAGTTTCTAACAGACTTTCAACAGAGGTCTGTATATTTTTACAAGCACACTCTTATGACTATTAATGGTCATTACTGTAGAACAAAGACCTTATTTTTTTAGTTTTTTGAAATAGGATTTGTAGCTGGGCAAGCTAGTAGATCCAGAAATCTAACATGCTGTTTTCAGGCAGTTTTTCATTTGAGAAGTACATGGGGCAGATGGAAGAACCTGAGATAATCTCAAGGATGGCAAATTGCTCAGTTTTTTCCTTCTAATTTCGGGGTGGGAGGTGGTGTATGTAAAGACAGTTCCTTTAGGCGGATTACGTAAATTTTAGATTTGCTGCAAACAAAGATCTCTCCTCTTCATCCTAAATGGGGTAAAGTTCAACCAGAGATGGGGGCTTCTGAATGAATGATGATCTTCGAGAACTTCATTATAAAGCATTAGTTGTAATGTTTTTCTGCAGTCTGCTTTATAGTAAATGTGCTGTGACTTTTTTTTTTGTAATGTGCTTTATTAAGTATACTGATAAATTAGACTTAATATTCTGAAGAAGATTTCCCTTCAAAACAAAAGGCTTTCTCTTACTGTGTGCTTGCCTCTTGTGAGTAGAAGATAAATGATGTAAGGGTATAGTGTAATAGATAAAACTACTGCAATCAATCTGAAGTAGCCAAACTATATTGCAGTCTTGGACTTAAGACTTGCTATATATCTGCAAACATATCAACAGCCTGTTTTATGTTGAGTAATTTTGGTTTTTCTCTGGCAGGACTGTCTTATTCCACTCTTCAGTGAAGCTTTACGTTCATGTAAACAGCATGACGTGAGGCCATGGATGCAGGCATTAAGGTATACTATGTACCAGAATCAGTTGTTGGAGAAAATTAAAGGTAAGTGGTTTTTTTTTCTTGTAAGAGAAAATTAAAGGTGTTCTTTTTTTAAATTTTGCTTTATTGAGGTTTATATTACACATTCTAAGTGTATGGTTTGATGAGTTCTAACATGTCTTCACTTGTGTGACCACCAATACGATCGAGATACAGAACACCGTCTTACCCCAGAAGGTTCCCTTGGGATCATCTCCTCATTTGCCCCTGTCAGCAGTTACTGATTTGCTTTCTGTCACTATGGATTAGACTTGTCTTTACTAAAGTTTCATGTACGTGAAATCATAACAACATGTTCTCTTGTGTTTGGCTTCTCTTGCTCAACATGATATTTTTAAGGTTCACCCATATTGCATGTATCAGGAATACAATCCTTTTTATTATTGAGTAGAGTTCTATTGTATGTATATACCCCAGTTTATTTCTCCCTTCATCCTTTGCTAGATTTTGGGGTTTTTTCACATTGCGCTATTCAGTATAAACCTGCTCTCAACATTCATGTGCAAGTCTTTGAGTGGACGTATATTTGTGTTTCTCTCGAGTGAATGCACCTTGTTGGGTCACGTAGCTTAACTTAAAAAAATTTTAATCACTGTGGTGCATATGTAGTGATTATTAGTGATTATCTCATAATTTTATTTACATTTTCTTGATTAATGATGCTGAGTGTATTTCATTTGTATTTTAGTTTGCAAATGTTTGTTCAAATTCTTCACCCATTTTTAATGAAGACATAAGACTTATTTTTGTGTTCTGAACCTAAGTTCTTTGTCACGTAAAATGCGCTATGAATATTGAGTTTTAAATACTCCAAATGAATGGCTAGAGAATTACTATTTGTATAAATATTTATATGTCAAAGGGATGCTAACAATTTACTTTATTGCTCTAAAATAGAAAAGTTGCCAGAATGCTGTGCAGTTTTAGTGGAAAACATGATAGCTGGTGTTACTGAGTAAATTTGAGTGTTAAATGTCAATGTAAGCTAACAGCCAAGATAGGGACCACTGCAGAGTGGTTACTTGAAGCTGTGACTCAACTGGTCCTTCACTGCCAAATATACCTGGGGTTGGATCATTGGCCTGATGTTTGCAAATTGAGGAACCTTAGGGCAAATCAGTGAACTTCTGAACTGCTTTCCTCTTCAGTTATATGGGGATTTCCCCACTTTTGAGATACTTGTAAGGATTATATGAGATGAAGAGATGAGACAAGGTATATAAAAGTCCTAGCACAGAGCGTGTCATATAATATGGCTTCACAAGTACCCTCATCTCCTTTCCAGTCCTGTTTTTTTTTTTTTTTGAGACCATCTCACTCTGTTGCCCAGGCTGGAGTGCCTCTTCATTTTTATTTCTTTATTCAGCAAGTATTGATCAAATGTGCTTTGTACTAGGTACTGAGCTCTACGTTGTGATATAATGGTGATCAAGGAGATTGTAGATTCTGGCAGGGAAAACTGACATCAAACACGGTGACCCAACATAGCAAGACCCTGTCTCTGCTAGAAGAATTTAAAAAATCACCCGGGTGTGGGCTGGGCGCGGTGGCTCACGCCTGTAGTCCCAGCACTTTGAGATGCTGACGGGGGGTGGATCACGAGGTCAGGAGATTGAGACCATCCTGGATAACACGGTGAAACCCCATCTCTACTAAAAATACAAAAAAATTAGCTGGGCGTGGGGGCGGGTGCCTGTAGTCCCAGCTACTTGGGAGGCTGAGGCAGGAGAATGGCATGAACCAGGGAGGCGGATCTTGCATTGAGCCAAGATCACGCCACTGCACTCCAGCCTGGGCAACAGAGTGAGACTCTATTTCAAAAAAAAAAAAAAAAAAAAAAAAATCACCTGGGTGTGGTGGCATGTGCCTATAGTCCCAGCTGCTTAGGAGGCTGAGGTGGGCGGATAGCATGAGCCTGGGAAATGAAGGCTGCAGCGAGCTATGATCATGCCACTGCACTCCAGCCTGGGTGACAGAGTGACACCCGGTCTCAAAAAATAAGAAGGAACAGCAAATAACGAGGGCACCTGATTTAATCCTAGGAATCAGAAAAAGACTTGTGGGGAAGTAACATTTAAGCTGAGAGTTAAGATAAAGATGAGGAAGAAGGCAGGCTGACTTGGTTAGAAAAAACGTGTGCAGGCCAGAGAAAATAATGATTCTTAGTTGACTCAGTTCACCTAAGAGAGAGTAGGAAGAGGTGGAGCGCTGGATGAGATTGAGATTGGAATTGAATGCTGGAAGGCATCAGTAACAAGCTGAATTCAGGAGTTTGGGATTTGTCAGAATGTCAGTGAGAAGTCATCAGAGGCTTTTAAGCAGGGAAGTGAAATGTTCAGATTTACCCTTGTGTAATGTCACTTCAATTGCAAGTTGGAAAATGGATTAGAAGAGTATAAGAATGGGGTCAAAGGGACCTAAGTTATGCTGAAGTCTCTGCTAAAGAGGGTAACTAGGGTGGCAGTAGGGAAAGAAAAAAGCAAATGGGCCATGAGGGTTGAAAGTAAAGTCTGTGATGGTGGCCAAGTACTTTCACAGGCAGCCGGCTCATCCTGTGCCCTTCCTTGAGAAGGGGAAAATGGAAAAAGGGAGTAAAAGATTTGGAGGGTGGTGGAAAATGAGCTCCATTTGGCATGACTGACATTAGAGGAAGCACTCTTGAAATAAATAGAGTGTAGATGACCAGTTGGCAGGTGGGATTCAGATATCAGGTCTGGGTGAAGATTCAGCAGTTGTCAGCATTTCTGTGGTAATTGAAGACACAGGAAAAGATGATGATGTCCAGGGAGAGTATGCAGTGGGAAAAGTAGAGAGCCTAGGACTGAGTCCAAGGAGCACTGGTGTTTAATGGATGAGTGATGGAAGAGAAAGAGACTGAGGATTCTTCAGCAAGATAGGAAGAAAACCAGGAGAATGGTGGAAGGGCAGAGAGTACTTACAGAAGAAGTGCGGGGGGATGGTTTAGCCTTCCCTGCTTCCTTGCTTTCCCTACCCGTTGGCCCAGGCTTTTTGCCAAAGATTCAGAAACTAAAAAGAAATTTCTTGAAATGAATGACTTGACTTTACTTCATTGTATACATTTAATTTAGCAAAACCTGTTCATTGTATCTCAAGCACTGTGCTAGCTGCTAGGGATTTGAGGATGAGTTATCTTTGTTTCAGGAGGTGGTGCAGAAGAGGGATAGTTGGGGAATAATTTTTTGGCCATGTTTCCATGCAGTCTGGTTTAGACAAATTAGGAACTAATAAAACGTTTTCCTCTCTTCAGAACAAACAGTCCCAATTAGAAGCCATCTCATGGAATTAGGTCTAACAGCAGCAAAATTTGCTAGAAAACGAGGGAATGTGTCCCTTGCAACAAGACTGCTGGCACAGTGCAGTGAAGTTCAGCTGGGAAAGACCACCACTGCACAGGATTTAGTCCAACATTTTAAAAAACTATCAACCCAAGGTCAAGTGGATGAAAAATGG
Source organism: Homo sapiens (assembly GCF_000001405.40). Taxonomy (NCBI): domain Eukaryota; kingdom Metazoa; phylum Chordata; class Mammalia; order Primates; family Hominidae; genus Homo; species Homo sapiens. The sequence goes on along the minus strand of NC_000016.10, from coordinate 18,854,701 downwards.
GGGCCCGAACTTGATATTGAAAAAACCAAATTGCTTTATACAGCAGGTTAGTAAAATTAATTATGGTTAATACATGAGTATAATAAAAATCATGTATATGAATGTTACTGTGTATGTATGGTATAAGGTAGTAATAGCAAAGTTGATCATTTCCAGCTGTTGCAGAACATTTGCATCCTGAATAATAAGTTGCTTATTACTGACTTACCTTTATAATTCTGTGCTTTCAAAAGAATTTTGTTGCAATGTATTACAGTAAGAAGTATTTCCGGAGATCATTGGTCACTGAATTTACATGTTTTTTTAACTTTATTATTTTGGGCCAGGTGCTTATGCTTACAATCTGAGCACTTTGGGAGGCCAAGATGGGAGGATTGTTTGAGCTTAGGAGTTTGACACCAGCCTGGGCAACAGAGTGAAATCTCAGCTATACTGAAATTCAAAGAAATTAGGGGGGTGTGGTGGAACATGCCTGTAGTTCCGGCTGCTTGAGGGGCTGAGGCAGGAGAATTGCTTGAGCCTGGGAAGTTGAGGCTACAGTGAGCCCTGATTGTGCTACTGCACTCCAGCCTAGGTGACAGAGTGAAACCCTGCCTCAAAAAAAAAAAAAAAAAAAAAAGTTTAGTATTTTGGCTAGGCATAGTGGCTCATGCCTGCAATCTCAGCACTTTGGGAGGCTAAGACAGTAGGAGCCTCCTATGCTTGAGCATAGGAGTTTGAAACCATCAACATGGTGGTGTCATCACCATGTTGATATTTGTTTCCTAATCCAAGTGCCTCCCTCCATCATTTGCTTTTAAAGGTTCTAAGTTCTGACTTTGTGGTTTTCTGTAGGCCAGTCAACACATGCAATGGAAATGTTGAGTTCTTGTGCCATATCTTTCTGCAAGTCTGTGAAAGCTGAATATGCAGTTGCTAAATCAATTCTGACACTGGCTAAATGGATCCAGGCAGAATGGAAAGAGATTTCAGGACAGCTGAAACAGGTTTACAGAGCTCAGCACCAACAGAACTTCACAGGTCTTTCTACTTTGTCTAAAAACATACTCACTCTAATAGAACTGCCATCTGTTAATACGATGGAAGAAGAGTATCCTCGGATCGAGAGTGAATCTACAGGTAGAGTTGCTTTATTAGCTTTAGAATATTAATTTTAGAAGCTATATTTTTTTCTGTTTTAAAGTTTATAATGTTATGCTGGCTATAATTTTCCATAAAAAGTATATCTGTGGAAGTTGAGTTTATTTTATTGTTGGGAAATAACTAAAACATATTTAGGATCGAATGCCATTTTGGGAGTCACTGAACTCTGCCCCCAGGTATTTGCTTTTATGGACTTAGATGTTTTTGCTGGCAATAAGATCCTGCCCCTCATATCAAAAAATTTCACCTCACAATAGAAGGAGCAACAAAGATTTAAAATAGTTACCTGTGTTCCTATTGATTGGTGGAACACAGAAACTATATAAAGATTCAAGTTTCCCATTCTGGTGCTAGTGCTAGTAACACAAAGATACCTTACAAATAGGGTAGTTGATTCTGTCCATGTTTGAGTGCCTGTTGTGGAAGGCATAATTCCCCTGTTTTTAAAATTTGAGAGAAAATTTGGGAGATGGTTTTCTTTGCTGAAACATGAGAATATACCTTCATTTTGTTGTTCTGAAGCCTAAGAGTTTAATTACTTACATTGGTGTTAATAATTTTGATAGAGTCTTGATATTCATAAAGGATATGTCTTGTGGTCATTATAAATCTTCATCTTGTCAGATGCACTATAGCAGGCAGTGTCTTCACCTTTAACAAGGGAATAAAGATGTTTGCCTCATGAGTCTGTATGAATGAAACAGTATACTCATCACCTATTTATTATTTTTGCCAGAATGATTAAAGTGAATCTGATCATGAGGAAATAGCCAGTCCGATTCATAATGCAAGACATTCTACAGCACAGCTGACACCTGACTGTTTACAATGTTCAGTGTCATGAAAGATATTGATGTCTTCCACAGGAGATAATATAATCTTACTTGGGAAGCTAATGAATTCATTTCAACATACCAACCTTTTAGAGAACATAATTCATATTTGTGCCTTCTCAAGTTATGTACAGTAATATTTTGGAACTTTTGATTGCTTGCAGATAAAAACCTAAAATGCTAATGGAAATGTCGTTAGGAATTTATGAATGTAACATTGTTGAGTTCTTTTATTATAATTATTTTTTTGTCCATTTTGGCAGTGCATATTGGAGTTGGAGAACCTGACTTCATTTTGGGACAGTTGTATCACCTGTCTTCAGTACAGGCACCTGAAGTAGCCAAATCTTGGGCAGCGTTGGCCAGCTGGGCTTATAGGTGGGGCAGAAAGGTGGTTGACAATGCCAGGTATGTTTAAATGTGTAGTTTATTTATGCATTGCATAAATAGATATTTAAATGTCTGCTGATATGGTAAAGTTTGGGTAGCTGAAATACTGATGACTTGTTTATTTTTATAGTCAGGGAGAAGGTGTTCGTCTGCTGCCTAGAGAAAAATCTGAAGTTCAGAATCTACTTCCAGACACTATAACTGAGGAAGAGAAAGAGAGAATATATGGTATTCTTGGACAGGCTGTGTGTCGGCCGGCGGGGATTCAGGCAAGGAAAACATGGTGCTTGGGGCAAGATTGCTACTCCAAATCATTGATTTTGAGAAAATTGATCATATATATTTGATAAAATACTGAATGGGGCTTACCAATTGTTGTTGTAAATAAAAACTTCTGCATTTTAAGATGAAAGTGAGTTATATTTTTCTAAGAAGAATATACTTTTGAGAAAATAAGGCATTTCCTTAGAGTCCTGTTAAAAATAGGTGAGTTGGCCTGGCACGGTGGCTCACACCTGTAATCCCAGCACTTTGGGAGGCTGAGGTGGGTGGATCGCTTGAGGTCAGGAGTTCGAGACCAGCCTGGCCAACATGGCAAAACCCCATCTCTACTAAAAATACAAAAATTAGCAGGGTGTGGTGGTGCATGCCTGTAATGCCAGCTACTCGGGAGGCTGAGGCAGGTGAACCACTTGAATGTTGCAGTGAGATCACACTACTGCACTCCAGTCTGGGTGACAGAGTGAGACTGTCTCAAAAGAAAAAAAAGTTATTAAGTGAAGTTCATTTTAGGTAAATTACATTTATTTTTTAATTACTTTTATCAGAAATTGTAAGTTCTTAATCCTTGGTTGTGAGCTTTTAAAATATGCCAGTGCACGAAACTTACTCCCAGATACTCTGAATGAGACGTGTGTGCGCGTGCGCGTGTGTGTGTGTGTGTATTTAAACTTACTAGGTGATGCTAATGTGCAGCCAGTGTTGAAAATGGACTAGATGATCTGTATAATTCACACTCTCTCCCTTCAGAGTTCCGTCAATTCTAGAATGCCAAAGCAATATATTATTTAGTTGCAGTCCTCAAAGGCATGGATTTTATTTGCCAAGCTAAGCTATATCGATCAGTTCTTGCTGTAAACAGCAGCGTATCTAAGTCTCTCCCTAAGCTGGTGTCTGATACATGCACAGTACTGTGAAGAGAATGAGGTTTAGTATATGTATTCTGTGTACATTCAGCTTCAAACTTTTGAGCAGATTGTGCTTATTTTTTTTGCAGGCATAGGCTGGGTGCGGTGGCTCACACCTGTAATTCCAGCACTTTGAGAAGCCGAGGCAGGCGGATCACCTGAGGTCAGGAGTTTGAGACAAGCCTGGCCAACATGGTGAAACCTTGTCTCTACTAAAAACACAAAAAAACAGCAGGGCGTGGTAGTGGGCACCTGTAATCTCAGCTACTTAGGAGGCTGAGGCATGAGAATTGCTTGAACCTGGGAGGCAGAGAGGTTGCAGTGAGCCATGATTGTGCCATTGCACTCCAGCCTGGGTGACAGAGTGAGACTTTGTCACAAGGAAAAAAAAATTTCTGCAGGTAGAATACTGTATTGTAACTTGGAAGCATTTAAAGTACAACGAAACCCCAGAAAAGTCTAGTCTTTGCTAAATGCTTATATTCTTCTTCACTGGCTTCATATTAGTAAATATATCATAAAGAGAAGCATACTGACATTGACTTACTGTGTATAACACTAAATGTGGGATAATTTTATCTTTTATATATGAGAAGAATTTTTTATGATAGTCAAATTACATACCTTTTTCCCTTTTCAGTTTGTATTTAAAATAGCATTTTGTGCACAATTTTTCTTCAGGATGAAGATATAACACTTCAGATAACTGAGAGTGAAGACAACGAAGAAGATGACATGGTTGATGTTATCTGGCGTCAGTTGATATCAAGCTGCCCATGGCTTTCAGAACTTGATGAAAGTGCAACTGAAGGAGTTATTAAAGTGTGGAGGAAAGTTGTAGATAGAATATTCAGCCTGTACAAACTCTCTTGCAGTGCATACTTTACTTTCCTTAAACTCAACGCTGGTCAAGTATGTAGCACAGTGTTCTAAGAAAATTTATTTTGGAAACTTTTTCTTATTAAACAAAAGTAGTGTTCTGAGTTATTTTCTTATTTATTCCCCTCATCTTTCACTCTTAGATTCCTTTAGATGAGGATGACCCTAGGCTGCATTTAAGTCACAGAGTGGAACAGAGCACTGATGACATGATTGTGATGGCCACATTGCGCCTGCTGCGGTTGCTCGTGAAGCATGCTGGTGAGCTTCGGCAGTATCTGGAGCACGGCTTGGAGACAACACCCACTGCACCATGGAGAGGTGAGACCTGCATAAAATGTTTCAGGAAAAATAGTTTCTCACTAGGATATATAAGATTTCAAAAAGTGGTTTCCTTATGTTTATTATTTGAATGTGTAAAAAGAATAGCCAGATTAACTTCCTAGGACACCCTGCACTGCTTGTTACATCACTAGGACTTTTCCTCCCACCTTTCCAAGAAATGGGAAGCTGAAAGGCAGGAGCTTTTTATATACAAAATGAGTTTTGGAGAGGGTGGTGAAAAATTTTCAAAAGGTTTTATATACCCTCTGTAAAAATTGTCTGTGCCTGCCTTGTTTGTAGGCATTCACAGAAGATACATTTCTCCGTAACATTTTTGAGCTGCCCTGGACTTTGATTACAGCTCTGTATCTAAACCAACCTTAACCAGACTTGCGAATCAAGAACTATTGTGTATGGTTCTTTATTATCACAGGGAGAAATTTGAACTCTTAAAATCCGTACTAATGCCGACACACATCACGTTTTATCTGTTTGATCTACGATGCTGATAGTTTCTTCATAGTTTTAAATAACTTTAAAGTGTCTTTCTCTCTTCTTGTCCTGAAGGAATTATTCCGCAACTTTTCTCACGCTTAAACCACCCTGAAGTGTATGTGCGCCAAAGTATTTGTAACCTTCTCTGCCGTGTGGCTCAAGATTCCCCACATCTCATATTGTATCCTGCAATAGTGGGTACCATATCGCTTAGTAGTGAATCCCAGGCTTCAGGTATGGAATATTCAAATATTGCTACTTTGAGTATAAATGACTGTGCCAATAATTTTAGTGAGGTCAAAGTTTTTAAGCTTTATGTTCCAGAGTTGTTAGAGTTTGTAGGGTTTTTTTTTTTTTTTTTTTTTTTTTTTTTTTTTTTTTGAGATGGAGTCTCACTCTGTCACCCAGGCTGGAGTGCAGTGGCACCATCTCAGCTCACTGCAGTCTCTGCCTCCCAGGTTTAAGCAGTTCTCTGCCTCAGCTTCCCGAGTAGCTGGGATTACATGTGCGTGCCACCACGCCCAGCTAATTTTTGTACTTTCAGTAGAGTCGGGGTTTCACCATCTTGGCCAGGCTGGTCTTGAACTCCTGACCTCGTGATCCACTTGCCTCGGCCTCCCAAAGTGATAGGATTACAGGTATGAGCCACCGTGCCCGGCTGTAGGTTTTTTAATAGTAATAATTAGCATTTATTGAGGGAGTAACTACTATGTATCTGGCACCAGGACATGTGCTTTACACATTATCTGTAGCCTTGACAGTAATCCACCAAGACGTGGAGAAATGGAGTACCTCTGCCAGGCTCACTGAGCTGTTACTGATGGATAAGAATTATACCAATTTTTGGCCAGGAGCAGTGACTCGCACCTGTAATACCAGCACTTTGGGAGGCCGAGGAGGGTGGATCATTTGAGGCCAGGAGTTTGAGACCAGCCTGGACAACATGGTGAAACCCTGTTTCTGTTAAATTAGCTGGGTATGGTAGCACACACCTGTAGTCCCAGCTATTCAGGAGGCTGAGGCACAAGAATCACTTGAACCCAGGAGACAGGTTGCAGTGAGCCGAGATTGTGCCACTGTACTCCAACCTGGGCAACAGAGCTAGACCCTGTTTCCAAAAAAAAAAAAAAAAGGATTATACCAAGTTTTGAACTCTGGCTTGAAGAATACATTATTTGTTAAACACTCATTATCTTTCTCCTTTGTATCTTCCATTAGCTTATAATATTAATAAATATGAAAGCTCAACCTATAAAAAGGCAGAATATCCACAATCTTTAATCAGTTCTATGCCTGGAAGGCAAATGAGTTCAATGAGTGCTCTTGAGTCAAATAGATTATCAGTGTTTTCCCTAACCTAGCATATGCACATGGGAGAAATGTTCAAAATATTCCTTGTTCTCCTATTTCATTACAGGAAATAAATTTTCCACTGCAATTCCAACTTTACTTGGCAATATTCAAGGAGAAGAATTGCTGGTTTCTGAATGTGAGGGAGGAAGTCCTCCTGCATCTCAGGATAGCAATAAGGATGAACCTAAAAGTGGATTAAATGAAGACCAAGCCATGATGCAGGATTGTTACAGCAAAATTGTAGATAAGCTGTCCTCTGCAAACCCCACCATGGTATTACAGGTACAAAGAAACTCACATGTTGTAGAAGAATTTTTTATAGAATAATAAAAATTGCTTTTGCCAATCTGTATTGACAATCACTGGTCAGGGTTCTCCAATTGTATAATGAGCACCAATTGCACACACTTAACTTACAAAGTCCAGTGTTTGAAGAGCTGTGCTGTGCATAGGCTTGTAGATGAGCTATTTGGGTGTGCTGTGTATGCAGGTTCAGATGCTCGTGGCTGAACTGCGCAGGGTCACTGTGCTCTGGGATGAGCTCTGGCTGGGAGTTTTGCTGCAACAACACATGTATGTCCTGAGACGAATTCAGCAGCTTGAAGATGAGGTGAAGAGAGTCCAGAACAACAACACCTTACGCAAGTATGTTTCCATACACTTGTCCTGAGACAGTGAAGCTGCCACTTTGTTTCAAAGTATAAATAACATAAAATTTACTATTTTAATTTTTAAGTGTACAATTCAGTGGCATTAAATACATTCACCATATTGTACAACCATCACCACGGTCCATTTCCAGAACTTATTCATTATATTAAGCAGAAGAAGCTCTGTACTCATTAAAAATTATCTCTTCATTTCCCCCTCACCTCAGTTCCTGGCCACCTCTATTCTACTTGCCATCTCTATTATGAATTTGCCTATTTTAGCTACCTCATAGAAGTAGAAACATAAACTATCCATCTTTTTGTGTTTGGCTTTTTATACTTAGAATAATGGCCCGAAGGTTTATTATGTTGTAACGTGATATAATTTCATTTTTTTATCGCTGAATAATACTGTATGATTATACCGTTTTGTCCATCCGTTTATGGACAGCTGGGTTGCTTCTACATTTTAGCTCTGTGAACAGTGCTGCTGTGAACATTGGTGTATGAGTATCTGTTTGACTCTCTGCTTTCTATTATTTTTTGTGAATTTCATGTATATTTTGTGGATGATCCAGTGGATTTGCTGAATCGTATGGCAATATGGCAATTCTACGTCTGACTTACTGAGGAGCCAACAAACTTTTCCACAGTGGCTGCACCATTTTACAATCCTCCTAGCCATGCATGAGGGTTCCAGTTTCTCCTAATCCTTGGCAACACTTCTTTTCTTTTCTTTTTTTGATAATAGCTGTTGTGATGGATGCGAAGTGGTATCTCACTGTGGTTTTGATTTGCATTTTCCTAATGACTAGTGATGTTGAGCTTCCTTTCATGTGTTTATTGGCCATTTGCCTATCTTTGGAGAAATGTCATTACAAGTCCTTTGCCCATTTTTTAATTGGGTTTTTTGTTTTTTTATTGTTGAATTGTAGGAGTTCTCTATGTATTCTGGGTACTAACCCTTATCAGATACATGATTTGCAAATATTTGCTGCCATTCTGTGGGTTGTCTTTTCATTCTCTTCATAGTGTATAGTATTTTTTGATTTACAAAAGTTTTAATTTTGATGTAGCTCAATTTAATTTGTCTGTGCTTTTGGTGCCATATCCAAGGAATCATTGCCAAGTCTGGGGTCATGAAACCTTTCCCTTATGTTTTCTTCTAAGAGTTTTGTAGTTCTAGCTTTTAAGTTTAGGTCTTTGATCCATTTTGAGTTATTGCTTCATTCTTTTGCATGTTGATATCACATTTTCCTTGTATCATTTAGTTCATTGAAAAGAGGAGCTGCCTCTTTTATGAGCTGCATTTTTTTAAAAAACAAAAAATTCTTGGCTGGACACGGTGACTCATACCTGTAATTCTGGCACTTTGGGAGGCTGAGGCGGGCGGATCACGAGGTCAGGAGATCGAGACCATCCTGGCCAACATGGTGAAACCCCATCTCTACTAAAATACAAAAAATTAGCTGGGCGTGGTGTCGCGCGTGTGTAGTCGCAGCTACTCAGGAGGCTGAGGCAGAGGAATTGCTTGAACCCGGGAGGTGGAGGTTGCAGTGAGCCAAGATTGTACCACTCCACTCCAGTCTGGTGACAGAGCAAAACTCTGTCTCCAAAAAAAAACAAAACCAAAAATTCTTTGTTAGTAATTTACTTTGTGAATATGTTATTGCTTTATTTAGACTTATTCCTTGGTACTGTTTACTTAACAATTGATATATTGAAATTGTTGCATGTTTGTGTAAAACTTTAATGTACACATTTAAGTTTTTGAATAAAAATGTCTTCTTGGTCAGAGAAGAGAAAATTGCAATCATGAGGGAGAAGCACACAGCTTTGATGAAGCCCATCGTATTTGCTTTGGAGCATGTGAGGAGTATCACAGCGGCTCCTGCAGAAACACCTCATGAAAAATGGTTTCAGGATAACTATGGTGATGCCATTGAAAATGCCCTAGAAAAACTGAAGACTCCATTGAACCCTGCAAAGCCTGGGAGCAGCTGGATTCCATTTAAAGAGGTACAGAATAATCCCAAGCATGCTACTGAAATGGCACATCACAGTTCCCATGAGATACGAAATTTCAATAAGTGGACTTCTTACTTGGAATGTAAGAGATTTTATAAGCCTATAGGAGGCAGCCTGTGGCCAGTTGCTTATAAGGAACATAGAAAAAAGTGTTTCTGTTTAAGAATTTGGAAATCAGTGGGCAAAGGGGGATGGACGGCAAAGGTGCCCAATCTTTCATGTATGGAAGGCTCACACCAGTGAACAACAGATGAAGAAATTAGCCAAGGAAGGGGCTGTGACCCTGAGCTAAATATTGGTTGCCTGCTTTATTTACCTCATTAAAGATAAGAAATTTAACTTTGTGCCTATGTAGTTTTTCACAAGGAGAGCATTCAGTATTTCTAACAGATAAAATAGTCGCTTATAACAACATAAAGTTTTACAAGTAGTTCTGGAATCAATTCCACATATGCTGCGTGGGATGATTAGTGTATTCACATATTTGAGAATCCTTATCTTTTATATTTTGGTTTTCTTAATTCTATATTCTCTTAGGTCTTTATCTTTTCTAGCAAATAACACCATTAGTTGGGGGAGCTTATTACTTTGTAGCTCCAGCTTTTCCTTCTCCCTCCCTCTTTTCTCTGTCTCTTACCTTTATTGCTCCTAACTGATTTCCTTACTGAATTTGAGCAGTGAGAAAGCTATTAAAAGATACATGTAGAAACAAAAAGTACAGCCAACTTTAGCAAATGCAAGGTGCTAAATTCAGAGCAAATAGCTAGAAGTACAAGAAAGAAAACTAACATGAAGGATGAAGTTTATTATGTGTTCTTGCCAAAACTCGAGTTTCCGTGTGTGTGTGTGAGAGAAGGATGAAGTTTATTATGTGTTCTTGCCAAAACTCGAGTTTCCGTGTGTGTGTGTGTGTGTGTGTGTGTGTGTGTGTGTGTGTGTGTGTGTAGGTGGGCGGGGGGGGGGGGTGTTGTTTGTTTGTTTTGTTTGTTTTTTTTTGAGATGGAGTCTCTGTTGCCCAGGCTGGAGTGAGTGGCACGATCTTGGCTCACTGCTGCCTCTGCCTCCCGGGTTTAAGTGATTCTCCTGCCTCAGCCTCCCGTGTAGCTGGGATTACAGGCACACACCACCATGCTTGGCTAATTTTTGTACTTTTAGTAGAGACGGAGTTTCACCATGTTGGCCAGGCTGGTCTCGAACTCCTGGCCTCAAGTGATCCACCCTCCTCGGCCTCCCAAAGTGCTGGGATTACAGGTGTGAGCCACTGCTCCCGGCCTGCGTTTCCTTGTGTTCTAAGACCAGTTTCTTGTTTCTTTGTTTCCCTTTCAGTAAATCAAATTAGAAAATCAGAAGAGGATATAGGAGGAAACCCTGTAAACCCTGTTTGTGTGCGCACGTGTGTGTGTGTGTGTGTATAATCATAGAAAATTTTTAAAATGATTTTGTACATTTAAAGAATAATTTTAAAAATTAAGAATACCTGTGTCTCTCTTTTAGATATAGTACAGCTCAAAAAAAAGGAATTACCTAAAGAAATTAAACTTTATAGAAGTCCCACTTCTCTCCCTAATTTTATCTCCCCACCCACAACCAGTTTTCTGAGTTTTAATTAATCACTATCTACTTTAAAAAATAGTTTTTGTTTACAGATGCATTTCTAAATGACACTGTTTAGTTTCCGCCTGTTTTTGAACTTCTACGAATGAGATCATATTGTGTGTACGTCTACTTCTTTTTACTGCCATATTGGATTGGTATTAAGTTTTAAAATAATTGATCAATTTTTGTGTGTGTGTTTGTGTAGCTAAACAATGATCTATTATATGAAAATACCACAATTTATTCTTTTGTCATTGGGCACTTGGGGTGTTTCCAATTGGTTTTTTTCTTTTTATGAACAGAGCTTGCTAAAAATTGCTTTACATTTTTTCACATGGAAGCGGAGTCCAGAATTTGTTAATTTGGGTGCATATTATTGAGTTTGCTGCATGTAGCAACACAACTGTACATACAGTCTGTTCCCTGTGATTATTAGAAAGTATTATAGGGCTTTTCTGCAAACCTCAAGTGGTCAGACCTAAATGGTTACTTCTCTGTTAAAAATGTTCTTACTTGTCTTTGTCTTTTCTTCAGTTTTGTTAAGTCTCTTAGAGATCCACCAAATTTCCTCTACTCCAGTTTGATAAGAGTAGATTGAGCCTCATTTTTTCTTGTAATTTAAGGTTAATAACTTTGCAGGTGGCTTTTTAAAGTTTTGTCGACCTGACAGCCGACTGCTAGCTGTACCTATTGCAAGGACTGGATTGTTTTGGTGTTGTGCATACATAGCTCAACATTGGGGAATTATTAATAGTTTGCTAAAAGCCCCTAATTGGGTGATGATCACAGCAGTGTTTTCCTTCTATCTCCTGTGATTTCACTGCATGTTTGGACAGAGGAAAAGAAAGAGTCTTAACAAAGAATCCTGTAATGCACATCGGCCACCAGCGTTAACCCATCCAGGATGGCCCAGATCCCAGTACTGAGTTAAATGTAGAAATAAGAACAGCAGATAGTTGTGTGGATTTTAAAATTTAGTTTTGTTGTTGTTTTTGAGACAGGGTCTCCCTCTCTCACACAGGCTGGCATGTAGTGGCGTAATCTCGGCTCTCTGCAACCTCTGCCCCCTGGGCTCAGGTGATCCTCTTCTCCTGCCCTAGCTTCCCAAGTATCTGGGACTACAGGCACGAGCCACTGTGCCTGACTAACTTTTGTATTCTTTGTAGAGATGGGGTTTTGCCATGTTGCTCAGGCTGGTCTTGAACTTCTGAACTCAAGTGATCTGCCTACCTCGGCCTCCCAAAGTGCTGGGATTACAGGCATGAGCTGCCGCCGTGACCTAAAATTTACTTTTATGCCATATTGAATGTGGAAGAAAATAAGTGTTCTAATGTAATGTAAATTTGTTTCTCCCATCTTATGAATATAGATAATGCTAAGTTTGCAACAGAGAGCACAGAAACGTGCAAGTTACATCTTGCGTCTTGAAGAAATCAGTCCATGGTTGGCTGCCATGACTAACACTGAAATTGCTCTTCCTGGGGAAGTCTCAGCCAGAGACACTGTCACAATCCATAGTGTGGGCGGAACCATCACAATCTTACCGACTAAAACCAAGCCAAAGAAACTTCTCTTTCTTGGATCAGATGGGAAGAGCTATCCTTATCTTTTCAAAGGTAGGATTTAAGACTTCCTCCATTTTTCAGAAGAGTATTAGTCTTACTAATGCTTTGTGTGAGTGTGGGTGTGTATAGTAGGAGATTATTTCAGGCGAATTTCTGTATGTCATTATTAGCCTGCAGTGCCCTATATCTTATGTGCTTTTGAACGGCAGTGATTGGATGCCGTGCAGAAAGATTTTCCACCCCCACTTTGTGTATGAACTTGTACAAGCAGGACAAGTGAGGTACAGCTAATAATGCTAATATCTACTGCCAATATCTTGTCCCAAAATAGAATTCTTTAATGCTCTCAGTGTGCCTCATGGACTGTCAGTTTTTGACTGCCACTGCTAGTTGAAAAAGAGGAGTGGTATGCTCCCAACCCTGTTTAATCACCTATCCTAGCTATTTTAATTTTGTTTTCATAGGACTGGAGGATTTACATCTGGATGAGAGAATAATGCAGTTCCTATCTATTGTGAATACCATGTTTGCTACAATTAATCGCCAAGAAACACCCCGGTTCCATGCTCGACACTATTCTGTAACACCACTAGGAACAAGATCAGGACTAATCCAGTGGGTAGATGGAGCCACACCCTTATTTGGTCTTTACAAACGATGGCAACAACGGGAAGCTGCCTTACAAGCACAAAAGGTTGATTAAATCATCTACACAGTGTATTAGTCTATTCTCTGTTATTATGTGAAATACTTGTAGACTTACTGGACCATTTTTGCATGTTTATAAGCAGTTAAAGAAGGAAAAGACTTGAGGTCCCTAGGAGAGTATTTTTGAGGTACTTTTTTTTTTTTTTTTTTTTTGAGACACAGTCTTGCTCTGTCGCCCATGCTGGAGTGCAGTGGTGTGGTTTTGGGTCACTGCAACTTCTGCCTCCCAGGTTCAAGCAATTCTGCTACAGGCTCCCGAGTAGCGGGAACTATGGGGGGCGCACAACCACACCTGGGTAATTTTTGTATTTTTAGTAGAGATGGGATTTTGCCATGTTGCTCAGGTTGGTCTCGAACTCCTGGCCTCAGGTGATCCACCCGCCTCAGCCTCCCAAAATGCTGGGATTACAGGCATGAGCCACCGCATCTGGCCTTGAGGTACCTTTTATAAAAATAAAGTTGTTTGCTTTTTTTTGGTTTTGTTTTTTAAAGGGACAGGGTCTTGCTCTGTTGTCCAGGCTAGAGTGCAGTGGTATGATCATAGCTCATTGCAGCCTTGAACTCCTGGGCTCAAGTATTCCTCCCACCTCAGCCTTCTTAAGTGTTGGGATTACAGGCATGAGCCACCACACCCAGCCAAAAATAGTTATATAAGAGGCAAAAGTGATGGCATTGGGTTTATCTTAACTTGAGACAAATTTGGAGAGGGGGAATGTGTGGTTGTTCATCACTCAGTAACTTGATAATTTACATCTTAGTGTTTTTATTGGATTTACCATGCTTTTAAATTAAATTTGTAAATAATCGCTTTAAAACCCAGGTTCTTTTATGTATGTAAATAAGAAGCAACTTTAAATTTGGAATTAATCACCATGGCATCCTATTTTGTATCTATGAATTTTATGCTTTGATTTAGACTAGGAGTTTAATTTAGAATATATTTTAGCCATGTATCTGAGTGCTTAATATATGCCAGGAACAGTACTAAGCTCTTAGGATATTGAGATAAATTTTATACAGTCTTATCTTCAGGATCCCACATCTAGCTAAAGAAAATGCTTTTGATAAGGGTAGGTAGGGGAAAAGAGCATGAGTTTGAAAGGAGGCAAGTTTTAAACCTAGGCACAGGAGACTGCAGAACTGTTATTGAAGGGTAATTTCAAATAGTAATTAGAGAAGGGCTATCTAAATTCTCATGTAATGTGTTTTTGAATTTCTGTTGTTAATTTTATATTAACGATTAAGTTGTGTGTGAAGAATGAAGTATGTGCATAAATTATGAACTATAATTTTAAAACTGAATTCTGTATTATAAAGAAGAAAGTAACTTGAGTGTTTAGTTTTGAATTGAACCTCAAGAAAATTAAACAGTAGACCAATTTTTCAATAAAGTGAATGGGCCTAATTAAAAGGTATATATCATAAGAAAGATCCATAGTCCAGAATAATTAGCTATTTTGTATTAATACATGAAATTTAGTTGAGTAATGAGAGAATGCTACTGAAAAATCATTTTTAAAAATTCTACTTTACATACAAAAGGCACTCTTTTTCCTTATATAAAATTGATCTTTTCTTTTTTAAAAAAATTGTTTTTTCTTAAGGCCCAAGATTCCTACCAAACTCCTCAGAATCCTGGAATTGTACCCCGTCCTAGTGAACTTTATTACAGTAAAATTGGCCCTGCTTTGAAAACAGTTGGGCTTAGCCTGGATGTGTCCCGTCGGGATTGGCCTCTTCATGTAATGAAGGCAGTATTGGAAGAGTTAATGGAGGCCACACCCCCGAATCTCCTTGCCAAAGAGCTCTGGTCATCTTGCACAACACCTGATGAATGGTGGAGAGTTACGCAGGTATGTGCTTTGTTTTAGACTATACTCAGTAGTAGTATTTCTTTTGCCTGCTACCTTCTTGCCTATCTTGTTTGTCCTCCTTCCCTTCCTTCCTCTGTCCCTCCAGACTTGGTAGTTTGAGACGTATATTTGAGTTTAATATTACAGTTATAAAGGCATGAACATGACTGTGTCCGAGGGCAGGATGGGGAAAGAGTTATGGAGGAAATGAAAAGGAGATCCTAAGCAAATTAACACAGGAACAGAAAACTGAATACCGCATGTTCTCACTTATAAGTGGGAGCTAAACATTGAGCACACATGGACACAAAGAAGGGAACAACAGACACTGGGGCCTACTTGAGGGTGGGGGGCAGGAGGAGGGTGAGGTAGGAAAAAATACCTGTTGGATACTATGTTCATTACCTGGGTGACAGAATAATGTGTACATCAAACCCCAGTGACATACAATTTACTCACGTAAAGACCTACACATGTCCCTCTAAACCTAAAAGTTAGAAGGAAAAAAATTTTTTTAAATAAAATCAATATTTAAATTTAAAAAAAGAAAGAGGTCAGGCACAGTGGCTCACATCTGTAATCCCAGCACTTTTGGAAGCTGTGGTGGGTGGATCATCTGAGGTCGGGAGTTTGAGACCAGCCTGCCCAACATTGGTTTGGGCAACACTGAACCCCGTTTCAACCAAAAATACAAACAAAACAAAACAAAAAAAAGAATAAAAAATTTAGAAAGGGACAAACTAGGAAGACTGAAGAAAAGTTTGTTTGTTTGTGTTTTTTTTAATCCAGCATCCTGATAGCTGATTAACTAGGACCAATCAGGTCTACAGTGTTGTATGCCTGCATAACCACATGCAGCAACCTTGAGGAATGCTTTTTATTTGTTGATTTATTTTAAAATAAGGGAGTAGGTTAATGGTGCTTTGTAAATTTTATAGTATCACGTCCATGTTGGAGGGAAATTTCTTAATGGTGTTTCACTTGCTGCCCCCATTTCCTTTCCTTTAGTCTTATGCAAGATCTACTGCAGTCATGTCTATGGTTGGATACATAATTGGCCTTGGAGACAGACATCTGGATAATGTTCTTATAGATATGACGACTGGAGAAGTTGTTCACATAGATTACAATGTTTGCTTTGAAAAAGGTAATATAAAAGTAGACTTTACATTTATGAGGGCCAAATGTTTTTTGGTGAAAGGGCAAAAATATAATGATTTGTCTTTTCAAGGTAAAAGCCTTAGAGTTCCTGAGAAAGTACCTTTTCGAATGACACAAAACATTGAAACAGCACTGGGTGTAACTGGAGTAGAAGGTGTATTTAGGCTTTCATGTGAGCAGGTATGCTGTTTTCTCTTCTCCCTTTTAGTGTATTTGTTAAATGAGCAAAACCTGTGGAATGAAAACCACACTTTAGTGATGAAACTTGTGGCAGACCTTATTTTAAAAACTCTCCTGAAAACAGGTTTTACACATTATGCGGCGTGGCAGAGAGACCCTGCTGACGCTGCTGGAGGCCTTTGTGTACGACCCTCTGGTGGACTGGACAGCAGGAGGCGAGGCTGGGTTTGCTGGTGCTGTCTATGGTGGAGGTGGCCAGCAGGCCGAGAGCAAGCAGAGCAAGAGAGAGATGGAGCGAGAGATCACCCGCAGCCTGTTTTCTTCTAGAGTAGCTGAGATTAAGGTGAAGCCCAGTGACGGAATAAGTCATTGTCTTCTTTTTATTAATAGAGTAAACATGCTCATCAAAATGTTGAGGCAAATTGTTTCTCTAATTTTTTTGGCAAAACTAATGTATAATATTGAAATGGCAGTTAAATATGGCAGTTTGATGTTAACTTTTTATTAGGTAATTCTTCCACACAAACATGCACAGTTACATTCCACACTCCTAAGAGGTGGGTTCATGATTTGAAAAAATTATATTTCTTAATTATTGAAATGTGTTTACCAGTGATGACTGTAAATGTTCTTTAATTGGATAGCTTCCCTTCCCTATCTGGTAGCCAGGGATGCCAGTCTTGTTCTGGGTGACATTGGCAACTATTAATACATGGTATTATGAGATTGAGCCTGTCAGTTTATGCCTGTGTAAACTTGAACGCATTAGTTGTTTTTGTACAGTGGAGGCAACGCATCACCCCTTTCGGGTTTTGTAGAGATTTAAGTAGGATGTGCAAAATGTTCTTCTGACACTGTTGTGTCTCAAAATTGGCCCTGTAAGAGTCTTCTTAATCGTAATATCTTTTTACAGGTGAACTGGTTTAAGAATAGAGATGAGATGCTGGTTGTGCTTCCCAAGTTGGACGGTAGCTTAGATGAATACCTAAGCTTGCAAGAGCAACTGACAGATGTGGAAAAACTGCAGGGCAAACTACTGGAGGAAATAGAGTTTCTAGAAGGAGCTGAAGGGGTGGATCATCCTTCTCATACTCTGCAACACAGGTTTAAAACAGTGTTGAATTCTTCTAAATATGTGCCATTAATTAGAATTTTCATATTCATGTAAACATCAATATGGATTAGAATTATTGTAACAAATCACATAAATGATAAAAGCTGTCTCAGTGACTGCAACTTCAAAGTGTTAGTAAACAAAAATTCACTGAAATTGTCTGCTTTTATTATATTTAACTTAAATGTTTGAATGACTAATTATGGGAGATAGGTGGGTGTAGTGGTTAGAACACAAAACTTGGAATCAGAAAATCTGGGTTTTGGTTTTCTCATTACCATTATGTATCTTGAGTCCTTACTCATTTGTACAATGGCAGCTACTTCATCTACCTCACTAAGTATTAAATAAGATGATTAACTGAAAGAACCTTATACACAGCAGGTGCTCAGTAAAAGGGTAGTTGAATATGAAAGTGTCAAGCATTGTGTGAGGCTCTCAGATTACAAAGATCTGTCAAGCATCAGTCTCTAACCTTCAAGGAACCTAAAACTTGGCAGATGTGGCAGTTTTAATTAAAATGTCATGAGCATGGTTGAGGGAATCACAGGGTCAGGAAAAACAGAGAAGTAAGGGACATTTGAGGAGGGCCCTCAAGGTGAACAAGGAGCGTACCAGACAGTCCATGTGTGAGCACATTCCAGGGTAGGAAAGTATGTGGAAGAAAACAGCAATAAATCTTTTGATTTTGTTTGTGTCCCCCTGATTAGGTATTCTGAGCACACCCAACTACAGACTCAGCAAAGAGCTGTTCAGGAAGCAATCCAGGTGAAGCTGAATGAATTTGAACAATGGATAACACATTATCAGGCTGCATTCAATAATTTAGAAGCAACACAGCTTGCAAGCTTGCTTCAAGAGATAAGCACACAAATGGACCTTGGTATGGGTTGACTTATTTTAGATTCACATGTGAAACTATGAGTTTTATAGTCATGTGTGTTTGTGTGGGGTCCTGGTTTGTGCTTGCTTTTAGTGACAGCTGACTTGACCCTGTTTTACTGTGTTTAATAATGTCTTTTACCAAAAGGTCCTCCAAGTTACGTGCCAGCAACAGCCTTTCTGCAGAATGCTGGTCAGGCCCACTTGATTAGCCAGTGCGAGCAGCTGGAGGGGGAGGTTGGTGCTCTCCTGCAGCAGAGGCGCTCCGTGCTCCGTGGCTGTCTGGAGCAACTGCATCACTATGCAACCGTGGCCCTGCAGTATCCGAAGGCCATATTTCAGAAACATCGAATTGAACAGTGGAAGACCTGGATGGAAGAGCTCATCTGTAACACCACAGTAGAGCGTTGTCAAGAGCTCTATAGGAAGTAAGTTGATAGTGCTTAATTTTCTTTTATTTTTGAGACGGAGTCTTGTTCTGTCACCCAGGCTGGAGTGTGGTGGCATGATCTTGGCTCACTGCAACCTCCGTCTCTGAGGTTCAAGCAATTCCTCTGCCTCAGCCTCCAGAGTAGCTGGGACTACAACACCACCAAGCCCGGCTAATTTTTGTCTTTTTAGTACAGACGGGGTTTCACTATATTGGCCAGGCTGGTCTTGAACTCCTGACCACGTGATCTGCCTGCCTGGGCCTCCCAAATTTCTGGGATTACAGGCGTGAGCCACTGCGCCTGGCCAATTGTATTTCTTATTGGGAGTGGAAGCAAAGTTGTATTCTGCAGCCTTGACCTCCCTGGGCTCAGGTGATCCTCCCACTTCAGCCTCCCAAGTAGCTGGGACCACGGGCGTGTGTCACCACGCCTGAACAATTTTTATATTTTTTTGTAGAGATGGAGTTTCGCCGTGTTGCCCAGGCTGGTCTCGAACTCCTGAGCTCAAGCGATCCTCCTGCCTTGGCCTCCCAAAGTGCTAGGATTACAGGTATGAGCCGTGGTGCCTGGCCTCAAATGTTGATTCTGTCACAGTCATCAACAAGTCCTTTTAGGAAATTGCTTAAGCTCTTGAGACATTTTTATCTGTAAAATGTAAATAATGATTTCTACTCTTCAAGTTTTGTTTGAGGATTAAATGCAATATTCTTTTGTATGTTGGGGGTGGTTGTGTTATAAACAAGCACCTCTTCCTTATTTTTATAGATATGAAATGCAATATGCTCCCCAGCCACCCCCAACAGTGTGTCAGTTCATCACTGCCACTGAAATGACCCTGCAGCGATACGCAGCAGACATCAACAGCAGACTTATTAGACAAGTGGAACGCTTGAAACAGGAAGCTGTCACTGTGCCAGTTTGTGAAGATCAGTTGAAAGAAATTGAACGTTGCATTAAAGTTTTCCTTCATGAGAATGGAGAAGAAGGATCTTTGAGTCTAGCAAGTGTTATTATTTCTGCCCTTTGTACCCTTACAAGGTAAGTTAGCCAACTTCATATTGGACCATTTCCTGTGTCTTATTTTTAATCCCAAACCTAAAATGTTCTTTTACTTTCCTTAGTCTTGCCAAGTGTTACAGCTGCTTACTTGCTTTTCAGATTTTAGTTATCTTGGTTGTGTTTTGAGACAGGGTCTCACTCTTGACACTGAGGCTGGAGTGCAGTGGCACGATCTCGGCTCACAGCAACCTCAGCCTCCTTAATAGCTGGGACTACAGGTGTGTGCCACCACACCTGGCTAATTTTTGTATTTTTTGGTAGAGATGGGGTTTTGCCATATTGATCAGGCTGGTCTCGAACTCCTGGCCTGAAGTCATCTACCTGCCTCGGCCTCCCAAAATGCTGGAATTACAGGCATGGCCTTGACCCGGCCAGTTACCTTGTTTTGTTTATACATTTAAGTTTCACTGTACAGATATTTATCTCTTGTAGGCGTAACCTGATGATGGAAGGTGCAGCGTCAAGTGCTGGAGAACAGCTGGTTGATCTGACTTCTCGGGATGGAGCCTGGTTCTTGGAGGAACTCTGCAGTATGAGCGGAAACGTCACCTGCTTGGTTCAGTTACTGAAGCAGTGCCACCTGGTGCCACAGGACTTAGATATCCCGAACCCCATGGAAGCGTCTGAGACAGTTCACTTAGCCAATGGAGTGTATACCTCACTTCAGGTGAACACTTTTATTTTAAATATTAGTTTGTTTTAGATACTGAATATTGTCTTTCTCATCTCTTTAACCCAGGAAAGCAATTTGACTTCCCCATTTGAATGTTGCTCAACCAGTCATTTAAAAGGAAGATAATTGTGAGATTTATAGCTATAACTTGGTTACAGTTGCTCTTTGTTTTTTTGAATTTTTATAGCAGCTTTATTTGTAATAGTCAAAAACTGGAATCAAGTCAAGTGTTCATCAAGCAAATGGACAAATATGGTACATCCACATAATGGAATACTTCTTAGCAATAAAAGTGAACGACACCTTGATAACATACAGCCACATGTATGACTTACAATAATTATGCTGAGTAAAGAAAGCTAGACATTTCTACCCCTATAAATGGAGAGTGTATAATATGAGAAAAAGCAGATCAGTGTTTACTTGGAGATGGAGGAGGTGGTATGGAGAAGTGTGAGTGAGAGAGATTAAGAAGTCAGGAGGAAATTTGTAGGGTAGTCGGTATGCTGATTTTCTTGATTGTGGTGACAGTTTCATGAGTGTATGCAAGTACCAAAGTATAACAAATTATATATTTTAAACATGCAGTTTATTATATGCAAATTATACCTTGATAAGACTTTTTTTTTTTGAAGGGAAATAGAAGCCACTTATAACCAAACCAAAAAGAGAATAACAATGCTAATATCACTACAGAAATATGATTCCTAAAAATTAATAACATTATATAACATACTTTAGGGCAGTTCTTTTTGTTCTTAAGGTACATCATCCTAGGAATGTTTAATTATATGACAACTTTTTAAAGTCATTTGAAATAGTTCCTGAAAAATTTCACATGACTATGAAATAGAATTTGAAAAGAAAATATTTAAAAGTAGAAATAAAAAGTAAACAAAAGATGTACTTACATGAATGAGTTGATGGCATAGTTACATAAGTTTGCTCTTAATGTATGGCTCTAAGTCTCCAAATGTGTAACTTAGCTAAACTCAAAAAACATTAAAAGTTTTTTTCTCATATATTTATAGGAATTGAATTCGAATTTCCGGCAAATCATATTTCCAGAAGCACTTCGATGTTTAATGAAAGGGGAATACACGTTAGAAAGTATGCTGCATGAACTGGACGGTCTTATTGAGCAGACCACCGATGGCGTTCCCCTGCAGACTCTAGTGGAATCTCTTCAGGCCTACTTAAGAAACGCAGCTATGGGACTGGAAGAAGAAACACATGCTCATTACATCGATGTTGCCAGGCAAGTGAATGCTGGCTGTGCCGTTTCCTTGTAAAAGAGATGGGACAGCCAGAGAAAGGGATTCTGAGCTCTTTAACGTAAGTTTACTTTTAGTTTTTAGAGCAGGTATAATTACTTATAAATGCTCATACACGTATCTTTTTAAAACTTTTTTATTTTGAAATAATTATACATCACGAGAAGTTGCTTAAAAAAAAAGTGCAGGCAGGTATTGTGCATGCTTCATCCTTCCTTCAGTGTTAGTATCTATAGTAACACTATGAAACCGACAATGATATAGTCCACACCGCTTACTCAGATTTCACTAGTTATACATGCA
This sequence comes from Homo sapiens, assembly GCF_000001405.40. Lineage (NCBI taxonomy): Eukaryota > Metazoa > Chordata > Mammalia > Primates > Hominidae > Homo > Homo sapiens. The sequence continues at coordinate 18,832,620 of NC_000016.10, read as the reverse complement.
CTTATTTGTGTGTGTGTGTGTGTGTGTGTGTGTGTGTGCAAGTGTATAGTTCGGTCACATACATACATATATCCTTTTAGTGCTTGTAGTTATGTACATGTACATACACACAGTCGAACATGATATTTTTAAGCCATCTTGTAGAACCCCTTGGAGACACCTGAAACAGTTTATTTAGCTAACAGAGTACACACCTCATTTCAGGTGAATACTTTTAAATTAGTTTAAATATTGTAAGTTTGTTTTAGCTAATTGGATATTGTATTTTTCATCTCATTAGTCCAGAAAAGCAATCTGACTTTGGAATCTGTAGAGTTTGGGCAGTTCCTGCAGACATGCATTGTACTCAGAGCTAATCCCTAAGCTTCTTTGTGCCTAGTGACTCAGGGCCTCTTTTCTTTGGCGTTCCAATGTCTAATTCACAGAAGAAGTATAATTGAGAGAGTAGAAATGAATTGTAGCACCGTTTCCTCCCATGGGAAATTTCAAAGATACAAGACTGTAGAGAGAATAGTCTAATGAACCCCCTGCCACCACCTTTGGTAATTATCTGCACTGGGCTAGTCTGGTTTAAATTTACTACCCTAGTTATTTAGAAGCAAATATTTTTTCATTCTTAAATATTAATAATGCAGAAAGTATACATATATATGTAATCTTATTTTTCTTGACTGTGGTGCCATTATTTCATGAAAAAAGTAGCAATAATTCCTTAATGTTAATTATCCTGCATTCAGAAATTTCCTGTTTCTCATGTTTCTTTGGAGTGGTTATATTCATAAAATAATAAATATATTCATATATATTCATAAATATGTACGTGTGTGTGTATATATATATATATATGTATTTTTTTTTTTTTTTTTGAGATGGAGTCTTGCTGTGTCGCTAGGCTGGAGTGCAATGGTGCGATCTCGGCTCGCTGCAGCCTCCATCTCCCGGGTTCAAGAGATTCTCCTGGCTCAGCCTCCCTAGTAGCTGGGACTATGGACGTATGCCCCCATGCCCGGCTAGAAAAAGTATAATCATTAATAGCATAAATATTAGATTATTTATAGAACAGCTTTATCATATAATTTTTAGCAGTATTTAAAAAGTTAAATGCTAGATCTGTACATCTTTGTTTTGCACTGAATTTCAGACTTCATTTTATCTCTCTTAATATCTTATCTGGGTTCCCCTTATCCTCATACAGAGGAATGTTTACCTAAATGTGTACTTTGGGTAACAAACTTTGTGCCTGGATCTATGGCAGCCTGTCTGTGCCTTGTTTCAGAGAAGCTTTTTTTGGGTAATCTCAAGGAAAATCTCATACCATCTTACAGCTCTTTTTCCATTAGAAATTTATCTGGTAGTTTAACATTTTTAATTCTCTTAAAAATTCTTAATAGTTCCAGCCATTTGGAATGGTTTCTGTGTGTGTGTGTGATAAGAAATAGTGCCTGGATACATAAGCACTATGTAAGTCTTAATGGTAATGTGAGGGGTGAATTTCTGAAGACCTTACATTCAAAATGTGCATAAATAAAAACCAAGCATACCCAAAATAGCAAGTATACTTGGTTGTATCGTATCTTGTAGTAATAGTGCGAACATACCTGACAATTTACTAGGTCCGCCAGCTTTAGAATGGTGTGATTTCTGACATTTTTCAATACAGGATTTTAAATTATTTCATATTTTGTGTGTAAAAATGAGACTGATCACTGAAGTTTGCATAAAATTTAATCACATAACAGTCATTAATAACGAATTGGAATCATTGAAATCCTATTGTGGTTGACATGAAATACCATTTTATCATCATAACATTCCTTCTTTTTTTTTGAGATGGAGTTTCGCTCTTGTTGCCCAGACTGGAGTGTAATGGCGCGATCTTGGCCTCCTAGGCAACCTCCGCCTCCTAGGTTCAAGCGATTCTCCTAGCCTCAGCCTCCTGAGTAGCTGGGACTACAGGTGCCCACCATCACACTCGGCTGATTTTTTTGTATTTTTAGTAGAGACGGGGTTTCTCCATGTTGGTCAGGCTGGTCTTGAACTCCTGACCTCAGGTGATCTGCCCACCTCGGCCTGCCAAAGTGCTGGATTACAGGCGTGAGCCACCGCGCCCGGCCTAATAACACTTCTTCTTAATGCCAGAAGGCTTTCTAGACTCTCACAGCATGCAGCTGTGAGATGTACTGACTTTGTATGTTCCCACCAAAGGCATTACTTTTCAGCGAAGGTTTTAACTCCTTTTGTTTTTCTGTAGACTACTACATGCTCAGTACGGTGAATTAATCCAACCGAGAAATGGTTCAGTTGATGAAACACCCAAAATGTCAGCTGGCCAGATGCTTTTGGTAGCATTCGATGGCATGTTTGCTCAAGTTGAAACTGCTTTCAGCTTATTAGTTGAAAAGGTAAATGTGGACTTGGATTTAAAAATAATGCAAGTGCCATAAAGTAGTTGTTCAGTTGTGTCAAGAGTGGAGAAATGAACTTTGTTTTCTTTCATTTACATAGTTGAACAAGATGGAAATTCCCATAGCTTGGCGAAAGATTGACATCATAAGGGAAGCCAGGAGTACTCAAGTTAATTTTTTTGATGATGATAATCACCGGCAGGTGCTAGAAGAGATTTTCTTTCTAAAAAGACTACAGACTATTAAGGAGTTCTTCAGGCTCTGTGGTACCTTTTCTAAAACATTGTCAGGTAATATTCTACCTGTAAACATACTAGCTTTAGCTATGTAGCACTATGGAAGGGGGCAGGATAGAGTAGGCTTAATTTAATTATACATTCATGACACCTTAAATACTATAAATAAGCAGCATATTACCTGATTTTTTTCATGAAATACAAGAAATTTTTCCTTTTTGTAGGATCAAGTTCACTTGAAGATCAGAATACTGTGAATGGGCCTGTACAGATTGTCAATGTGAAAACCCTTTTTAGAAACTCTTGTTTCAGTGAAGACCAAATGGCCAAACCTATCAAGGCATTCACAGCTGACTTTGTGAGGCAGCTCTTGATAGGGCTACCCAACCAAGCCCTCGGACTCACACTGTGCAGTTTTATCAGTGCTCTGGGTGTAGACATCATTGCTCAAGTAGAGGCAAAGGACTTTGGTGCCGAAAGCAAAGTTTCTGTTGATGATCTCTGTAAGAAAGCGGTGGAACATAACATCCAGATAGGGAAGTTCTCTCAGCTGGTTATGAACAGGGCAACTGTGTTAGCAAGTTCTTACGACACTGCCTGGAAGAAGCATGACTTGGTGCGAAGGCTAGAAACCAGTATTTCTTCTTGTAAGACAAGCCTGCAGCGGGTTCAGCTGCATATTGCCATGTTTCAGGTAAGTGTTTTTGTTTATAATGTGTTTTTCCTCAAGGTAGGAAACTTGAAAAATGGGGGAAATTAATTTAAAACAATACACAGAAATTTTTTTAAAACTTCCTGAACTCACAGCAACCCAATGCAAACACACCATAGCATTTTGGCACTTTCTTTCCAATGATACTTCGTTTCTCTTCTGTATAGTTGAGATCATTTATCCTTTATGGTTTGTGTCCTTAGAATTTCTTTCCATCAAGGCTGTATGATAAGCATGATCTGTATTAAATATTGCTTTTTTTTTTTTTTGAGATGGAGTTTTGCTCTTCTTGCCCAGACTGGAGTGCAATGGCGCGATCTCGGCTCACCGCAACCTCCGCCTCCTGGGTTCAAGCGATTCTCCCTCCTCAGCCTCCCTAGTAGCTGGGATTACAGGCATGTGCCACCACGCCTGGCTAATTTTGTATTTTTAGTAGAGATGGGGTTTCTCCATGTTGGTCAGGCTGGTCTCGAACTCCCGAGCCTAGGTGATCCACCCGCCTTGGCCTCCCAAAGTGCTGGGATTATAGGCGTGAGCCACCATGCCTGGCATAAATATAGTTTTTAATGTTGAATTCATTCATATGTAGGTATGCTTCCTGTATTTATTTCTAAAGTAGTTTCTCTTTCCTTGATGCCTTATTGATGTGATAAACAGCTTTGGGAATAAATCTGTCTTTATTTTGGAAATGGTTTTTAGAAGCCTAGTTTTGGCCTTAATTACTTAGGGGATGTATAACAGCACAGGCTTTGGGGTGAGATGGATTTGTATTCAAATGAGACTTGGGTATATAAACTTGTACTTAACTTCCTTAAGCTCTGATTTCCTTAACTGTAGTTAACATCTTCAGAATTACTATTTAAATGGTGCATGTGAGTGATCCAAGAAATTTATTAGCCATGTTCTACCTCAAGAAGTCTTTCACCTGGATGTGATTTTTTTCAGTGTGTCTTTTCTGTTACTTCTCCCTGCTTACCTCCCATTGGCTGCAGCTGGGATTTTTTTCTCTTCCGCCAGTCCTAGGTTGCGCCTCCCTTCCCTTATTTATCTAAACGCTTTTTTCCTGCTGATTTTAATACATTTCTTTTTCTCTCAACAGTGGCAACATGAAGATCTACTTATCAATAGACCACAAGCCATGTCAGTCACACCTCCCCCACGGTCTGCTATCCTAACCAGCATGAAAAAGAAGCTGCATACCCTGAGCCAGATTGAAACTTCTATTGCAACAGTTCAGGTGTGTTTTGCCAGATCTTCCTTCCAGGGCATTTTCTTTTTAGAAATAACCAATACTATGATTGTTAGTGCTCTGTTGTTCAGTGTGTCTATTTGTGTGTCCTTGGCTTGTAAGCCAGAAGAGCATAATTTTTTTCACTTTTGCTTTTAATTTATACATATATATATATATATAGGTATATATATACCAAAGATATATAAAAACATATACTTTGGTATATTTATACCAAATACCAAAATATATATAAAATATATATTTAGATATATTTATACCAAAGATATATAAAAATATATATTTTGGTATATTTATACCAAATATATATATAAAATATATATTTAGATATATTTATACCAAATATATATAAAAATATATATTTTGGTATATTTATACCAAATATATATAAAAATATATATTTTGGTATATTTATACCAAATATATCTAAAAATATATATTTTGGTATATTTATACCAAAGATATATAAAAAAATATATTTTGGTATATTTATACCAAAGATATATAAAAATATATATTTTGGTATATTTATACCAAATATATATAAAAATATATATATATAGGTATATTTATACCTATATATATATATTTTGGAGACAGAGTCTCGCTTTGTTGCCCAGGTTGGAGTGCAGTGGCACTATCTCACCTCACTGCAACCTCTGCCTCTCGGGTTCAAGCGATTCTCCTGCCTCAGCCTCTGAAGTAGCTGGGACTACAGGCACGCACCACCATGTCCAGCTAATTTTTGTATTTTTATAGAGACGGGGTTTCACCATGCTGGCCAGGCTGGTCTCAAACTCCTGACCTCAGGTGATCTGCCCACCTTGGCCTCCCAAAACACTGGGATTGCAGGCTTGAGCCACCGCACCCGGCCTATATTTTTTATTTCTTACCCTCCAAGGTAACTGAATCTTATAGTAACAGGTATATTTTGAACCAGGAGTAGAAACATACTAAATATCTCCGAGTCAAAGAAAGGGGTGACGGACGTACCTGGAAAATCGGGTCACTCCCACCCGAATATTACGCTTTTCAGACCGGCTTAAGAAACGGCGCACCACGAGACTATATCCCACACCTGGCTCAGAGGGTCCTACGCCCACGGAATCTCGCTGATTGCTAGCACAGCAGTCTGAGATCAAACTGCAAGGCGGCAACGAGGCTGGGGGAGGGGCGCCCGCCATTGCCCAGGCTTGCTTAGGTAAACAAAGCAGCCGGGAAGCTCGAACTGGGTGGAGCCCACCACAGCTCAAGGAGGCCTGCCTGCCTCTGTAGGCTCCACCTCTGGGGGCAGGGCACAGACAAACAAAAAGACAGCAGTAACCTCTGCAGACTTAAGTGTCCCTGTCTGACAGCTTTGAAGAGAGCAGTGGTTCTCCCAGCACGCAGCTGGAGATCTGAGAACGGGCAGACTGCCTCCTCAAGTGGGTCCCTGACCCCTGACCCCCGAGCAGCCTAACTGGGAGGCACCCCCCAGCAGGGGCACACTGACACCTCACACGGCAGGGTATTCCAACAGACCTGCAGCTGAGGGTCCTGTCTGTTAGAAGGAAAACTAACAACCAGAAAGGACATCTACACCGAAAACCCATCTGTACATCACCATCATCAAAGACCAAAAGTAGATAAAACCACAAAGATGGGGAAAAAACAGAACAGAAAAACTGGAAACTCTAAAACGCAGAGCGCCTCTCCTCCTCCAAAGGAACGCAGTTCCTCACTAGCAACAGAACAAAGCTGGATGGAGAATGATTTTGACGAGCTGAGAGAAGAAGGCTTCAGACGATCAAATTACTCTGAGCTACGGGAGGACATTCAAACCAAAGGCAAAGAAGTTGAAAACTTTGAAAAAAATTTAGAAGAATGTATAACTAGAATAACCAATACAGAGAAGTGCTTAAAGGAGCTGATGGAGCTGAAAACCAAGGCTCGAGAACTACGTGAAGAATGCAGAAGCCTCAGGAGCCGATGCAATCAACTGGAAGAAAGGGTATCAGCAATGGAAGATGAAATGAATGAAATGAAGCGAGAAGGGAAGTTTAGAGAAAAAAGAATAAAAAGAAATGAGCAAAGCCTCCAAGAAATATGGGACTATGTGAAAAGACCAAATCTACGTCTGATTGGTGTACCTGAAAGTGATGTGGAGAATGGAACCAAGTTGGAAAACACTCTGCAGGATATTATCCAGGAGAACTTCCCCAATCTAGCAAGGCAGGCCAACGTTCAGATTCAGGAAATACAGAGAACGCCACAAAGATACTCCTCGAGAAGAGCAACTCCAAGACACATAATTGTCAGATTCACCAAAGTTGAAATGAAGGAAAAAATGTTAAGGGCAGCCAGAGAGAAAGGTCGGGTTACCCTCAAAGGAAAGCCCATCAGACTAACAGCGGATCTCTCGGCAGAAACCCTACAAGCCAGAAGAGAGTGGGGGCCAATATTCAACATTCTTAAAGAAAAGAATTTTCAACCCAGAATTTCATATCCAGCCAAACTAAGCTTCATAAGTGAAGGAGAAATAAAATACTTTATGGACAAGCAAATGCTGAGAGATTTTGTCACCACCAGGCCTGCCCTAAAAGAGCTCCTGAAGGAAGCACTAAACATGGAAAGGAACAACCGGTACCAGCCGCTGCAAAATCATGCCAAAATGTAAAGACCATCGAGACTAGGAAGAAACTGCATCAACTAATGAGCAAAATCACCAGCTAACATCATAATGACAGGATCAAATTCACACATAACAATATTAACTTTAAATATAAATGGACTAAATTCTGCAATTAAAAGACACAGACTGGCAAGTTGGATAAAGAGTCAAGACCCATCAGTGTGCTGTATTCAGGAAACCCATCTCACGTGCAGAGACACACATAGGCTCAAAATAAAAGGATGGAGGAAGATCTACCAAGCAAATGGAAAACAAAAAAAGGCAGGGGTTGCAATCCTAGTCTCTGATAAAACAGACTTCAAACCAACAAAGATCAAAAGAGACAAAGAAGGCCATTACATAATGGTAAAGGGATCAATTCAACAAGAGGAGCTAACTATCCTAAATATTTATGCACCCAATACAGGAGCACCCAGATTCATAAAGCAAGTCCTCAGTGACCTACAAAGAGACTTAGACTCCCACACATTAATAATGGGAGACTTTAACACCCCACTGTCAACATTAGACAGATCAACGAGACAGAAAGTCAACAAGGATACCCAGGAATTGAACTCAGCTCTGCACCAAGCAGACCTAATAGACATCTACAGAACTCTCCACCCCAAATCAACAGAATATACATTTTTTTCAGCACCACACCACACCTATTCCAAAATTGACCACATAGTTGGAAGTAAAGCTCTCCTCAGCAAATGTAAAAGAACAGAAATTATAACAAACTATCTCTCAGACCACAGTGCAATCAAACTAGAACTCAGGATTAAGAATCTCACTCAAAGCCGCTCAACTACATGGAAACTGAACAACCTGCTCCTGAATGACTACTGGGTACATAACGAAATGAAGGCAGAAATAAAGATGTTCTTTGAAACCAACGAGAACAAAGACACCACATACCAGAATCTCTGGGACGCATTCAAAGCAGTGTGTAGAGGGAAATTTATAGCACTAAATGCCTACAAGAGAAAGCAGGAAAGATCCAAAATTGACACCCTAACATCACAATTAAAAGAACTAGAAAAGCAAGAGCAAACACATTCAAAAGCTAGCAGAAGGCAAGAAATAACTAAAATCAGAGCAGAACTGAAGGAAATAGAGACACAAAAAACCCTTCAAAAAATCAATGAATCCAGGAGCTGGTTTTTTGAAAGGATCAACAAAATTGATAGACCGCTAGCAAGACTAATAAAGAAAAAAAGAGAGAAGAATCAAATAGACACAATAAAAAATGATAAAGGGGATATCACCACCGATCCCACAGAAATACAAACTACCATCAGAGAATACTACAAACACCTCTACGCAAATAAACTAGAAAATCTAGAAGAAATGGATACATTCCTCGACACATACACTCTCCCAAGACTAAACCAGGAAGAAGTTGAATCTCTGAATAGACCAATAACAGGCTCTGAAATTGTGGCAATAATCAATAGTTTACCAACCAAAAAGAGTCCAGGACCAGATGGATTCACAGCCGAATTCTACCAGAGGTACAAGGAGGAACTGGTACCATTCCTTCTGAAACTATTCCAATCAATAGAAAAAGAGGGAATCCTCCCTAACTCATTTTATGAGGCCAGCATCATTCTGATACCAAAGCCGGGCAGAGACACAACCAAAAAAGAGAATTTTAGACCAATATCCTTGATGAACATTGATGCAAAAATCCTCAATAAAATACTGGCAAACCGAATCCAGCAGCACATCAAAAAGCTTATCCACCATGATCAAGTGGGCTTCATCCCTGGGATGCAAGGCTGGTTCAATATACGCAAATCAATAAATGTAATCCAGCATATAAACAGAGCCAAAGACAAAAACCACATGATTATCTCAATAGATGCAGAAAAAGCCTTTGACAAAATTCAACAACCCTTCATGCTAAAAACTCTCAATAAATTAGGTATTGATGGGACGTATTTCAAAATAATAAGAGCTATCTATGACAAACCCACAGCCAATATCATACTGAATGGGCAAAAACTGGAAGCATTCCCTTTGAAAACTGGCACAAGACAGGGATGCCCTCTCTCACCGCTCCTATTCAACATAGTGTTGGAAGTTCTGGCCAGGGCAATCAGGCAGGAGAAGGAAATAAAGGGTATTCAATTAGGAAAAGAGGAAGTCAAATTGTCCCTGTTTGCAGACGACATGATTGTTTATCTAGAAAACCCCATCATCTCAGCGCAAAATCTCCTTAAGCTGATAAGCAACTTCAGCAAAGTCTCAGGATACAAAATCAATGTACAAAAATCACAAGCATTCTTATACACCAACAACAGACAAACAGAGAGCCAAATCATGGGTGAACTCCCATTCACAATTGCTTCAAAGAGAATAAAATACTTAGGAATCCAACTTACAAGGGATGTGAAGGACCTCTTCAAGGAGAACTACAAACCACTGCTCAAGGAAATAAAAGAGGACACAAACAAATGGAAGAACATTCCATGCTCATGGGTAGGAAGAATCAATATCGTGAAAATGGCCATACTGCCCAAGGTAATTTACAGATTCAATGCCATCCCCATCAAGCTACCAATGACTTTCTTCACAGAATTGGAAAAAACTACTTTAAAGTTCATATGGAACCAAAAAAGAGCCCGCATTGCCAAGTCAATCCTAAGCCAAAAGAACAAAGCTGGAGGCATCACACTACCTGACTTCAAACTATACTACAAGGCTACAGTAACCAAAACAGCATGGTACTGGTACCAAAACAGAGATATAGATCAATGGAACAGAACAGAGCCCTCAGAAATAATGCCGCATATCTACAACTATCTGATCTTTGACAAACCTGAGAAAAACAAGAAATGGGGAAAGGATTCCCTATTTAATAAATGGTGCTGGGAAAACTGGCTAGCCATATGTAGAAAGCTGAAACTGGATCCCTTCCTTACACCTTATACAAAAATCAATTCAAGATGGATTAAAGACTTAAATGTTAGACCTAAAACCATAAAAACCCTAGAAGAAAACCTAGGCATTACCATTCAGGACATAGGTGTGGGCAAGGACTTCATGTCCAAAACACCAAAAGCAATGGCAACAAAAACCAAAATTGACAAATGGGATCTAATTAAACTAAAGAGCTTCTGCACAGCAAAAGAAACTACCATCAGAGTGAACAGGCAACCTACAACATGGGAGAAAATTTTTGCAACCTACTCATCTGACAAAGGGCTAATATCCAGAATCTACAATGAACTCAAACAAATTTACAAGAAAAAAACAAACAACCCCATCAAAAAGTGGGCGAAGGACATGAACAGACACTTCTCAAAAGAAGACATTTATGCAGCCAAAAAACACATGAAAAAATGCTCATCATCACTGGCCATCAGAGAAATGCAAATCAAAACCACTATGAGATATCATCTCACACCAGTTAGAATGGCAATCATTAAAAAGTCAGGAAACAACAGGTGCTGGAGAGGATGTGGAGAAATAGGAACACTTTTACACTGTTGGTGGGACTGTAAACTAGTTCAACCATTGTGGAAGTCAGTGTGGCGATTCCTCAGGGATCTAGAACTAGAAATACCATTTGACCCAGCCATCCCATTACTGGGTATATACCCAAAGGACTATAAATCATGCTGCTATAAAGACACATGCACACGTATGTTTATTGCGGCACTATTCACAATAGCAAAGACTTGGAACCAACCCAAATGTCCAACAATGATAGTCTGGATTAAGAAAATGTGGCACATATACACCATGGAATACTATGCAGCCATAAAAAATGATGAGTTCATATCCTTTGTAGGGACATGGATGAAATTGGAAACCATCATTCTCAGTAAACTATCGCAAGAACAAAAAACCAAACACCGCATATTCTCACTCATAGGTGGGAATTGAACAATGAGATCACATGGACACAGGAAGGGGAATATCACACTCTGGGGACTGTGGTGGGGTCGGGGGAGGCGGGAGGGATAGCATTGGGAGATATACCTAATGCTAGATGACACATTAGTGGGTGCAGCGCACCAGCATGGCACATGTATACATATGTAACTAACCTGCACAATGTGCACATGTACCCTAAAACTGAGAGTATAATAAAAAAAAAAAAAAGAAAAAAAAAAGAAAAAAAAAAAAAAAAAAAGAAACATACTAAATATCTCAGGTTTTTAATGAATTTGATAATTACTGTGCCTTAATACATTAAGGAAATTTTGATGATTAGAAAAACTTTGAATACTGAATTTGTTTTGTGAAATGTATATAAGTAGTTCTATTTTGTTTATTAGTAGTAGCTAACAAGCATGGGCATTTCTTATGTTGTATAGATAATGGAATTTTGTGATGCCTAAGGCAGCAGAATATTTTTCTGAACTATTATAGTGACTGGATATTGAAAGCTATGTACATAATCCTTCTACTTATTTTTTTACATAAGAGAAACTTGCCTTAATGAAAGTTATGTGTATCTTTATATTGTCTGTCCTTTATACTTCATGTACTCAGTAGTAACTGACATTTTTGTTTTTGTAAATTAATAGCAGTATAAAATCAAGTATAATTCTGTGATGTTTTAAAAGTTTTTTAATGAAGCTTTTTTGGAGCTCAGTCATTTGAAGATTGAAATAAGCTTTCTCTACAGTGTATTGGTCAGAGAAAAGATGTGTTTTCAACTTACAAGAATGAACTCTTCCTCTTTATGATTTTAGAGACATGGACATGCAGGAAAGTAGAGGGAGTTGGGGAGAGAAAATGTGAATGCGTCCACCTGAAATGTTGAATAAATAATCAAATAACTTTGTTACATTAAACTTTCCTCGTCATGATAATCTGGATGGATTTTTACCATTGTTCATAAACTTGGCCAGGCATGGTGGTTCATGCCTATAATCCCAGCACTTTGGGAGGCCGAGGTGGGTGGATTGCTTGAGGCCAGGAGTTTGAGACCAGCCTGGGCAACATAGTAAAACCTCGTCTCTACAGAAAATACAAAAAATTAGTTGGGCATGGTGGCACGCACCTCTTGTCCCAGCTTCTTTGGAAGCTGAGGTGGGAGGATGGCTTGAGCTCAGGAGGCGGGGGTTGCAGTGAGCCAAGATAGTAGCTGGGCGTGCTGGCTCACACCTGTAATCCCAGCACTTTGGGAGGCCGAGGCGGGTGGATCATGAGGTCAGGAGTTCAAGACCAGCCTGGCCAAGATGGTAAAACTCCGTCTTTACTAAAACTACAAAAATTAGCCAGGCACGATGGCAGGTGCCTGTAGTCCCAGCTACTCGGGAGGCTGAGGCAGGAGAATCGCTTGAACCCAGGTGACAGAGGTTGCAGTGAGCTGAGATTGCACCACTGCAACTCCAGCCTGGGTGACAGAGTGAGACTCCGTCTCAAAAGAAAAAAAAAAGAATTTGGTGTAGCATATTTTTTATTTTTTAAAGATCATTTTATTTTAAAATGAAAGTGAAACTTCCTTCTGTACGTTTTAAGATAATAAACTGAAAGCCAGTTCTTGCCTCTCTCTCCATACATGTTTGGCCTTAAATGTTCAAAGTGAAATCAAGGTTAATTCCAAAAGGTGATTGTTAAAACTTTTGTTTTCTAAATTACATGTGTCCACCCTGGTTCTTTTGAATCTTTATTGTGTTATATAAAATACTCCACAAATAGGAAGTAGAGAATGTCATATACCTTCACCAAGATTCTGCTGGCTTTTATAGGAGAAGCTAGCTGCACTTGAATCAAGTATTGAACAGCGACTCAAGTGGGCAGGTGGTGCCAACCCTGCATTGGCCCCTGTACTACAAGATTTTGAAGCAACGATAGCTGAAAGAAGAAATCTTGTCCTTAAAGAGAGCCAAAGAGCAAGTCAGGTATTGTGACTTACATGCACCATCTTTGTATTCACTTTTACAGGATTAGATGAGTAGCTGGAAGTTATATGTGGGGTAACTAGGGGAGCTTGAGAGCCCACGTTCTGGCTCACAGCCCTGGGAGGAGGGACGGATGGGCCTTTCAGGACATGCCTTAAGTTGAACCCACAGCAGGTTATTTCCTTGGCCTTTACTGCCTCTCATTTAAATATTAATTAAATAAATTCAGCCTCTGTTGAAAAATAAAGAGGTCTTAAATTCATATCTGTTTAAGGTTCTCTGGGTCTCTTTTATACAACTAAAGTGATCCAAAGATTTGGAAAGGTACTTGGAATATTATTTTTTCCACATGACAATAAAACGTCTTAAGACCTTGTGCCCTGTTGGCCAGGCGCCGTGGCTTACGCCTGTAATCCCAGCACTTTGGGAGGCTGAGGTGGGTGGATCACAAGGTCAGGAGTTCAAGACCAGCGTGACCAATATGGTGAAACCCCGTCTCTGCTAAAAATACAAAAAAATTAGCTGGGTGTGGTGGTGGGTACCTGTAGTCCCAACTGCTCAGGAGTCTGAGGCAGGGGAATCGCTTGAACCTGGGAGCCAGAGGTTCCAGTGATCCAAGATCGTGCCACTGAATTCCAGCCTGGGTGACAGAGCAAGACTCTGTCTCAAAAAAAAAAAAAAAAGGACCTTGTGCCCTGTCAAGAGGCTGTGGATTGGGCAGGGGGAGGAGAACCAAAAAAACTATTACGGACATTTTCAACTAAGTACAAAATTGGACTAATACATGATACTCATACTTCATACCTGTCGCCAGTGCTTAATAATGATCAACTTAAGTCTTATCTTATTTCACCCATACTCCCTAATCCTCCTTTCTATCCATATTTAATAGAAATCCCAAATAGTGCATAATTTTATCTATAAATTTTTCAGTATATACCTATTAAGAACTATTTAAGAATGTATCATAGCTGGGCATGGTGGTATGTCCCTTTAGCTCTAGCTGCTCAGAAGTCTGAGGCGGGAGGATGGCTTGAAGCTAGGAGTTTGAAACCAGCCTGGGCAACATAGCAAGACACTGTCTCTACCAAAAAAAAAATTTTTTTTGTTTTTTTTGAGACGGAGTTTTGCTCTTGTTGCCCAGGCTGTAGTGCAGTGGCGTGATCTTGGCTCACTGCAACCTCTGCCTCCCGAGTTCAAGTGATTCTCCTGCCTCAGCCTCCCAAGTAGCTGGGATTACAGGCACCCGCCACCATGCCCAGCTAAGTTTTTTGTATTTTTAGTAGAGACGGGGTTTCACCATGTTGGCCAGGTTAGTTTCGAACTCCTGACCTCAGGTGATCCGCTGGCCTCAGCCTCCCAAAGTGCTGGGATTACAGGTGTGAGCCACCACACCTGGCCAATAAATTTTTTTTTTTTTTTTAGCTAGGCATGGTGGCACGCACCTCTGGTCCCAGCTGGGAGACTAGCTACCTGGGAGACTAAGGCGGTAGGATTGCTTGAGCCCAGGAGTTTAAGGCTACAGTGAGCCATAATTAAGCCACTATACTCCAGCCTGGGCAACAGGGGAGACCTTGTCTCAAAGGGAAAAAACAAAAAAACTAACCACAATATTAATCATACCTTTAAAATGAGCTTAATACTGCCAGATAAGTTAGGCAAGAATAGAAGCAGAAGGGGAACATTCTGACAGAAGTGTCTTCTGAATTGTGGCTGTAACACAAATTGCAGCTGAATATAACAGCTTTATTGTGGAGTAAATATTCTATGTAAAAACAGTAATGTAGAAGATAAATTTACCTAATTGTTTGTCAGTGCTTTTGGCCATCTCAGACCTAACAGTGTCAGTATAAATGTACATTTATTTACAGCCTTTATAAGGTTTTGGTCTATTTCCCAAACATTTTCAGGACCAATTCTGGTCCTGAATTCTCAAAATGAGGAAGTAGTATTTTTTCATGTTATTAATTGCCACCTCCCTTTCCCACCTTCCTCCCATCTCCTCTTGTGGTTCCATTTCTGTCTTTACAGGTCACATTTCTCTGCAGCAATATCATTCATTTTGAAAGTTTACGAACAAGAACTGCAGAAGCCTTAAACCTGGATGCGGCGTTATTTGAACTAATCAAGCGATGTCAGCAGATGTGTTCGTTTGCATCACAGTTTAACAGTTCAGTGTCTGAGTTAGAGCTTCGTTTATTACAGAGAGTGGTGAGTCTTGGTGGAAAGAAACTTGATTAAATAAGGCTAGTGTTATACTATTAAAATCAATTTAATATATACATTCCGATTACATTCGTTGAGCATATACTGTATGTAAGAGGTTGTTAGGGGGGCGGGGGGACAGTGATGATTAAATTATTTTCTTAGCGCCCCCCCCCCCGCCCCGAAACATATTATATGTTTAAAAATATAAAAAATGAGGAAGTGTAAAGGATCCTCATAGCTACAACCAAAATACTATGAAAGTTTAGAAGGGAGGAGAAAGACGATATGTAGCAAATGATTCCAATGCACTGAAAATAGAGCAGGAGAAAGAGGGCTTATGGAAGATGAATGCTGGAAAGGTTAGTGAAGGCCAGAAATAGCAAGTTGGTAAGTTTGACGTTTATATTTTGTCAGAAAGCTTAAAGCTGTATGTTAGGAAGTTCACATTTCATCTCGAAGAGTTATTTAGAATTTAGGGACCTGGATTGCCAGTCATCTTTGTGATTCCGAATGTATTTCTCAGGTCTTAAACTTTAAGCATTTAAAGCCTGCATGATTATGCAGAAAAGTAAAAATCTTCATCTATATTTCATAGATTATTGAGATTATTGTTAAGTAACTTGTAGGTAATTAATTCATGACTTAGCAATGGAGGTTCTCTTTGTGTCAGCTTGAGTTACTAATATCTTTTGATGATGTTAATGAAGAAAGAACTCATTATTTCAGCTGATACTCGAAGTCAAACAAATGCTTGTTCTATTTAGGACACTGGTCTTGAACATCCTATTGGCAGCTCTGAATGGCTTTTGTCAGCACACAAACAGTTGACCCAGGATATGTCTACTCAGAGGGCAATTCAGACAGAGAAAGAGCAGCAGATAGAAACGGTCTGTGAAACAATTCAGAATCTGGTTGATAATATAAAGACTGTGCTCACTGGTCATAACCGACAGCTTGGAGATGTCAAACATCTCTTGAAAGCTATGGCTAAGGTAAGACTAATACCATGAACACACATTTACTCTCCCTCTGTTATAAAATTTACAAGTAGTTTTATTTATAGGAAAAACAGTGACATTTTGTAAATAACAATTTATCTCATCACATCTTCCAATTTGTTTGTAACTGAGTTAACTTGTGTTTTCATCAACTATTTTTTAAAGCCAGTAGTAGTAGTTTGAATTTCATACACAGAGAAGCTAAGGCTTAATTAGATTCCTTTATTGTGATATAACTTGTAATAAAACCAAGATATGAACCTAGTCTGAGCATTCAGATATCCAGCTTGTCTTTCTCTTTCTTAGCTATACCAACAAACCCATACAGTTTGCCTCCAAAATGAATGAAATGTTGTCTCTTCCCTCCAGTGTTGTACATAGTCTAGTAAGTAAGAAAACTAAGCCTCCAGAAAAGGCTATTACTTCATCATTACAAACAGTAAATAATTTAATTTTAGAATTTACTTTTACTTTGAATTTTTATTTGATGGTGGAAACAAAGTTCCTATAAAAATGGAGTTGAACTAAGCAGTTTAAACACACTCATATTTGAAACATTTGTTACTTAATCACTAGGTGACTGTCTTGAGAGTAATTACTGATACTAAAACTATTTTTCTTAATCATTAATTTATCAATTCTAGGATGAAGAAGCTGCTCTGGCAGATGGTGAAGATGTTCCCTATGAGAACAGTGTTAGGCAGTTTTTGGGTGAATATAAATCATGGCAAGACAACATTCAAACAGTTCTATTTACATTAGTCCAGGCTATGGGTCAGGTTCGAAGTCAAGAACACGTTGAAATGCTCCAGGAAATCACTCCCACCTTGAAAGAACTGAAAACACAAAGTCAGAGGTAAGAATGCCTTCTGGTCAGAATTTATAAAACATAAGTACAAAACTACTGGTATAAGAAGTTTATCTCTTGATTTAATTTTTCAGTTTTGTTCATATTTTTATAAGTAGTATCAGGTAAAACATTTCGTAAATAAGCCATTTTATTTTGTATTTCAGTATCTATAATAATTTAGTGAGTTTTGCATCACCCTTAGTCACCGATGCAACAAATGAATGTTCGAGTCCAACGTCATCTGCTACTTATCAGCCATCCTTCGCTGCAGGTAGGAGAAGAGTCCTGAGTCTTGATCTGTTGTTAATGTTACACATAGATGCTAAGATGTTTAATTATACATAACTGTCTAATATTAAACACTTAAGGCCTGTCATTCTATAATCTTAAACTGAACAGATTTTAGCTTATCCTTAAAAATACTCGTAAGCCAGGCACGATGGCTCACACCTGTAATCTCAGCTACTTGAAGGCCAAGGTGGGAGGATTGTCTAAGGCCAGGAGTTCAAGACCCTGTCTCTTTAAAAATAAATAAATAAACAGCTATTAAAAAAAAAAAAAAAAAAAAGGCCGGGCGAGGTGGCTCACACCCATAATCCCAGCACTTTGGGAGGCTGAGCCAGGTGGATCACCTAAGGTCAGGTGTTTGAGACCAGTCGGGCCAACATGGTGAAACCTTGTCTCTACTAAAAATACAAAAAAAATTAGCTGGGTGTGGTGCCAGATGCTTGTAGTCCCAGCTACTCAGGAGGCTGAGGCAGGAGAATTGCTTGAACCCGGGAGGTGGAGGTTACGGTGAGCCAAGATCACGCCACTGCACTCCAGGCTGGGTGACAGAGCAAGACTCTGTCTCAAAAAAATGAAACAACTCGTGAGAGAGTAAAAATGCTTTGCTAATTTGAATAGTTTTCTTTAAAAAAATTGTTTTTATTTTTGTTTGAGGCGGAGTCTCAAAACTGTCTCTTGTCGCCCAGGCTGGAGTGCAGTGGCACAGTTGCGGCTCACTGTAACCTCCACCCCCCAGATTCAAGCAATTCTCCTGCCTCAGCTTCCTGAGTAGCTTGGATTACAGGTGCTCGCCACCATGCCTGGCTAAAAAAAATATATATATATATCAGAGAAACATAGGAAAATACTTAATACAAATGAAGAATTTGTAGTTCCATTCCAAATAGAGGCAGAAACCACTCTGCATTTGTTGATTTACTTGCTGTGCATATGTACACATACACAAACACATTGGGATGATTATGCAAATGTAATTTTTGTTGCCTTTCCAGTTAATAATTTTTCAGTCATTAAATAATCTTTTTAAAAATGACTTAATGGCCAATTTATTTTTATTTTTTATTTTCTTATTTATTTTTATTTTATTTTATTTTTTTTTAATTTAATTTAATTTTTTTTTTTTTTTTTGAGATGAGTCTCACTCAGTCGCCCAGGCTGGAGTGCAGTGGCGCAATCTTGGCTCACTGCAACTTCCGCCTTCTGGGTTCAGGGGATTCTCCTGCCTCAACCTCCCCAGTAGCTGGAATTACAAGAACCTGCCACCACGCCCTGCTAATTTTTGTATTTTTATAGAGACAGGATTTTGCCATGTTGGCTAGGCTTGAATTAATTCAAGATGGATTAAAGACTTAAATGTTAGACCTAAAACCATAAAAACCCTAGAAGAAAACCTAGGCAATACCATTCAGGACATAGGCATGGGCAAGGACTCCATGTCTAAAACACCAAAAGCAATGGCAACAAAAGCCAAAATTGAAAAATGGAATCTAATTAAACTAAAGAGCTTCTGCACAGCAAAAGAAACTACCATCAGAGTGAACAGGCAACCTACAGAATGGGAGAAAATTTTTGCAATCTACTCATCTGACAAAAGTCTAATATCCAGAATCTACAAAGAACTCAAATTTACAAGAAAAAAACAACCCCATCAAAAAGTGGGCGAAGGATATAAACAGACACTTCTCAAAAGAAGACATTTATGCAGCCAACAGACACATGAAAAAATGCTCATCATCACTGGCCATCAGAGAAATGCAAATCAAAACCACAATGAGATACCATCTCACACCAGTTAGAATGGCCATCATTAAAAAGTCAGGAAACAACAGGTGCTGGAGAGGATGTGGAGAAATAGGAACACTTTTACACTGTTGGTGGGACTGTAAACTAGTTTAACCATTGTGGAAGTCAGTGTGGTGATTCCTCAGGGATCTAGAACTAGAAATACCATTTGACCCAGCCATCCCATTACTGGGTATATACCCAAAGGACTATAAATCATGCTGCTATAAAGACACATGCACACGTATGTTTATTGCGGCACTACTCACAATAGCAAAGACTTGGAACCAACCCAAATGTCCAACAATGATAGACTGGATTAAGAAAATGTGGCACATATACACCATGGAATACTATGCAGCCATAAAAAAGGATGAGTTCATGTCCTTTGTAGGGACATGGATGAAGCTGGAAACCATCATTCTCAGCAAACTATCGCAGGGACAAAAAACCAAACACCGCATGTTCTCACTCATAGGTGGGAATTGAACAATGAGAACACTTGGACACAGGAAGGGGAACATCTCACACCGGGGCTTGTTGTGGGTGGGGGGACAGGAGAGGGATAGCATTAGGAGATATACCTAATGTAAATGAAGAGTTAATGGGTGCAGCACACCAACATGGCACATGTATACATATGCAACAAACCTGCATGTTGTGCACATGTACCCTAGAACCTGAAGTATAGTAAATGTGTGTGTATATATATATGTGTGTGTGTGTGTATATGTGTATATATATGTGTATATATATGTGTGTATGTATATATATGTGTATATATATGTATATATATGTGTGTGTATATATATGTATATATATATAAAATAGTTCACAAAGATTAACACGTGGATACCCAAAATATCATATTACCATTGTATATTTTGGTAAATTAATGTTTATATTTCACTTTTATTGAATTTAATAAATTCCTGACCTCAACTGATCCGCCCACTTCAGCCTCCCCAAAGTGCTGGGATTACAGGCGTGAGCCATCATGCCTGGCTGTTATTTATGGTTTTTGATGCCACAAGCCTAGTAAACATAATTGTACAAATTCATACCTGAATGTCTGGCTGTTTTTAGGCTACATTTTTAGGAAGACAATTGCTGTGTCCAAGGATAAGGATTTATAGTTGATTATTTAATTGGGGTATCAACCACTACCACCTATCCCGTGCTTGCTCCACTCTGCCCCCTCCATGTTCTGTTTACATGTAAATTGAGCCACCAACTCTTTCTCTGTAGCAGTCCGGAGTAACACTGGCCAGAAGACTCAGCCTGATGTCATGTCACAGAATGCTAGAAAGCTGATCCAAAAAAATCTTGCTACATCAGCTGATACTCCACCAAGCACCGTTCCAGGAACTGGCAAGAGTGTTGCTTGTAGTCCTAAAAAGGCAGTCAGAGACCCTAAAACTGGGAAAGGTAATTAGTTAGAATAAAGATGCCTTAAATTTTTATATAAAATGACGGTTTGACTTACGTATGTTTTTGTTGCTTCATAGCGGTGCAAGAGAGAAACTCCTATGCAGTGAGTGTGTGGAAGAGAGTGAAAGCCAAGTTAGAGGGCCGAGATGTTGATCCGAATAGGAGGATGTCAGTTGCTGAACAGGTGACCGTGTTTTAAACTTGGGCTACACATTTTAATGCTGCTGGAAAAGTAGAGGTGTATAAAGATCCCTCTCATCGATTTCCTTAATAGTTCATCAAGGAACTTAAATGTGTTTTCAGGATTCAGAAGATTTTGAGTAACACAGCTCTGGCGTCGTCAAGTAGTCACCATTTTACTCTGACCCTTCCCTATGAGCACTTTCCTTTCCCCTAGCCCTGTTTTAACCCAAATATAAGTCCGATCCTCCTCCACCAGACTACAGTTAGTTTCCATTTAAAGAAGACTGTTGAAGGTTTCAAATGAAATGCCAAGGACCCTTTGGGTTGCAGGTGTAGTATGAGTGGAGCATCCCTAATTAGAAACTCATATGCTCCAAATCCGAAGCATTTTGAGAGTTGACATGATGCCATAAGTGAAAAGTTCCATGCCTGACCTGGTGATGGATCCCAGTAGTGAAAATCTAGTCAGAACCTGTTTCATGCACAAAATCACTGAAAATGTATAAAATTACCTTCAGGCTATGTGTATAATAAGGCATAAGTGGATTCTGTGTGTAGACTTGCATCCCACCACCAAGTTCCTCATTATATACATGTATATATTCCAAAATCTCAAAGAATCCAAAATCTAAAACTACAGGTCCCAAGCATTTTGGATAAGGGATACTCAACCTATGTTTGTAAAGCATCTTTGGGTATCGGGACATTTGTCTGAAGTCATTATTCTGAAATTTTTTCATTAGTCTTACTAATATTGAATATATAAATTTGAGAATAAAGCTACAGAAAAGTTATAGGAATGCCCATAAACGTTTTACCTAGACTCACCAGTTAACAATTTCCCATGTTTCATTGTTCTGTGTGTGTATGCACACACAGTTTTTCTGAACAATTTGAGGGTTCTTTGCAGACATCTTAGCACTTCATGCCTAAACTTCACCATGTGTCTCTTGAACAAAATACTATAATACTGTAGCTACTACATAATTGTCAACTCAGGAAACTTAACATTGTTGTAATACTATTATCTGACATTCAGTCCACATTCAGATTTCTCCAATTATCTCAAAATATCCTTTATTGCTTATTCCTCCTCTCTGAACCCCCTGTTCCTCCGACCTTCAAGATCTAGTCAAGGATCATCATGCATTTTGTGTATAGATAGATGGTCCTCCCCTTATGGAGTGACATCCCAATAAATCCATAAGTCTAAAATGCATTTAATACCCCGATAAACCCATGGTGAGGTAAAAAATGGTCATTCAGATCCACTGTGAGTCAGGGACTGTCCATCCTTGTCCTACTTCTTGATCTGCTTTAATATCTAGAACAGTTCCTGAGCCTTTCCCTCTTCTCTTCCGTTGATATTTTTGGTTTGTCTAGATTAGTTGGTTTACAGAATGTGCCTCCATTTATATTTGTCTGATATTTTCCTCATAATTCAATTCATTCAAGATTTTTTTTGGAAGGAATGCAACATCAGTGATGTTTCTTTCTCAGTATTTTACATCAAGAGACACATGTCAGTTTGTGCCATCTTTGGTGGTGATAAGCTAGATCATTTGGTCAAGAGAGGTATCCTCTTGATGTCTTCATTATAAATGTACATTTTTTTCCTGTGGGATAAAAATTAAGAGACTGAATATCCTGTTCTTCCATGGTTTGGCATCCGTAATTCAATTTTAACATCAGCAAGGAATTTTTTTTTTCTTTTAAACACTATTATATTCTTGTATAGGACCTAGACTTGAACTCTTCTTGGGCAAGAATTTTTTTTTTTTTAAGAAACCGTTTTGTCAAGTTTGTCAAAAACCATGAGAGATTTTCTGAGTTTGGGATATTTTTACTTAAGAAACGTTCTGGTAGGTTAATGGATTGTGTGCTTTTCATATCTTTATAACTGTCTTAGCTCTCTTTTTAAAGTATACTTGGTTATTGTGCTTTTTATTCTGATAGTTATTACATTTTATATGAAAATTAAGGGGCTTACAGGAGCAGGGTAAGTATAGAGTCCTTTGCACTTAACTTTTGGCATAATTTGTCTGCTGATTGTAATTCAGCAGACAATTGAAAAGCTTTAAATGACTTTACATACTATCCTGCCTATTTTTACAGGTTGACTATGTCATTAAGGAAGCAACTAATCTAGATAACTTGGCTCAGCTGTATGAAGGTTGGACAGCCTGGGTGTGAATGGCAAGACAGTAGATGAGTCTGGTTAAGCGAGGTCAGACATCCACCAGAATCAACTCAGCCTCAGGCATCCAAAGCCACACCACAGTCGGTGGTGATGCAACTGGGGGCTTACTCTGAGGAAACCTAGGAAATCTCGGTGCACTAGGAAGTGAATCCCGCAGGACAGCTGCACTCAGGGATACGCCCAACACCATGGCCTGCAACCCCAGGGTCAAGGGTGAAGGAAAGCAAGCTCACCGCCTGAACACGGAGATTGTCTTTCTGCCACAGAACAGCAGCAGACGTGTCGGGAGGTTAGCTGCGGAAAGAAATCGGGATGCCGCGGAGCACAGAGTGATTTGGAACTCCATTCCACCTGACCCTGTGTGTACAATCCAGGAAAAAAACAAACCCCACTCAGAAACAGAGAAAACTGGGGTCGCGAAGAAATCACAGCCAAGGAAGATTTGATGCATTCAGATTCTCGTGTAACACTTGTTGCTTGGCAACAGTACTGGTTGGGTTGACCAGTAAGTAGAAAAAGGCTAAAGGCTATGCGATATGAATTTCAGAAATGGACTGAAAATGGAGAGCTATGTAACAGATACACTACAGTAGAAGAACTTACTTCTGAAATGAAGGGAAAAAAACCACCCCATCGTTCCCTACTCCTCCCCACCACTTACCCGTTCCCCCTTTACCTAATCTAGTAGATTAGCCATCTTTCAAATTCACTTTTATTTCAGTCCTTATATTTCATATACTTCCGTCTCGATGCTGTTAACAACTTCTGATAACATGGAAAATTCAAGGATTGTTTAAAGGTCTGATGATCACACACAAAATGTAATTCCGGTTATTTAAGTCATTTCTGTGATTCTATCATGTACAGTTTCCAGAATTGTCACTGTGCATTCAAAAGTAATGAATCTAACAGACATTTGATTTAATGTACACTCCCTTTTGCTTATAGTGTGCATTTTTTTTGGAGGTCATTCAAATTTTCCCTCTTCTGTGATAGCTGTAGTTTCTTTCATAGAAAGTAGCTAATCCAGTGTAATCTTTTACCTTTTTAAAAACCAAGATAGAGTATCTATTAGAGTTTTACATTGTTGATGATAGATTAACAATAAAGTGATGTTCTGGTGGAGGTAGACTGAAATTTTTTTAATTCATGTTTTTCATTTGATACTTTTAATTTACACTTAGTAAATTAAAAGTTGTTTAATTTACTTGGCATTTTAGGACATGTACATGAAACAGTGAAAATGAGATCCACCAACATCTTTTATTAAGTTCAGTTATTAGTCTGTGAAGTGCTTTACTTTTTGCACAATTTTAATAGCTTGCTATTCAGTAATACATTATAGTGAATTCATGATCAAGGTTTCCTTAAATTTAGCATTGCATTTCAGTACTGACTGTGTAAGCTAAATTGCTGATCCAAAATAAAAACCCAGACTAGAATAGGGTTCTTAAAATCAAGTATCAATACAAAATAGAACACAATTAAAATCTTAATTGTTGGCTGGGCACAGTGGCTCACGCCTGTAATCCCAGCACTTTGGGAGGCCGAGGCGGGCGGATCATGAGGTTAGGAGAGCGAGACCATCCTGGCTAACACGGTGAAACCCCGTCTTTACTAAAAATACAAAAAAAATTAGCCGGGCGTGGTGGCGGGCGCCTGTAGTCCCAGCTACTCGGGAGGCTGAGGCAGGAGAATGGCGTGAACCCAGGAGGCGGAGCTTGCAGTGAGCCGAGATTGTGCCACTGCACTCCAGCCTGGGCAACAGAGCTAGACTCTGTGTCAAAAATAAATGACTAGATAAAAAAAAAAATTGTTTGAGTACATTTTCCCTGCATTTTAGAGATTAGGACAGTGGTCACTTTCTAGTTGCCGTCTTCACAGACAAACTTGAAAGGTATTAAGGAAAAAATTCCACATAGCTCTGGGCCTTTTTTGTATTCTGATTGCCACGTTAATCTGTAATCGTTAAGTACCCATGAAAGAATGTGTTTCAGTATCAGTGCTTTTTTGGTACTTTAACAAGTATTGTAGGCACGGTGGATTTTTTTGAAATACCCATGTGTCCAATAGCAAGTTAAGGAACCTAGCGCATCAAATTTTGTTTTCTTCATTCATTTGGAACCTTATTTTCGCAAAAAACCTAGCTGGAATAATAATGCCATATTGTATTTTGCACACTGCTTTATTTTCTAGAGGCTCTGGGAGCAAATTACATTCATCACATTACCTCTGCTCTCTCAAGATTAAAGTCTTTCAGCAACATTCTTTATTGTCATCATAAGGAAAAACTTTTATCGCAATGATAGTCAGTTCACATTAGTTTAGCACTATAGATAGTATTCAGAAATTGCTTTCTCTTTGGTAAAGAAGATAAATAGGTGAATTTTATTGCCTGTGTTTTCAGGCTTCAGAGGTACCTGGCACCTTACTCAAGCAAAAACAAAAAACAGCTTTACTTCAAAAGCATGTGCCTCTGGTAAATTATCCATCACTTTTGTTTTAAAGTGGTCCCTCCAAGAATAATGTGGCATACACAGTGGGTTTGGTTGTAAGGCAGATGTAATAGATGACTTCAAAAGCCTGCTCCTTACTGCACTCTGGACAAGGCCCTGGTCTGTATAGTTTGGCTTCCTCTGTTAAGTCATTCTACAAGGTGACTTGCCATTTGAACTTTCGTAAGAGACCTCAGCAGTTAGACTGAGAAAAGTTAGAGTGCTGTAGTTATGAAGTCATACATTTTTGATAAAATACCTGTGGAAAACCAGGGATCCTCTCCTGTTTCTCTCTCTTGCCTCCCCCTTTCCCTCCATTCCTCTGTCGCCTCCCCCTCTCCTCCACTTTCTTTAAGAATCAGGGGGTACAGAATAACCTACAAACAACCTCTTCAAAGTACCCTTGGAAATTGAAGTTCAATCTTAAGTTTTTTGCTGTCTTTAATTTACTAGAATTGCCTAATTTTTAGTTGATTTCTCTACAGAGCTTAGCTTGTGTAGTTATTTCTCTTTTACTGTTGCTTTGGTGTGTCTTGAAGTTTGATTGATTATTTTTGGTCATTGAGTTCTTAGTGTAGTTTGCTAGATGATTATTAAGATTCTTTTGTGTCTGACACTTGTGGTGAGTTGCTTTTGAAATCTGTTGAGATTTCCATGTGAGAACTGATAATCAGGCTCTTGATCTGCTTCCCTAAATTACTTTTTTAGAGCCCAAACCCCAGGTTTAGGGTGAGGGTTTGTAATACAAAGAAACACTTCCATCACTTCTGCCCTTAACCCTTGCCTCTATTACCTAAGCTTAGTAAGTAGTTTTCTTAATATTGTCCAATGTTTGGTGTTATCTGCATTGTTTTTTGTTTTTTTAATTGTGGTTGTTCTGACGTGTGAAATTTAAGGAAAGAGCCATTTTTTAAAAATGCCGAGCAGGGCAATGCAAGTACAGCCAAATATTAGACTTGATGTGCAATCTTCGGTCCTTTTTAATCTGGGGTATTATAGGCAGTACTTTAAATTGCAAAGTCTTCCGGGCCTATTTTCCTCTACATTTTTGTAATTAACTCTGGGGGCTTACTTGTTTTGGCAGTACTGAAATCAAAGGAGCTGGTTCTTCTTTTCTCCCAATTATTTTCATATGAAAGCACCTACAATTAGCCTGTTAGTCCTATTCAGATACATCAAATATCAGTGAATGCTTTACTATTCGCACATTTAAGCATCTTTGTTTTACATAAAATTAGAGTATGAAAACCAGTGTTCAATTTTTTATCTTGTTGAGCTTGTAAAATGCCAGCAATTTAAAACTAGGACTTTTCCCCCCATAAGCCAAGGAGGTAGAATTACTAATACAAGGGTTAAAGAAGGTAGATTTTGTTTTCAATATTTGGGTAATATTAGAAAGATTCTTCCCACAGGGAAGAACTAGCAAGTGTCCCAATTTTTTCCAAACGTTGGGGAGGGGAAAATTCACTGTATCATGAAACCCTAAGGGTTTGTTGCACTTCCTGCTTTTTAGGCCTGGATAACAGTATCACCATCCTTATTTACAGAAGGGTAAAACTGACTCTTAATGAGAAAAGCTTTATAAGTTCAAGGGCTGTAAAATATGAACTACTTAGGGTCGTTTGCCTTCCATGGGAACTTGGCTAGACTTAGAAAAAGCTGTTTGTTGTGCTAATGTAAAAGTGTCATACAATTTAGAAGATTTTTGAAGATGGTAAACTTAGAAGAATTCTATGTTCTGAAATGCACACTTTTAGAATGTTTTTCTTTGAAAACAGGCTAATAGTTTTTTCTTTTTTTGACAAAGTTTCAGCTCCTCTTTAAAGTTATTGTGTCATTTTTCTGGTTTAAATTTCCCTTATATTTCCACCTGTAATGTCAGTGGCAACAACATCATACTTCACTTACTTGTTAATTTACTTTTTACCCTTATTCTAAGAGCAAGTTGAGTTGAACTGAATCTTCCTTGTCTTAGTAACAATGTATAAATAGTGGCTTTTCTGTACAAAAGGTTGTAATGCCTCCTGATGGATATAATTTTGTGATTGTATTTAAAAGTTGAATAAATCACACCAGCTTCCTGAAAATGTTCATAATGCATCTTTTGGAAAACAAATACATGCCTACTTTGTGCATATTTGCATTAACATGGCAAAGATTGTATGAAATACCTGTTTTTCAGAAAATAAAGGTTCAGTCTCAAAAGATACAGCATTTAAGTTCTGAATTTATTGGTCAAAATAGATTTTGGAAAACTTGAAACCTTTTGGAACCTGGGTAGCTTGAAAAAACAAAACGACAGGGTCTCCCTATGTTGCCCAGGCTGATCTCGAACTCCTGGGCTCAAGTTACACTCCCACTTCAGCCTCCCAAAGTGCTGGGATTACAAGCCTGAGCCACTAAGCCGAGCCAAGCCTAGTCTTTTTTTTCTGAATAGCACTAATACCTCAAAAAAGACCCCTAAATTCTCAGAAAAGTAACTATTTTATTCTCAAACATCTGTTGTATTTTTGAATAGCAGTAGAAATTCTACTTCAACGATAAAATTCTTTGTGTTAAGGCCCAATTTATAAAGCTTAATTTTGGCAGTATTTAAAAACAAAATTCCCGTAGATCATTATTGACAGATAGGTGCATTCCTTGGAGTGTGAAACCTCTGAAAAAAAATAGAAAATGTCCAGCTTGGCTTTATATCTTGGAGATTGCATTTGTTGCTGCTAAATGAAGTTAGTAAGATTTGTGTTAACTGCTTAGTCATCTGGCACATTTCAAAAGATCACATCCTGTCTCTGTAGGACAAAAACAAAGCTCTAAAGAAAGCTATGTTAAGGGTGGGTGTTTTTTAATAATTAGACCAATCGGAAATTTAGTGAGAGACCATATAGCAGGGCTGTGCATTTAGAAATAGGTATGGGAATACATTGTTAAGTAACAAAAAATACTAAGTGGAGAAACTGCTGTTTCAGTTGCTTCTGTTTTTTTCACCTACCTTCATTTCACAAGCTGGTGTTAACAAGTCTTAAGTTGTGCATGGAAAACTTGGGTGAAAACAAGAAGCATATTCTGCAGCAAAAGCTGATTTCCCAAAAGTAGAAATGTCAGTTTTAAACCCTAATAAAATACCCTCTCTTTTGGAAGTGGCTATTACTGTGGGTCTAGCAAGATCACATACCCAGTGCTCAACATATTCACTAATTATGTGGCTGCTGATTGCTTCGATCTTTTTGACTTTTTTTTTTTTTTTTTTTTTTGAGACAGGTTTTTTGCTCTGTCACCCAAGCTTAAGTGCATAGGTGCAATCATAGCTCACTGCAGCCTCTATTTCCTGGGCTCAAGGGATCTTCCCTGCCTCCCCATTTGTATTTTTTTTTTTTTAGGGGCGTGGAGAAGAACCTGCTCCTCAGACTCCATAGCTTTAAAATCTCTCCAAATAGCGTCTCTGTCAACTGGCTGTATCCTGCCTTTACAACTTCTTTACCCCAACATTCTCCAAAGTGGCACTTTATTGAACAGTCAGCTTCCCTTGCAAAGACTTTTTTTCAAGTGCTTCTCCCTGATTCAGATACTTCACTCCCCTTTCCCCGAAAGACCCACAGCAAATTGACACCCTTCCATGAAATTCACAATGCTCCTGCCCTTGCCCAGCTCTCTTAGGGGCAGTATGTGGTCTGCAGCTATGTTCTCTCACATTTATGACTTCCTTGAACATTTAAGAACCTGGTGGTTACTTAAGGAACATTTTAAAAATAAATTTAAATTCAATGGCCGAATACAAATGACCATGAGATTGGAAGTTAAAACCTGTAAAAAAGATAAAAGGTTGGAAGTTAAAACTATAGTTAATTCACCTGAAACAAACATCTGATCCGGACATTTGGCATGATTCTGTTTGTATCAAACGATGAAAAATCGGCCGGGCGCGGTGGCTACTGCACTACAGCCTGGGCAACAGAGCCAGGCTGTGTCTCAAGAAAAAAAGAAAAAAAAAAAAAAAAAAAAAAAAAAAAGATCAAAGCACTTGTTACTGCATTTGAAATCCTGGATAGAAAAGATGTACAAGTGCCTCAACACAGTTCCTAAACTGCCTAGGAATTCTACTGCTTGTGAGAGGGTTTACATATTTTCTTAGCTTGACCTCTAATGGAAGAAAGGTCGTGTCAAGAACTATCCTTTTGGCCGGGCGCGGTAGCTCACGCCTGTAATCCCAGCACTTTGGCAGGCTAAGGCGGGCGGATATCTTGAGGTCAGGAGGTCCAGACCACCCTGGCCAAAATAGCGAAACCCCGTCTCTATTAAAATACAAAAATTAGCCGGGCGTAGTGACGGGCGTCTGTAATTCCAGCTACTCGGGAGGCTGACGCGCCAGGATCACTTGAACCCGGGAGATGGAGGTTACAGTGAGCAGAGATCGCGCCACTGCACTTCAGCCGGGGCCACGGAGCGCGAGACTCCTTCGTCTCAAACAAACAAACAAACAATTCTGGCCGGGCGCGGTGGCTCACGCCTGTAATC
Source organism: Homo sapiens (assembly GCF_000001405.40). Lineage (NCBI taxonomy): Eukaryota > Metazoa > Chordata > Mammalia > Primates > Hominidae > Homo > Homo sapiens. The sequence goes on along the minus strand of NC_000016.10, from coordinate 18,802,554 downwards.
CTAGCACTTTGGGAGGCCGAGGCGGGCGGATCACGAGGTCAGGAGATCGAGACCATCCTAACACGGTGAAACTACGTCTCTACTAAAAATACAAAAAATTAGCCAGGCGTGTTGGCGGACGCCTGTAGTCCCAGCTACTTGGAAGGCTGAGGCAGGACAATGGCGTGAACCCGGGAGGCAGAGCTTGCAGTGAGCAAGATCGCGCCACTGCACTCCAGGCTGGGCAACATAGCGAGACTCCGTCTCAAAAAAAAAGAAAAAAAAAAAAAGAATCCTTTTGGAGAGGGAGCTTGTAGTTTAAGTAACTTAAACATCCACGTATAATAAAGCCACTTAGAAGGCGGTGCATTTTCACACGTTCTCAAACCAGGCCTGGGTTTTTCCGCGCAAGCTAAGGCCTCATTCCTACTGGGTAGGAGAGAAACATTGCAGCAAAATCCACACAAAGAGCTCTTTTCACTTGTCCTCAAAACCTCACGGGTCGCAAATCCGGGCTAAACGGCTCAGGGGCCTGGCTGGGGAACTGGGCCGAAGGTGGAACGGATCCCAGCCACCTCGGGGCCAGGAAAAGATGAAGTGTCGCAGGCCCGGCGTCCCCGCCCTCCGCCTGAGGCAACGGAGCATCTCTCTTCGAGTAGCCCATTTTCCAGAGAGTCTCCTCGGCTGCGAAAGCCAGACGAAGAGGGACCCAAAGCCACCGCAGCGGCAAGAGCCGGAGAACCACTGAGGGACAGCGCCCCCTGCAGAGGCGGTTGAACCGCTTCCCACAGCGCTGGGCGGGGCGTCGCGCAGTCCCTGGGCGCTGATTGGGCACTCCGTGTCCCCTCCCCCTCGGCCCGGCGCTGCCTCTGTCTCCTTTGACCTCGATTTCAAGCCATGCGCTGAGCTTCGGTTGGCCCGGCTTCCTTGAGGCGTAAGCTCGGTCTGTCCAATGAGGAGCGAGCGTCGCGGGGGCCGTCGGGAAGGGCGGCCGACCCATATAAGCAGCCTGCGGGGCGTTCCCTCGGGTTGTGGTTGGTGTGCGGGTTTCGGTTGGAGGACTCGTTGGGGAGGTGGCCTGCGCTTGTAGAGACTGCATCCCCGAGACGATGGCGGAGGGAGATAATCGCAGCACCAACCTGCTGGTGAGTCCTGGCTGCCTGTCCCCCGGGAGCCGAGCGAGGCCTCCAGACGTCCGTGGGCTCAAACACCGCGGCCTCGTCCCTGTCACCCGCCGCGGGCCCGGCCCTTCTCTCCCTGGGCAGGCGACGATGCCTGGCCCTCGGGCTTCTTGGGTGACTCCTGGGTGTCGAACCCTTACCTTTCCTGGGGACGGTGCGCGACGGGGCGAGGAGGGCGCGTGATTCATCACCGCGAGTAGGAGTCGAGGAGGAAGTGGGAGGCAGAGGGGCTGCGACACTAGCCTGGGGTGCGGGTGGGGGCAGAAGGCCTCCTGGGGCCTGTCCAGCGCTTTCGCGGCTCAGGCCCCAGCCGTATTCGGCTTTCCCCGTCTTTGATCTTAACCTGGATGTGCCTGCCTTCTTTTCCCCCTAAAACTTGGACAAGGGTGGAGGGTCAAAGGGCTACTGCCCAGAATTTATCTTAGAGCTGGTACAACTTAAAACGACAGGGAGGCTGCGAGCTCACCGTGGGGAACCGGGAGCGGGGTCCAGCTGAACAGACAATGGGATGTCTTGGCGTTTGTCTGGAATTTGGAAGTCTGGCGGGGGTGGGGTCACAGGACTACTGGAAACAGCTTTAGAGTAATAAGCAGGGATCCGAAGGAACTGCAGTGAGATGGTATCATAGGCGGACACATTTTTATTTGTTATGAATTTAAGCGCACCTTGTGGGCAAAAAACAAGAGAAATATCCTTGCATATTCTCAGTTGCCCTTCCCTGGTGACTGTAGGTCACATACCAGCAATGAAAAACGGAACCAAAGAATTTACTTAGGGGCTTTTGAACTTCCAAGACCCCAGACGCTGGCCAATGACGTGACTTCAGGGCAGTTTTGATTGTGCGTGATTTTATATTTGCTTTTAGAAATGCATGGTTTGTTCCTTTAAACACACGCTCCTTCTAGCATAGTTAGTTCTCAGCGTGGATCTTTTTAAGAGGATTAATTGAAGCACAGAGAAGTAGCTCAAGCCCTGTTGAAATGACAAATCCTGGGCTAGAGCTCCTGCTTCCCAACTCTCCTTCCAGCAGAGCAATATAACTCTAAGGAAAGCAACGCCTTTGGTCGTGGATTTCTTGGATGCAGATCAGTTAACCTCTGTATCTGTTTCCTCCTTGGTAAAATGGGGACAGTAATAACACCTTTTTTTAAGGGTTGTTAGGAAGATTAATTGAAGTATAAATATGAATGCTCAGCAGAGTGCCCACACATAGTAGTCTCTTTCACTAGTATTAAGCATGGAATATAAAGTCAGAAATATTGAGATCACACTAGTGCTCAGCGTGGCACAGATAGCGAGCGTCTTTGTTAAGATTAAGTGCCTTGTTCTGTCATTTGCATGATTTCCAGTGAATGACTTTTACAAAGAGACAAGGTCTCAGCCCAGGCTGGTCCCGATCTCCTGGGCTCAAGCAATCCCCCCCGACCCGCCAAGTGCTGGGTTTACAGGCGTGATCCACTGCATCCAGCCTGATAACATAGAGACACTTGAGTTTCTTATTCTAAATTTTTCTTCCTTTACCAAAACCAGCTTTAAGGGCTTTTGCCACATTAGCTCATCCTAGAGGCCCACTTTCGGCTGTTCAGAGTCAGAGAAATTTGAAGTATAATCAAAATGACATCCTGAGTGGTAAGAAACACTGTATTGAGGAGGTATATTGACCGTAAAATGCCACCTTAATTTGGTGAAAGTAGTTTTCCTTAATTGTCCAATGAATGTCAACATCTGAGTGATTCCATTACACAAAGAGCTATTTTAGAAATTGAATGCTATTCAGGGAAAGTCTTTCCTAATGGATTTAGAAGGGTTTAAATCAATAAGATGACAAAAACAACGGATCAATTCTAACCATCTGAAATAAACAAACTTAAAAAAAGTTATTTCATTTTATTAATACTCTGGGCACTGCCACGATTCCCCGCATGACTTTGAGAAAGTAAACCATTTTGAGCTCACTTTCTTTAATTGTAAATTGAGTCTAATTATCCCTACCTTGTGGCTCTCTGTAAGGATTAAGTTACATCATGTATATAAAGAATAGCCCAGTGCTTGGACTAGAAAAGTGACCATTAAAGGATATTTAGGCTGGGCCTGGTGGCTCACACCTGTAATCCCAGCACTTTGGGAAGACGAGGTGAGTGGATCACTTGAGGTCCAGAGTTTGAGACCAGCCTGGCCAACATGGTGAAACCCTGTCTCTACAAAAAATTAGTCGGGCGTGGTGGCGGGCGCCTATAGTCCCAACTACTCAGGAGTATGAGGTAGGAGAATCGCTTGAACCCAGGAGGCGGAGGCTGCAGTGAGCCGAGATCTCCCCACTGCACTCCAGCCTGGGTGACAGAGCGAGACTCCGTCTCAAAAAAAAAAACACAAAAAACAAAAAAACCCATTGTATTTTCATCTTTGAAATTGCAGTTTTTCAGAAACCAACTAGTTTAAAATTGGCAATTTGGTTAAGAGGTTATTTTTTGTATTTGGAGCTTTAAAATAATTGAAGTCTATGAACCACAAAAATGTTGAGAGTGGTAAAATGATCACTTTAAATGTCGGTGGTATTTAGGCTGCAGAGACTGCAAGTCTGGAAGAACAGCTGCAAGGATGGGGAGAAGTGATGCTGATGGCTGATAAAGTCCTCCGATGGGAAAGAGCCTGGTTTCCACCTGCCATCATGGGTGTGGTTTCTTTGGTGTTTCTGTAAGTGAGCTATTAGATTACTATGGGTTGTGCTTCTTATTAATAAAGACTTTTTAATATATAGCTTCTGTTTGTGGGAGTGCCTTAAGTCTTCTGTAATATATAACCCATAAAGAACCCATAAAGAATGTTTCTCATAAGCACTTCTAGTTTCCAGAATTTGTAGTACTTCTGTAAACTTGGTAACCTAAAGCACTTGAGTAAATCAGTGACTCGCAAACTTTTTGTCCTCCAGACACTTAAACTCTTTTTTTGTTATTATACTTTAAGTTCTGGGAAACATGTGTAGAATGTACAGGTTTGTTACATAGGTATATATACATGTGCCATGGTGGTTTGCTGCACCCATCAACCCTTCATCTACATTAGGTATTTCTCCTAATGCTATCCCTCCCCTAGTCCCCCACCTCCCTAAACTCTTAAAAAAGTGCTGAGAACTCCAAAGAGCTTTTGTCCATTGATATATACTTAACCACTGCAGCTATGATATCAGCATGTCACAAAGCCTCTGGAAAGCCACTTGTGAGAAAATTAGAAGAAAAATGGCAAATATCTCTGAGAGGCGGTGAATAGTTAAGTGAATAGTTAAGTTAGACATGTTTAGTTAGGAATAATAATGACTATGTTTTTCTAACCTTTATTAATTTTTTTAACAGGATTATCTACTATCTAGATCCATCTGTTCTGTCCGGCGTTTCCTGTTTTGTTATGTTTTTGTGCTTGGCTGACTACCTTGTTCCCATTCTAGCGCCTAGAATTTTTGGCTCCAATAAATGGTAGGTAGCATAATGATTTGGCAGTCTCATTTTTGTGTAGTTACTGAACTTGGTGGCTGTGATTAGTATGCTGTAAATAAGCAGAGATAATTGTCTAACCATCAGACACCTAAGCATTAGATTTATTGCTTTTATGTGAAGAATATTGTAACTGATTTGAATATAAACTATGAATTTTCTGTACTCCATAGTTCTTTTATGGTAAATGCACATATACATTTTTACATTTCCATTGATATTTAGGATAGTATAATAACTTCACAAATTATTTTTGAATGAATACAGAAAAGGAAACTGGCAGATTTTCATTCACATTCATTTAGCAATTATTTATTAAATGCCTACTGTGGCAGGCCCTGTAAAGTACTGTGAAATATTTTGACTTTTAAGATTGATCTTGTGTTAAGGCTGAGATACTGAGACACTGAGGCAGTGGAATGGCAGTTAACAAAGTGAATACCAAGTGTTTCCGAAGAGGTTCAAGCTGTATACACATGGGTTGCTGATTTTATTTATACCATTCTCTTTTTTTTTTTTTTTTTTGAGATGGAGGCTCGCTCTGTTGCCCAGGCTGGAGTGCAGTACGCTCTTGGCTCACTGCATGCTCCACCTCCCAGGTTCATGCCATTCTCTTGCCTCAGCCTCCCGAGTAGCTGGGACTACAGGTGCCCACCACCACACCTGGCTAATTTTTTTTTTTTTTATTTTTAGTAGAGACGGGGTTTCACCATGTTAGCCAGGATGGTCTCGATCTCCTGACCTTGTGATCCGCCCGCCTCGGCCTCCCAAAGTGCTGAGATTACAGGCGTGAGCCACCGTGCCCGGCCTATTTATACCATGAGGTTGCTTATGAACTCCTCAGATATAGTTAAGTGGATAAGGATCATATTAAAAGTATTTTAACTTTCTCTAGCATGTTGAGTTTTGATTCAAATAATCAGCCAAAATAGAAGTTGGAATAGATATTTTCTTCTCAGCTGCTATTCTATCCTTGGCTGTTTATTTTATTTGGTTAGTATTCTACTTGTGCCTTTGGTTGTTTGTATCTCAGAGGATAGCAAATTGCAAAATAATTCTGTAAATATAAGAATTTTAAATGTGTACCTTATGGATCTTTAAGAACAAATTCAAAGTTTGCTTAAATTATGATATAATTGACAATATTTAAAGGTGTTTCCCCCAACAGCAGAATGGATTAGTGTTAGGAACTGTCCAAATTGTTTTTCACTTGCAGTAATGAATCAATGTTGTTGGCTCTTTTGGGCAAGTTTCTGAATGTGCAGTATAACAGAGTTAGCAAAGGAAATAAATCACTGACCTTGGCCTTATTAGCCAGATAACATTCCAGTCTGCTAATTTATAACTCCTAGAGGAAAGTTTGCAGAAATAACCACTGATAGTTTCGTGATGTGACTCAGTTATTGATAGAGCAGATTTTGTTTATTTTTTGATCTTACAAGGAAGAAAGAATACTCTTTTGCATAGCCACAATCTAGCCTTGACCATGGGCAAGAAATAACATCTCATTGTTGAAAAGAAGTTCCAGGGCTCAGCAGAAATCCTTGTACTTTATCTATCACTGCAGTTTTACAGAGATGAGGGCTAGAGAAGAGAAGGCAACACATCCCTCAGCACAGGGCAATAATAGCAGCCATTATAGCTGTGTAGCGAAGACAGTGCAAAGGCAATTAAAAAAATCAGAACCAAGAAAAACATTATAAATATAAAAGGTTTTCTTGGAGGGTCTCTTGTTGGATTTTTACTGCTGTGTTGTTTGTTGATTATATTTTCCCTCCCTAGGGATAAATTTACAAAGAAGAATTTAGATTTGAGCTGTTTATTGCTGCCTTGTCATCAGATGTATGAAGCCCAGTTGGGGGTGTTATGTGTTAAATGCCAGTAGTTAGTATCTTACTAAGGAGTGTTCAAATACAGTTGTTCGGTGGGATTCTGGTAGGTATAGTGCAGCATTTACTAGGATCTAAAGAATATTTAGGAATAGCAAAATCAAATTTATACTGATTTCTTTATGGCCCATAGAAGTCATGAGTCTTTTACTACCATTAAATAAATGTGGCTTCAGAGCCAGAGATGATCCTTTCTTTATCACACGCACACACACACACACTCTCTCTCTCACACACATAGTTTATGTAAATACTTACTCCTGTGCTATAAAAGGTGTCTTAATGGTGGAAGGATTTTTTCACCTACATAAGATAATGGTGAAACATTGTTTTTATTTTTATTTTCTTTAGAAGATAGCTCTTAAATTGAACAGGGTGTCATGTTTTTGTCTACTGTAACGATTTGTTTATAGCAAAAGGCAAATTTCTTTTCTAGGACCACTGAACAACAGCAAAGATTCCATGAAATTTGCAGCAATCTAGTAAAAACTCGACGCAGAGCTGTGGGTTGGTGGAAACGCCTCTTCACACTAAAGGAAGAAAAACCTAAGATGGTACTTTTTTTGCTTTGACTTAAGTACAGTAAAATTTTAAGATTTGAGTCAATTCGCCTTTTTGTCTTAATAGCTATAATTTGAAAATTATTCATTGGTTAATTCCTAAGTACATTCATAAATGTTTACCTGTATTAATTAGACTGAATCATTTTAAAGTTAAAAATTACATTTTTGCATTTAATTTTTTATTCTAATAAAACAAAATTCTTCTGTTTCATTTTTCTTACTGAAATAATAGTAAAAGACATATACTTAGAAAGCATCTGTTTAGGCCGGGCACAGTGGCTAATGCCTATAATCCCAGCTACATGGAAGGCTGAGGATCACTTGAGCCCTGGAGGTCGAGGCTGCAGTGAGCTGTGTTTGCGCAGTGAGCTGTTTGCACCACTGCACTCCAGCCTTTGTGACAGAATGAGACTCTGTCTCAAAAAAAAAAAAAAAAAAGGAAAGCATCTGTTCATCTGTTCTCTTATCTGTAAGCTTCACGTCGTGAGGCTGTTCCGTGAAGTTATTAACTGAAAAGATCGTATAATTTATATCATAAAATATTTACATACAGAATTGCAGTAATTCTAGGAAGAAATGTATCCAAATTCTATAAAGTAGATCCAATGGAATAGGTTTTTAAATCTAAGAATTTTTAAAGAAAAGTGATAATAAAAGCTAAATTATTTCCCGAACTTTGAAACACATTCTTCTTTAATTGACAAATAAAAATTACATATATTTATGGTGTCACATGAAGTTTTGATATTAAATTCTTGTTTTCATTGCTAGTACTTCATGACCATGATCGTTTCCCTTGCTGCGGTTGCTTGGGTGGGACAACAAGTCCACAACCTGCTTCTCACCTACCTGATAGGTAAGTCTTTGAGGAAAAACTACAGGCACATCCTGGCCAGTGAAATTTAACTGTAACTTCGTCAGTAAACAGCTGAATACTTCCTAAGTTTTAGACACCGAAAAGGAACTGTGGGAATATGGAAAGATTATTATGGTCTCATAGAAAGTGAAAACAATGCAATAACCAAGGTAGAAAGTAATGTGCAAGAGGTAAAAATAAGCAATGATTATTTTCTGAGGTGGAAGAGGGGATGAGAGCAGAAGTTTCTGGGGATACATCCCAGTGGAAGTAATTGATTTCATGTTGCTTCCTCCCATTACTGAGTTTAATAATGTAGGAACCTGCCTTCTTTAAAATGTAATAACTGGCTGGTCACGGTGGCTCAGCCTGTAATCCCAGCACTTTGGGAGGCTGAGGCAGGTGGATCACTTGAGGCCGGGAGTTTGAGACCAGCCTAGCCAACATGGCGAAACCCTGTCTCTACTAAAAATACAAAAATTAGTTGGATGTGGTGGTACACACCTGTAGTCCCAGCTACCTAGGAGGCTGAGGCATGAGAATCACCTGAACCCAGGAGGTGGAGGTTACAGTGAGCTGAGATCACACCACTGCACTCACCACCCCCCCCACCCACCACCGCCATACACACGTAATAACCTCTGATCACCTGAGGTCAGGAGTTGGAGACCGCCTGGCCAACATTGCGAAATCACATGTGTACTAAAAATACAAAAATTAGCCAGGCGTGGCGGCAGGCACCTGTAATCCCAGCTACTCTACTTGGTAGGGTGAGGCAGGAGAATCGCTTGAACCTGGGAGGTGGAGGTTGCAGTGAACCGAGATTGTGCCATTGCACTCCAGCCTGGGCAAAAAGAGTGAGACTTGTCGCTGGGTGTGGTGGCTCACGCCCGTAATCCCAGCACTCTGGGAGGCTGAAGCAGGCGGATCACCTGAGATTGGGAGTTCGAGACCAGCCTGACTAACATGGAGAAACCCCATCTCTACTAAAAATACAAAATTAGTCAGGCGTAGTGGCGCATGCCTGTAATCCCAGCTACTTGGGTAGCTGAGGCAGGAGAATCGCTTGAACCTGGGAGGCGGAGGTTGCGGTGAGCCAAGATTGCGCCATTGCACTCCAGCCTGGGCAACAAAAGTGAAACTTTGTCTCAAAAAAAAAAAAAAAAAGTAATAACCTTTAGCAGGTTAATTGCTGCCTCCTTAATGTTGGGTTTTTTTTTATTTTAAGTGACTTCCTTACTATTGCTTCCTGGACTAAACCAACATGGAATCATTTTGAAGTACATTGGAATGGCCAAGAGGGAGATAAACAAACTTCTCAAACAAAAAGAAAAGAAAAACGAATGATTCATCTGCTTTAATCAGTGTGATTAATGCAGCACCCATTGCCCCGGGAACCGTTTCTGCTGTACTATCTGGATACTAAAATGTTACGGAAGTAGCTCTTTGTTCTCCCTCACTCTGCCCTTAGTTAATAGAAATTCAGACTCGCCAAGTAAGGCTTCGTGCATAGTGTCTTCATGTCGCGTATAGTTGAGCGCGTTCTTAGCAGTTGGCTTCATGGACAACTCATTAGTGTTTTGACTTTTCTTACCCAGCGTTAATTGAATTCTTGCTTTTAGACAACTTCCTTTTTGTAGTGGTGAACCTTGCCCTTTAGTACAGTTCAAGTGAATCTGGATAATTGTTCATCTTTGCTTTAGCTTAGATACCATGTAGTGGTCTGTGGCTACAGGAAGCTGGTTCTGTCTGCTTCCACAGTCTGCTTAAAAAACTGTCTGACTTCGTGAATATAGAGACCAAGTTTACCACTTCTGATGAAGAGACCAATTAAGATTCATTCCTCATTCTGTTTCTTTCCAGTGGGAGAAGAGTCCCCATGAAATAAGATGAAACTGATTCCATGCACTAGTACATGTAGGCTTCTCCCTTGTGCAAAGCTTAGCAATTTGTAGGAAACTTTGATCTTTTTGTCCAAGAAAAGGAATGTCTGACAGGCTTAAGCTTTCGTCCCCTTGCACTTAGACTCGAAGTTAGTAAATCCTTAAAGGCTTTTTAATAGCAGACTTCCAAAAGATTGCATTTAGGATTTCTAGCATGCTTTTAATTTCAGATTTTCAGCTGACATTAGCTATAGTATACAGTAGGTTAAGACTCATGTCTATGACTTTCACTCTAAGACTGGCAAAAGGACAGCAGTCTTCTATGTTTAGTCAATATTCATTTCAGTAGAAGATAATCTTATCTAATTTTTGAGACCAGAATAAGCCTTTTAAGGTAAACCTCAAAATTATCATTTTATGGTAATACTGACCATTTTAGTCCCCTAGGTTTGACATGGGAGATAGTGACTACACTGGTGTCTGACTTTTTTCCTAGAGATTTCTCCCTGAAAAATACAAGGGCTGTTGGTGAGAGCAGACTTGAGGTGATGATAGTTGGCCTCTGGTCTACAAAGATTTCATAACTCCTTGGAAAGCTTCTTATAATCATTCTTAACTTCTTGGTAGCTAGAAATTTAGAGTAGTTGAAATCTTTAGGAATGAACTTCTGAGGGCCAAAAAATGTGACTGACGGGAACAATTCTTAAACTGATTAACTAGCTGTAATATAGTTTTGTGAATTTATTGCACTGATGTTGTACCTTGTGGTATATCTGTCCCTATTAAATAAGTGTTGTTTTCTCCTCTTTAATATTGCTGTGAACAGTGGTGCCCATTGTAGCATATGTTTGATTTTTTTTTATTATTTCATAAGAAAACTACGTTAATTTTACCTTACTTTCATTGTAAATAAGCCTGTCTTCCTATCTGGATTTTTTGTGTGCATACATATTCTACTGATTAACTACTTTTGCAGTTTTAATCCTGTATTATTTCTTCTACTTTGTTTTGTGTAAAAGGGGAAAAAATAAAAAAAGCTGGAATCTTCATGTCTCACTTTCTTTATAACTTAGCCAATATAATATTTATGATTGGATTTATGAATCTGATTAATGAAGTACCCTGTGTGGTCCTTAGATGTCTATAAGGTACCCTACCTGTAATCCCACCACTTTGGGAGACCTGGGCAGGAGGTTCACTGGAGTCCATGAGTTTGAGGTTGCATTGAGCTGAGTGTACCCCTGCACTCTAGCCTGGGCAACAGAGCAGGACCCTGTCTAGGAAAAATTTTAAAAAAGAACAAAAATAAAAGGTTTAAGTTTTATTTAGCAAATATCCAGGTACCATGCTAGAGGGAAGAGGAAATGCAACGAATGAGCAGGGGCATTGACGTGTGAGAGAGGACGAAGCTGGAAGAACCGGCAGGGACAGAACTGGCTAAATGGTGCCTGTGTGGGCACCTCGTACCCCAGGGCCTTGCTAGCGTCTGGTACATGGGTGCTCAGTAAACAACTGTTGGGTGACTTTTGTCTGAACTTAACTTTTTAATTAAAAAAAAATTTTTAGCCGGGTGTGGTGGCTCACGCCTGTAATCCCAACACTTTGGGAGGCCGAGGTGGGCAGATCACTTGATGTCAGGGGTTTGAGACGAGCCTGGCCAACATGGTGAAACCCCGTCTCTACTAAAAATACAAAAATTAGCCGGGTGTGATGGCGGGCGCCTGTAATCCCAGGTACTCTGGAGGCTGGGGCAGGAGAACCGCTTGAACCCGGGAGGCGGAGGCTGCAGTGCGCCAAGATCGCGCCACTGGACTCCAGCCTGGGCGACAGAGCGAGACTCCTTATCAAAAGTAAACTAAAATAAAAATTAAGGCCCGCGCGGTGGCTCCCGCCTGTAATCCCAGCACTTTCGGAGGCCGAGGCGGGCGGATCGCAAGGTCAGGAGATCAAGAACATCTTCGCCAACTTGGGGAAACCTCGTCTCTACTAAAAATACAAAAATTAGCCGGGCGTGGTGGCGCATCTCTGTAGTTCCAGCTACTCAGGAGGCTGAGGCAGGAGAATCACTTGAACCCGGGAGGCGCAGGTTGCAGTGAGCCGAGATCACGCCACTGCACTCCAGTCTGGGCTACAAGAGCGAAACTGTCTCAAAAAAAAAAAAAAAATGTAGACGAACCTCCAACGAACGGCTCACCTTGCCTCTCCCAGGCCCCACCGGGGGAGGTCGATTCCATCGACTCTCAACTGCCAACCCCTGAGGAGGCTCCGCCTTTCCCTCACCCTCGTCCTTCTCCTAGGCGGTCCTTGTTTTTGCCGGGCCTTTGAAAGTCTCGCGATAGCTCTCCCGCTTCCCATAACTCCGTGCGCTCTCCCCTCCCGTCCTCTTTCCGCCATCTTTCCGCGCCGGTGAGTAGCACTCTCTGAGAGCTCCAATTTCATCCGTCTGCCATCGGCGCCATCCTGCAATCTAAGGTTCGGTCTCGGTGTCCTGCGAGGAGGCTGGTCCCCACCTTGGCCGAGGATCCTGGCCTTGCCGGTTCCTGGACAGGCATAGAGGAGAGCCATGGCTGGGCGCCCCAGACTGTGCACTCAGGGGATCCCGGTCCGTGGGGTGCAGGCCGCAGCGCGGGCGGGAGCCGGAGCCTTCGACTGCCCAGCTAGGCGGTAGCTCCGGTTCGGGCCGCAGCGTCTGGATCTCCCTTTAGTGCTGAGGCAGCGCCTTGGCCCCGGGCGGCGGGCAACATCGGGGCTGGTGGGCCGTGCAGCTTCTCACTGCTGCGGCCGCGCTGGGAGCTTGGGAGGCTGAGGCCACCCAGCAGGTAAAAGCTGCATCGTGCCGGGGTTGGCAGTTTGCTGGGTGCCAACTTGGATCTTCTGGGCCGCAGAGTTTTTCTTTAGACACTTTTGAACTTAAGGAATTTAAGTTCTACTCTTTACTATTGGCACTTTGGTCTTTCAAAACTTCAGTGTAGTGTGCGGTTCTTGCCCATTAGAAGAGAGTCCAGTCTGACAAGCATGTAAAATGTTTCTGTTTGCCACTGTGGCTCTTGCTGTTGGACGCAATTTTAAATGGCACGAAGATGGATGTTTAATAGTTAGATGTGTTCATTGTAGGTGAGAGTGAACTGATTTAAAGTACAATGTTAATAGTATGGAATCTGCTGATTTTCAGCAATTTGGAAAATGTTGCCGATGATAC